>NC_000008.11:1571425-1873710 GCF_000001405.40 Homo sapiens
TGTGGGGTGTCTGATGAGATGGAGAGGAGAGAGGGGTGAACTGTGGGGTGTCTGATGAGATGGAGAGGAGAAAGGGGTGAACTGGAGGGTTGTCTTCTGGGATGGAGAGGAGAGAGGAGTGAACTGTGGGGTGTCTGATGAGATGGAGAGGGGAGAGGGGTGAACTGGAGGGGCATCTTCTGGGACGGAGAGGAGAGAGGGGGTGAACTATGGGGGCATCTGATGAGATGGAGAGAGAGAAGGGTGAACTGTGGGGGCATCTTCTGGGATGGAGAGGAGAGAGGGTGAACTGTGGGGGCGTCTGATGAGATGGAGAGGAGAGAGGGTGAACTGTGGGGGCGTCTTCTGGGATGGAGAGGAGACGGGGTGAACTATGGGGCGTCTGATGAGATGGAGAGGAGAGAGGGTAAACTGTGGGGGCGTCTGCTGGGATGGAGAGGAGACAGGGTGAACTGTGGGGGCGTCTAATGAGATGGAGAGGAGAGAGGGTAAACTGTGGGGGCGTCTGCTGGGATGGAGAGGAGAGAGGGTGAACTGTGGGGGCGTCTGATGAGATGGAGAGGAGAGAGGGTGAACTGTGGGGGCGTCTGATGAGACGGAGAGGAGAGAGGGTGAACTGTGGGGATGTCTGATGAGATGGAGAGGAGAGAGGGTGAACTGTGGGGGCGTCTGATGAGATGGAGAGGAGAGAGGGTGAACTGGAGGGGCATCTTCTGGGATGGAGAGGAGAGAGGGTGAACTGTGGGGGTGTCTGATGAGATGGAGAGGAGAGAGGGTGAACTGTGGGGGCATCTGATGAGATGGAGAGGAGAGGGGGTGAACTATGGGGGCATCTGCTGGAATAGAGAGGAGAGAGGTGAACTGTGGGGGCATCTGATGAGATGGAGAGGAGAAAGGAGTGAACTGTGGGGGCGTCTTCTGGGATGGAGAGGAGAGAGGGTGAACTGTGGGTTGTCTGATGAGATGGAGAGGAGAGAGGGGTGAACTGTGGGGGCATCTGCTGGAATAGAGACGAGAGAGGTGAACTGTGGGGCGTCTGATGAGATGGAGAGGAGAGAAGGGTGAACTGTGGGGGCATCTTCTGGGATGGAGAGGAGAGAGGGTGAACTGTGGGGGCGTCTGATGAGATGGAGAGGAGAGAGGGTGAACTGTGGGGGCGTCTGCTGGTATGGAGAGGAGAGGGTGAACTGTGGGGGCGACTGATGGGATGGAGAGGAGAGAGGGTGAACTGGAGGGGCATCTTCTGGGATGGAGAGGAGAGAGGGTGGACTGTGGGGGTGTCTGATGAGATGGAGAGGAGAGAGGGTGAACTGTGGGGGCGTCTGATGAGATGGAGAGGAGAGAGGGGTGAACTGTGGGGGCATCTGATGAGATGGAGAGGAGAGAGGGGTGAACTGTGGGGGCATCTGATGAGATGGAGAGGAGAGAGGGTTGAACTGTGGGGGCATCTGATGAGATGGAGAGGAGAGATGGTGAACTGGAGGGGTGTCTGATGAGATGGAGATGAGAGAGGGTGAAGTATTGGGGGCATCTGATGAGATGGAGAGGAGAGAGGGTGAACTGGAGGGGCGTCTTCTGGGATGGAGAGGAGAGAGGGTGGACTGTGGGGGTGTCTGATGAGATGGAGAGGAGAGAGGGTGAACTGTGGGGGCATCTGATGAGATGGAGAGGAGAGAGGGGTGAACTGTGGGGGCATCTGATGAGATGGAGAGGAGAGATGGTGAACTGGAGGGGTAATCTGATGAGATGGAGATGAGAGAGGGTGAAGTGTCAGGGGCATCTGATGAGATGGAGAGGAGAGAGGGTGAACTGGAGGGGCGTCTTCTGGGATGGAGAGGAGAGAGGGTGGACTGTGGGGGTGTCTGATGAGATGGAGAGGAGAGAGGGTGAACTGTGGGGGCATCTGATGAGATGGAGGGGAGAGAGGGGTGAACTGTGGGGGCGTCTGATGAGATGGAGGGGAGAGAGGGGTGAACTGTGGGGGCGTCTGATGAGATGGAGAGGAGAGAAGGTGAACTGTGGGGGCATCTAATGGGATTGAGAAGACAGAAAGGGTGAAGAGTGTCTGAGAGAAAAGTCCTTTAGACCCCTGACTGCCATCCGTGGGTTTCACAGCTTGGGGAGCATATTCTTGCTTAAGTTATATTTAGTCATCAATAATAACAGCTCGTTTATTCGGGAAGTATGCAGGAAACATCACGTGCTGTTCTGGTGCCCAAATGCAGGTAAACTAACACCAGAGAATGGAGCTTTCAGTCCAGATGCTGGCAAGCAAGGGCCTGCCAAGGGCCTTTTTTGTGAATAAAGTTTTATTGGAATGTGGCCCGCTCACTGGTCATCATGTTGCTGTGGGTACCTCCCAGCTTCAGGCAGGGCTGAGCAGGTGTGAGGCACCCCGACAGCCGGCAGACCCTAGAATACTTACATCTGGGCCTTTACAGAAGGTGTGAGCTGACCCCTTAGAATCTAACAGACCCAGTGCACTTCAGTGAGTAGTCATAAGTGGCGTAGGTAACTTACAAGTGTAAAGTGAGGTGCTCTCTAAATGCGTGAGACAGGACTCCTAACCCATTCTGGGAGCTCCAGGCTTGTCTCCCTGCAGACTCACATTTGCATTGAGGGGTCCACCCTAGAGCATTAGGGTAAGCGGTGGGTAGGAGAGCATCAGCCCTGCACAGAGCAGGACCAAGTTCCCAAAGACAGCATATTTACGGGAGAGGGAAATAATATTTTATAGTAACACTATTTCATGTTGAATGCCAACTCTGTTGAATCACTCAGGTGCAATCAGAAAATGGAAACAGGTTCTGCGTCACCAGATTTTAGTGTATGGGGGGTAACGTGAGACAGGAGAGCAATGAACTAGGCACAGCACCGGCAATAATTGCAGGACTTGTAATACACCAAGAACAACAGCCATCCCAGCCCTCGCCGCTCTGGTAACTGTGCTGAAGCCAACACCATGACCCAAGCCTTAGAGAT
The DNA here is from genome assembly GCF_000001405.40 of Homo sapiens. Lineage (NCBI taxonomy): Eukaryota > Metazoa > Chordata > Mammalia > Primates > Hominidae > Homo > Homo sapiens. Next base: position 1,574,408 of record NC_000008.11, read on the forward strand.
GAAGACCCTGTCTCAGCGAGTCACACCACCGGAAGTCAACTCTAGGTCTCTCAGTTTTACGCGGCTAAACCATGCTGCCCCCTGCCCCCGGAGGCAGCAGAATCTCCCCTCGGTGATGAGTCACCTCCCTCGGTGATGAGTCCTGTGTGTGGTCTTCCCACCAGAGCCTCAATACCATCGAGCAAGCACATTTATTAAACAGTTAGTTGACATTTCCATTTTGTTATGACCCAAATCATGTGTTACTGCAAATAAAAGCTTCCACTTAGGCTGAGCTAAGCACCTTTACTGTGCTGAGTTGATAAAGTTGGTTGACCCACATTAAACTGCCAATAATCAGCCAATATTTAAAAGCAGAAATTGTATATGGTTCAACCTGATCATTCCGGACACAAGAAAGGAAACCCACGAACATACGTGTGACAGGCATCTCACTCTGCATAAATATGTGACTCATGAGATTTTGCAAGCATTGAGAAAATACCTAATGAGTCTTGAAGATGTTTCTTCGCCTAAGAATTGTATTTGGAATCCACTGTTGTGCTTCCTGCTAGTGACTGAGTATCTTCCACAAACACACACGTGTGCACACACTCACTACACAGGGACAGAGAGAGGCAAGCGAGGGAGAAACGCAATGTTAGGTCATAATAACGCACAACAAGAGACTATGAACAATACAAAAAATCATCACAGACGACAGAGTTTCTTCCTCTTTAGGAGTGACTAGTATTCCACACCGTATCTGCTGCATTTTCATCCACTCACCCTTTGATGACAGAGGTTGACTCTGTGACTTGGCGATTGTGAGCAGTGCTGTGGCAAACGTGGGAAGGCAGACGTGAATGGAAGCAGAGGGCATTAGGTTACATGAAATAAGCCAAAATACAGAAAAACAAACACCGCAAATCCCCACCTAAATACAGGACCTAAAACAATGGAACTCACAGGTGCAGACAGTGGAATGGAGGTTACAGAAGCTGGGGGTGCGGAAAATGGAGAGTTGAGGGTCAAAAGAACCACCCTCCGTGAGACAGGAGGATATTCTTTATTATTATTATTATTATTATTATTATTATTATTTAAGTTCTAGGGTACATGTGCACAATGTGCAGGTTTGCTACATATGTATACATGTGCCATGTTGGTGTGCTGTACCCATTAACTCGTCATTTACATTAGATATATCTCCTAATGCTTTCCCTCCCCCCTCCCCCCACCCCATAACAGGCCCTAGTGTGTGATGTTCCCCTTCCTGTGTCCAAGTCTTCTCATTGTTCAATTCCCACCTATGAGTGAGAACATGTGGTGTTTGGTTTTTTGTTCTTGTGATAGTTTGCTCAGAATGATGGTTTCTAGCTTCATCCATGTCCCTACAAAGGACATGAACTTGTCCTTTTTATGGCTGCGTAGTTTTCCATGGTGTATATGTGCCACATTTTCTTAATCCAGTCTATCATTGATGGACATTTGGGTTGGTTCCAAGTCTTTGCTATTGTGAATAGTGCTGTAATAAACATACATGTGCATGTGCCTTTATAGCAGCATGATTTATAGTCCTTCCGGTATATACCCAGTAATGGGATGGCTGGGTCAAATGGTATTTCTAGTTCTAGATCCTTGAGGAATCGCCACACTGTCTTCCACAATGGTTGAACTAGTTTACAGTCCCACCAACAGTGTAAAAGTGTTCCTATTTCTCCACATCCTCTCCAGCACCTGTTGTTTCCTGACTTTTTAATGATCGCCATTCTAACTGGTGTGCGATGGTGTCTCATTGTGGTTTTGATTTGCATTTCTCTGATGGCCAGTGATGATGAGCATTTTTTCATGTGTCTGTTGGCTGCATAAATGTCTTCTTTTGAGAAGTGTCTGTTCATGTCCTTCGCCCACTTGTTGATGGGGTTGTTTATTTTTTTCTTGTAAATTTATTTGAGTTCTTTGTAGATTCTGGATATTAGCCCTTTGTCAGATGAGTAGATTGCAAAAATTTTCTCCCATTCTGTAGGTTGCCTGTTCGCTCTGATAGTAGTTTCTTTTGCTGTTCAGAAGCTCTTTAGTTTAATTAGATCCCATTTGTCAATTTTTGCTTTTGTTGCCATTGCTTTTGGTGTTCTACACATGAAGTCCTTGCCCATGCGTATGTCCTGAATGATAATGCCTAGGTTTTCTTCTAGGATTTTTATGGTTTTAGGTCTAACATGTAAGTCTTTAATCCATCTTGAATTAATTTTAGTATAAGGTGTAAGGAAGGGATCCAGTTTCAGCTACGTATGGCTAGCCAGTTTTCCCAGCACCATTTATTAAATAGGGAGTCCTTTCTCCATTTCTTGTTTTTGTCAGGTTTGTCAAAGATAAGATGGTTGTAGATGTGTGGTATTATTTCTGAGGGCTCTGTTCTGTTCCATTGGTCTATATCTCTGTTTTGGTACCAGTACAAGGTAATTTATAGATTCAGTGCCATCCCCATCAAGCTACCAATGCCTTTCTTCACAGAATTGGAAAAAACTACTTTAAAGTTCTTATGGAAACAAAAAAGAGCCCACATCGCCAAGACAATCCTAAGCCAAAAGAACAAAGCTGGAGGCATCACACTACCTGACTTCAAACTATACTACAGGCTACAGTAACCGAGACAGGAGGATATTCTTCATGTTTTTAGATCAGTAGCACACTGAATACTGCAAGTAAATGAGTACTGCACATTTCAGTATCACTGAGTGAATTTCTAATGTTCTCATCACAAAAAATGTGAAATATTTCAGCTGATAGCTGTGTTAATTCACTTCATTTTTCTACATTGTACTTAAAATCACAACACACTTTTTAACCCCGTAAATACACATACTTTGTCAATATACGATAAAAATTTTTTAAGGGGCTGGGCGCGGTGGCTCATGCCTGTAATCCCAGCACTTTGGGAGGCCAAGGTGGGCAGATCAACTGAGGTCAGGAGTTCGAGACCAGCCTGGCCAACATGGCAAAACCCCATCTTTACTAAAAATTCAAAAATTAGCTGGTGTAGTGGCACATGCCTGTAATCCCAGCTACTCGAGAGGCTGAGGCAGGAGAATCACTTGAACCCGGGAGGCGGAGGTTGCAGTGAGCCAAGATCGTGCCATTGCCCTCCAGCCTGGGCCACAGAATTACACTCTCTCTCAAAAAAAAAAAAAAAAAAAAAAATTTAAAGCAAGTAAATGCCACAGGATATCCAACAAGAGGTTTATTGTGAGAAATGGAAGAGGAAAGGCATCCCTGCTGGAGGCTGCAGCCTGGTGTCCCTGCAGCAGGGACAGGTGTCAAGAGCAGCCCGGGGCCAGGGGAGTGAGAGGAGCCTGCAGGACCCAGGAAGGAGCAGCAACCTCGGATTCCCACAGGGGCACACAGCATGCTGGGGAACGGGCAGCACTCAGCGTGGTCAGCACTGACCTTCCTCCTCAACCTGCCCCTGGCCCCGCAAGTCCTGAGCCCCGCCCGGTGCCTCCGAGGTGCCACTGGCACCAGCGCGAGTGCTCATAGCTGCCAGAGGCAAGGTGTGGAAATCTGCATTAATGTAATCTGATAACGTTTTGTTGGTAAATTACGTAGACACTCTTATACTAAGTTTATCTTATACCCAAAGTCTGCTTTAAACAAAATTGGTGATTCTATAATTGTATTTTAAACAGAATTGAAAGTAATTGGATACAGTGCACTGAGTGTTTTTCTCTTTTTTGCACAAAAGAGCTTCCCAGCAGGAGCTGACTGACAAAATCTTTTACGTTTCCAAGTGATTCAAATGATAAAAATGATAATGAATGTTTGCTTGTCTCCATGAGGCTTTTATTCTCCTCTTGGTGTACATGAACAACTTCTCTTCACCTGAACAATAGTTAAGAATGCAAATGTTATGGGAAGATCGACTTGCTAATTGTATTTAATTTTAATGTGATAGGTATGGGTTCAGGTTCTTACCCCGGAAGTTATCGGGCACACCAAGTCCTTGGGAGGCTCTGGGCACCTGCGTTGACTGTGCCGTCCCGTGAGATGGAACGTGTCAGCAGTTCTTTTTTGACTGCCTGGTACGGGACTGGAAGAAGGTTGGGTCTTTAATTGGCTGTTATCAGCCCTCCTTCTAAACCACAGAGCAGAGCACTCCTGCAAAGACTGCAGGAATTCTGCTTCAAAATGTTCCACCTCTTGGAACAATGCCAGAATTATTCTGTTAAAAACCATCTTATCTTCCTGCTGTAAAACTGAGAAAAAATCAGTCTTCTCGTTAATCACTTAATATGCACATCCTAATTATATATATAAGCGTTTTCACTTATACCCTGCTATGTTCTCTAACATAGTGCAAGATAATAGAAGGCCTTTTGCTCTCAAAAATAAAAATAAAAACAAGCAGAAATCCTGTCCCACCTGTCTCATGCCCTGGTGTACAGACCCTCGGCCTTGTGTCCCCGATCGGGAAGGTCAGATTCCCAGGGCTGATGGCCCCGTCTGTGGGTCAGACCCTGCCCACGTGCAGAGCACCACTTAGAATTATTATCAACTAATTGAAATGCAAATTCCAAGTCCTACTGAATCCAATTTACTGCATTTCTAAATTAGCTTATGTATTAGTGATTGAGATACTGGACTTGCTTATATATTAACATTTGAAATACTTGAATAACTAATTCAATTCTGATTGTGATGAAAGGTAGACCAAATAATTTCATTTGGAGGCCTTTGCTTTTTTTTCTGCTTAGTTCAATTAGAAAGTCAAAGCTCTAATAATTTTGAATGTCTCTGGGTCATTCTCTAATGAAGGTAGCACTTTAAATTTATAAAGAAAAAAGAGCTTATTTCAAAGATACTTCATATCATATGTAAAGATAAATTCTGATGGATTAAATATGTAAGCATTAAAATCGTATATATACACACACATATATGTGTGTATATATATAGACACATATGTATATGAGTATTCTGTACTCTGGGGGTGGAGAAGACGTATCTGGGCATGATTCCATGGGGCGTAATTATAAAGATACCACTTTAAATTCATAAAATTAAAAACTTATTTATGATACAAGCCAACAAGCAAACTAAAAATAATATCGCCAAAGTAAAATCATAATAAAAACCTGAGAGTTTTTCAATATAAGTAACAAATGTTTATATTTTTAATATATAAAGATTGCCTTACAAATCAATAAAGAAAAAAATGAATGACGCAGTGCAAAAATGAATAAAGGCCAAGCAAAGACTATTCATCTACCTTATCAATAACTAAAACGTTTGGAGAGCATGCCATTTAAAACTGAAAATCTAAAAGTTTATTCTAGAGAAATTCCTGAGAAGCATGCAAAGACGTAAAAAATACAGCCACGTTCACTATTGTGTTACATATCGTTGCGTGACACGGTACATTGCCTAAGTGCCCATCGTGGGCGTTGGTTTGGGTGATGTGGGGGCACTAAGGAAGCCCCCACCATGCGCTGCTACCACCCTCAGCAAAAGGCTGCTCTGGAGGAGGTAAAGTGTGTGCTGCAGCACAGGCAGCCGCAGGGCAGCACGACTCAGCCAGCTCTGCACCTGACCTGATGGCCTCAACACCTCCACCGAAAGCCTGATGGAATAAGAGCCCCGCCCATTTCCCAGCACTGATACCATTCACATCCATTCCCACTGTTCTGTACACGATGACCAAGATTTCATCAAAATTTAGGAGACACCGTAAAATTAAAGCTCATTCTCAAGACACAGGGCAATCAATACAAGATTCAGAAGTGACATGGATGTTCCTTCAAACTCTCAGAGAAAACGTGAAAGTAACTATAGTTATGCGATCAAGCAGCGGCACAGTGGGCCTGGCTAAATGGGAAGCAGTGGAGAGAGGAGAACTCTAAGAAAGAGGCAGAGGGAAAGACCACAGATGGGGTTCATGGTTTCAGAAATAAAGGATTTTGCTGGTGAGTCATCAGCAGGCTCGACATAACGAAGAAATCAGTGACCTTGAAGATAGGTTCATGGAAATTACCCAGCGGAGGCTCGAAGAGAAAGCGTGGGAATCGAAAGGCAGAAAAGAGCATCCGAGAGCTGCAGAGAGCTATCAAATGTTCTCACACACATAGAACCTGAATCCCAGCCAGAAAGACGAAAGCAGAGCAGAACAGAAGAAACGTGGGAAGCACTAATGCCAGGGAGTTTCTAACATTAGAAAGATAGATCACATCACAGACTGAAGAACCTGAGAAAATCTCAAAGACAGATCAACACCAGAAACAAAACCCCATACACATCTACACACCACAGTCGAACTACCAGAAGTGAAGGATACAGACAAACCCCCACACATCTACATACCACAGTCAAACTACCAGAAGTGAAGGATACAGACAAAACCCCACACATCTACACACCACAGTAAACTACCAGAAGTGAAGGATACAGACAAAACCCCACACATCTACACACCATAGTCGAACTACCAGAAGTGAAGGATACAGACAAAACCCCACACATCTATACACCACAGTAAACTACCAGAAGTGAAGTATACAGACAAAACCCTGCACACATCTACACACACCACAAACTACCAGAAGTGAAGGATACAGACAAAACCCCACACATATACACACACACCACAGTCAAACTACCAGAAGTGAAGGATACAGACAAAACCCCACACACATCTACACACCACAGTCAAACTACCAGAAGTGAAGGATACAGACAAAACACCACACATCTACACACCACAGTCAAACTACCAGAAGAGAAGGATACAGACAAAACCCCACACACATCTACACAACACAGTCAAACTACCAGAAGTGAAGGATACAGACAAAACCCCGCACATATATGCACCACAGTCAAACTACCAGAAGAGAAGGATACAGACAAAACCCCACACACATCGACACAACACAGTCAAACTACCAGAAGAGAAGGATACAGACAAAACTCCACACATATACACACACCACAGTCAAACTACCAGAAGTGAAGGATACAGAAAAAACCCCACACACATATACACACCACAGTCAAACTACCAGAAGTGAAGGATACAGACAAAACTCCACACATATATACACCACAGTCAAACTACCAGAAGTGAAGGATACAGACAAAACTCCACACACATCTACACACCACAGTCAAACTACCAGAAAGATACAGACAAAACCCCACACATATACACACACCACAGTCAAACTACCAGAAGTGAAGGATACAGACAAAACACCACACACATCTACACACCACAGTCAACCAGAAAGATACAGACAAAACTCCACACATATACACACCGCAGTCAAACTACCAGAAGTGAAGGATACAGATAAAACCCCACACACATACACACACCACAGTCAAACTACCACAAGTGAACGATACAGACAAACCCCCACACACGTCTACACACCACAGTCAAACTACCAGAAGTGAAGGATACAGACAAACCCCCACACATATATACACACCATAGTCAAACTACCAGAAGTGAAGGATACAGACAAAACACCACACATCTACACACCACAGTCAAACTACCAGAAGTGAAGGATACAGACAATCCCCACACACATGTACACACCACAGTCAAACTACCAGAAGTGAAGGATACAGAAAAAACCCCACACACGTCTACACACCACAGTCAAACTACCAGAAGTGAAGGATACAGACAAAACCCCGCACACATACACACCACAGTCAAACTACCAGAAGTGAAGGATACAGATAAAACCCCACACATGTACACACCACAGTCAAACTACCAGAAGTGAAGGATACAGACAAACCCCCACACACATGTACACACCACAGTCAAACTACCAGAAGTGAAGGATACAGACAAGCCCCACACACATGTACACACCACAGTCAAACTACCAGAAGTGAAGGATACAGATAAAACCTTAAAAAAAAAAAAAAAGAAAGAAAGAAAATTATAGACCATTATGTACAGAAGAATAAAGAATTACAGCACACTTTTCATCGTAAATGATTCTGGCCAGAACACCGTAAAGTGACATACTTAAAACAGGAAAAGACGTTAGCCCAGAATTCTAGAATGAGAGAAAATATCTTTCATAAATCAAAATGAAAAAAGTCATCCTTAGGAAAAAAAAAAAAAAGCTAGGGAAATTCATTGCTAGCAGACCAGTACTGCAAGAAATAGGAAATGAAGTTCGTTCTTTTCTTTTCCCCCGCCAAGATGGAGTCTCGCTCCGTCACCCAGGCTGGAGTGTGGTGGCACAGTCTCAGCTCACTGCAACCTCTTTCTCCTGGGTTCAAACGATTCTCCTGCCTCAGCCTCCCGAGCAGCTGGGATTACAAGTGTGCACCACCACACCCGACTAATTTTTGTATTTTATATTTTTAGTAGAGACAAGAGTTTCACCATGTTGGCCAGACTGGTCTCAAACTCCTGACCTGAAATGGCCCACCCTCCTCGGCTTCCTAAGAAAGGAAGTTCTTTAAGCATGGCTCTGAAAGAAGAGGGCAGCAGGAACTTAGAACTGCAGTGAGAGGGAGGGCTGCATGTCTCGGTTTTGGTGGTGGCTGCATGACCGTGCATTTGCGGAAATTCTTACAGCCATGCAGAAAGTGAGACGCACTGACCCATTCAGCATCTGAACCAGAGCTGCAAAAGTGAATCTTATGAAACAATGGATCGTGGAGGATAAAACAGAATCCTGTGAAGCCATTTCTCCAAGGTGAGAAATAAACTGTATTCTTGTACGGGAAGAGAAGGGGCATACCTCAGCCTCCTGACACTTCCGTTTTGGGATATGTTTGTGAGTAGGCTATTTAAGTCATGAGATGGCTCCAAGCCTCTTCTCCCTCCCATCTGCCATGGGTTGGGTGAGGTGATCAAGTGAGTAACCAAGAGAACACCAGCTATTGATGGACGCATCTGAGAAGAGCTCAGAAGACGGGCTCAGATATTCCTCTGGCCCATGAGCCTGCCCTGGGATCACCTTTTGCTCCACACAGCGTAACACCACCATGCTGGGCAAGCTGGGTACCTGGCCTGGGGATCTCCTAGCATCCACTGGCCTGTGGCGGGTGGCTGTGCCTCCGTAGGCAGGGAGCGTCGGGGCTGCTTTTGAGACCTTGCAGAGTCAGGCTGACATCTGATTAAGAAGCCTTTCAAAGAAATCACAGTTTTTGCAGAATCCATCTAGAAAGATGAAAGACCCTTCAGAGCCACTTCCTGTGTTTCTAAGCCCAGCAGTCCTGACGTTTTTGCCTTTCCTGATGCTGAGACTCCATTTGGTATCTGGGCTCTCACAGCTTCCTTCAGATCACTCAGCTCCTAGCACCTCTCGGCCACCAGCTCCAAGTCCTGCCTCTCACATCAAAGGCTGATCTCACGTCTCAGCTTTCTGTTTGAGACCCTCCACGCGCTGGTTGCAGGGGTTTGCCTGATCCCAGTGCAGATCCTTCGTGATCTGCCCCCGGAAAGCCTTGTTCCCCTGACAATTTTCTTCCTCCTCGCTCCTCTGACTTGAAGTCGGCTGTTCACCGTCTCCTCCTTGCTGCCGGTCATCCTTCCATGCCCAGCTCTGATTGCCTCCTCTGGGAAGGCTCCCTGGAGTTACGTCCCCTGCAGCATATTTCCTCACTGCTCGTGCTTGTCTCTACCACATGCCTGTTTGCTTTCCCGAGAGTCCCTATAGCCTTTGAAAGCAAGAGCTGTCTCATTTATCATTGCCATTGCGCCTTCACTGTGAGGCATTATATGTGCTCCTCACACACTGGATGAATGGATAAAACCATCGTCTTATGACTCATTTGTCAGGGATTATTGATAATCAACTTAATAAATGAACTGCTATTAGCGACGCCGATAAAGTAATCCTGTTTAGAGCCTAAACATAAAGATAATCAATTTAAAAGACGTGTGCAAAGCTGATTCACATTCACCTGATTTCTTAAGCTCCTTTAGGTTCTATTAGTCAAAACGGGAGCAGACGCCAGACTCCTCGTGCATGCCACACACCTGCAACCTGCAGTTCTTCAGTTAATAGGAAGCCATATGCTCCTGGGGAGGAGGCATCCTCTCTCACAGTCTCCTCCACTACCGTGGGCTGCTGGCTCTTCATTTTTAGTTTCAGCTGGAGGGAAGCGGAGGGGAGATTCTGGTCCAGCCTGTGTTGCAACCGTTGCCAGCACGTGCAGAGAGAGCATTTGCACTCTGATCGGTCCAGCCCTAGGGGTTCCCAGGTCCCTGACGATGTCTCTCCTCAGAAGCTCAGGCATCTGGGCATGAGGTGAGGACCTGGGGATTCGAATGGCACTTGGCACTTGCTCCTGGGGGTCTCTGCCCATCAGGGAAGCAGCTCACCCCACACCCGGCGGACCCAACAGGCAGCCATGAAGAAGGGCACCAGAACATTATCCATCCACCTGTTTCGTGCTGTTTCCAGTATCTTACCTTACATCTCTTCATGGATTTCATTGTTTCTCTAGTAAATTCTTCACTTTTTACCTCATTTCTTTCTTCTTGTGCATACCAACTCTAGTCTTATTCTAACTTTTTTCTATTAGAAAAAATGTCCTTAACGTTAAATCAAAAACTTAAGTACAATGAAAGACAAATTAAAAACTTCCATTTTTAAATTTTGTGCTTTACTTATTCTTTTCTGTTATTTCTATGTTTCTCATATTTTACTTCAACATCTAGTTTTTGGCCTGCTACAACTGATATTGTTTTCATGAAGACCTTAGTTAAGAGGGAGGCTCCTAAGACTGGCGCCTGGTTTGTTCATTAATACTCCTGGCTGTGAATGAGGGCTCACACCTGTGATCCCAGCACTTTGGGAGGCGGAGGCGGGCAGATCACTTGAGATCAGGAGTTTGAGACCAGCCTGGCCAAGATGGCAAAACCCTGTCTGTACTAAAAATACAAAAAATTAGCCAGGCATTTTGGCCCGTGCCTGTAATCCCAGGTACCCAGGTGGCCGAGCCAGGAGAATTGCGTGAATCTGGGAGGCGGAGGTTGCAGTGAGCTGAGATTGCACCACTGCACTCCAGCCTGGGCAAAAGACCGAAAAAGAAAAAAAAATACTCCTTAGGGCTGTCAGTTCAGGGGGCTGTAGTGAGTGCTGTCTTTTACCATCCAGCACTTTTATGGCGAACTGCAACTGAAAAACACATAATCCACAGACCACGTAAGCTTTTCTTTTTTTAACCCAACTGTGCCATTGCAGGTGCAAACAAGAAATGCAGCTTAGCGAGCTCACCACAGGGAGACATCCCTAGAGATGCGTCTCTGGAAAACCTGGCGGCCCCGTGCCCCCACCACCCAGCCGTGGGCAGTGCCTGGGCAGTACTGTAGCCAGCCTCTCCATACACTCGCAGTCCATTCATTAAATCAGTTATTAAACTGATGCTTAAACTGTAAAATTATGACTCATTGTAAAGAGCTAACACACGTAATTGTGTGAAGTGGAGTGTCACTCTGTCTCTGGCATGTCCATCGCCAGGGGTTTCCACTGCCCATGACTTTATCCTGTCCGGACACTTTCGTGTGTGTATAAAAATATACACATATGGGCGTAGTTTACAATAAACATGAGGTCCCACTGCACGCATTACTGTACAATTTCCTTTTTTCTCCCAAATATTTTGTTAGTTTTCCGTTGCTGTCATAAAAACTGCCACAAACTTAGTGTCTTAAAACAGGGCGTTTATCCTCAGCCAAGTCCTGCAGGTCATGAGCCAACACGGGTTTCTCTGGGCTAAGGCCGAGGTGTCGGCAGCCTGCCCTCCTTCCGGGTCTCTCTGGGCTAAGGCTGAGGTGTCGGCCGTTGGCCCTTCTTTCCGGGGATCTGCGTGGGGAGTGGTTTTCTTTCACATCAAGATGTTACAGTTGCGGGACCGAAGCCCCGTGTCCTTGTTGTCAGCTGAAGTCAGCCCCCTGTTTCCAGAGGCCACCCACAGGGATGTGTTAGCTCTGGCCCCTGCCTGCATCTTCAGAGCCAGCTGGACGGGGTGTGGGGTCTCTCTCACTCTGCAGACCCCTCCTGTCTCACGTCCACATCGATCTCCGACTTGCTCTGCCTTCCTCTTCTGCTTTCAATGCTCCTGCGCTGAGAGGGGGCCTGCCTGGGTCATCAGGAGATTCTCACTACCCCGGGGTCTGCTGGTTAGCAACCTCGATTCCACCTGCAACCTTCATGCCCGCTTGATGTGTAGCGTAACGTGTTCACAGATGTGGCACCAGCGTGGAAGGCCCTAGGGGTCAGAGTCCCGCCTGCAGAGGTACCACGTGCGTCCTTCTGTGGCGGACTCTAGGCCCAGATGTCACTGGACGGACACACTGCTGCGTGACTTTAACATTACCGTTGGGGAACTGCCTCTATGTTTTTATTACTGCACAGAGTGTTGTAAAGAAAATATTTGCGAATGCTCAACCACCAGTCTACTTATTGCCAAGGTATCTCTTCTTCTGGGTAGCATCATAAGGGGATTTTCTGGGCATGTGGCTCCCTCTGAAGCTTTTATGCTTTCACCTTCATCAGTGCAGCTAAGGAGATTCTGACTAGAATGGAGGTCTTCCAAATTGCTTTTTTCTAATGGGCTGATTATACCCATAATCTATGCATAGTTTAACCCCTGCCTCTGGAAAGTCCTAGCGGGAGGGGCAAGGATCCCACAGACACTGGCTTATTGCCTGTTTCCCTAAAAACATTACAGGATGCTTTCTTAAAAACATCCTACTTCCAAAGGGCAGTTTGAGAATCTCCTAATTTTAGGCAGCAAAGCCTTATCCCAAATACTGGTCTCTTTGCAGAAATCCATTGCCCGTTCATCTATAGGAACTATTTAATTTCAGGAAATAACTTTCTTAGGAGATTTTTATAGATTTGCTTCTCAGGAAAAATAACTTTGCCTATAGTGGTCTGCCAGCTTCAGGGGGATGGTCTTGAAAAAGGAAAATGGTGATCTGGGGTGAGGCCAGAGAGGAACTGGCTCTTGGGTGGATTTATACATTTTCAGTTGTTTTCTAATTCATTAACTTCTGCTTTTATTGCTATTTCTTCTTTTGTTTTCTTAGACCTATTTGTTGTTTCATTCTTTATCTGAAAGTATATTTACTAATAAAAGTATATAAGGCTATGAATGTTTCTAAGAATATATCTTAGCTACATCACACATATATTGATAGATGATGCTTTTATAGTCACTGTTATCTAAATACTCAGCAATTTTGACTTTGATTTCCACTTTGACTCAAGGGGTGAATGAATGAAATGAAGGAGAGATAGGGTTACTATTAAAAATATAGCTACTATTAATTATTTTTCTTTCTTTAAATTACTTTTTCAAATTTTTATAATGTGTAAAATTATTTAATAGTGGCCATTTTCTCTTTTCAGGCCCTGCTTTTGGTAGGGAGTTCGGTTGAGAGACATAAATAAAATACCATGATTTTTTTCCATTTCTAATTATATGAAGTCTTAACTTTCCAAAACAGTTAAGTCATTCATGATAACACTCAGAGCCACAAAATGCATTTACTAGCTCTTCACTATACCAATGAGCTACTTTTCTGAGTTTTCCTGTAACTGTGACACGTGCATTCCTGCCCCATAACCAAGGGCCTTACCTGAGTTCATCACGTGACTCCTAATAGAGTTCTGGTAGCACAATAGAAAAATAATTTTTCACATTCGCACGATGAAGAGTGTTCAGAACAACCATTCCTTAAATATGAGTCACTCTCTTTACTGTCATAGCCTTCAGAATGTCTAACAGCAGCAGCACGGATAGTTCAGCTAAATACTTCTGTATTTTTAGCTGAAAAAATTCATGCAAGGCTTTCTGTTCATGTCTCTTAATCTAATGGCTATTGAAGGTGCGACCTTCGAGATTCCAGAGAATGTACTGAATGAAGAGAACAGAGCAAAAAAGAGTCCAATCTGTAAGATCTGAGGACACAGTTAAGTGGAATCACACCATTAGTAGAACCCGGTGCTAACCTTGAAGCAGCAGCGAGTTTTACTAAACAGCTCATCTTATATGTAATTCTCCCCAATAGTAAAGACAATGTGTTCTATGAGTTCATTGTCTTCTTTGGCGTATGATGCCTAATTTATGAATTTTTTCATTTATTCATTCGGTAAGTAAATATGTATTAAGGACTGAATAGATAAATAAAATAATTGTCAAGTAAATAATATGTGTACAGACTGTTAAAACATTAACAGTGTTTAACAGGGTGCTGTGGCTCAGGCCTGTAATCCCACAACTTTGGGAGGCTGAGGCAGGTGGATCACTTGAGGTCAGCAGTTCAAGACCAGTCTGGCCAACATGGTGAAAGCTGTCTTTACTAAAAAAAAAAAAAAAAAAAAAAAAGGAAAAAAAATTAGCTGAGCATGGTAGTACATGCCTGTAATCCCAGCTACTCAGAAGGCTGGAGCAGGAGAATCCCTTGACCCCGGGAGGTGGAGGTTGCATTGAGCCGAGATCACGCCACTGCACTCCAACCTGGGCGACAGAGTGTGACTTCATCTCAAGTTTGGAGGGAAATCTGCCTTACTCAAAATCTGCCAATGTGAGCATTAATCTCTTGTAAAACACACCTTCACATTCAGGTATTTGAGCAAATGCCATGGTACCATATCCTAGTTGACACACACAAACTATCACACACAGCAATGAAAACTAATAATGTATGAATGCACAGTAATCCCAATGGTGGTTATCTCTGGGTTTGTGGTTGAATTGTATTTTCTTTTAAATATTTTCCAAATTTTCTGCAAAAAGCATGTAGCACTAAAATAAGAAAAGATAACTGAAAAACATTAGTTTCGTTGTCTTCTAGGCCCCCTAGCAACCTATAAGTACAGTTTTTCCAATAGTAACACTGCATTTAAAAACAAATTATCCTTGTATTGCAGTTACCATAGTAATAAATTTGTCATCAACAGCTTTATTTTACTTTTCAGCTATGAGTGGAACAATAATTCTGTGTGTTTCAAAGCCTCAGAAATGAAACTTATTCCTTGCATGTTGCCACATTTTGTGTCTCCAAGGTAATTTTTTTTGAGGTAGGGTCTTGCTGTGTTGCCCAGGCTGGAGTGCAGTGGGAGGATCACAGCTCCCTGCAGCCTCAACCTCCCCAGGCTCTAATCCTCTCACCGCAGCCTCCCCAGTATCTGGGACTACAGGCTTGCGCCACCATGCCCAGCTAATTTTTGTTTTTGTTTTTGTTATTGTTTGTAGAGATGGGGTTTCATCACGTAGCCCAGGCTGGTCTCAAACTCCTGGGCTCAAGCAATCCACCCGCCCAAGGCTGTTTTTAAAGAAGATGTACAGTAAGGGAATACGTAGAGACAGAACCACATTACAGGGAGTGGTTGGGGTTTGCTGTTAGCACCGGGGAATCCCTTGCCTTGATGGAGGGTGAGGAATGCGCATTTGAGTATTGCTAGAAGCTTTCTGAGGTCACTTCTGACCCCGCAACACCATTTACATTTGGGGGATGGACTGTACTAGTTTCTGGGGCTGCCATAACAAAGTACCACACACAGCGTGGCTTAAAACAATAGAAATTTACCCTCTCCAGTTCTGGGAGCCAGAAGTCTGAAATCAAGGTGTGGGCAAGGCCTCGCTCCCTGCACGTCTCTAGGGGAGGATCCCTCCTTCCGCCTCAGTGTCCGTGGCTGTGGGTGCATCACTCCACCCTCGGCCTCTGCCTCCCAGGACCTTCCCCATCTTCGTCCCTTCTCCTCTTCTCATAAGAGCACTGTCATCCTCGGAGCCCACTCCGGTGACCTCATCTCAACTCATTTCGTCTGCAGTGACCCTATTTCCAAGCGAGGTCATGTTCTGAGGCACTGGGGGTGAGGATCTCCATGGACCTCTTCTACAGGGAGACACAGTTCAGGCCGTACCAGAAGCAATCGCGTCGCCAGGATAATGAAGTATGCATAAAATGGCACCCCTCTATCTTGGTAATTATCAGACACTGTTTCTGAAACTTATTTCCATCTCCGTGTTGGCTTTTCTCTTCCGGAATGTATGGTCAAATATAGGATGTCATTTCTCCAGCTGGGTGACCATGGTGATTTTGCTGCTGACTACTGGAAGGGAAGCACGGATTACTCAGCTGAAACCTGATTTCCTTTCCTCAGTTATCTGTCTTCAAATCAGTTTAGCGATTGTTGGTGATTCTTCATGAAGAGCAGTAACTTTAGCTGGCTAAAATAAAGAGAAATGTGTACTCCACACTCTCAAATTCCACTTTAATTTCATGATTAACTGAGTTTGTAGTTCTAAGAAATTGGTTGCTCAAAATCTTGTTCTGTCCTATTCACTTGAAAATGGGAATCCCACCTCTGTGCTCCTGGGTCCTGAGGGACATTCCTTCCTCCCCATCCCGTTCGGAGGCTCCCTCTGGTCCAGAGCAGACAGCCCCTTGCATCCCTGAGCCCCACCCCTGGCAGAGGCCTTCACTGTCAATGTCATTACCAGGGACTGGTGGATCTCTATCCCTTAACCATTCTTTAAGCCACCTTAAAGAAGCCATCTTCAATGGTGTTGGAGGACCAAGCAAAACATATGTGCTTCTAGTCTTGGGATAATTAAGGAAGCTCAAAACATGAGGATGTAGATATGAAAACATCTTACACATTCTTGCCCTTCCGTGCTCGGGACCCAACCCCATGCCGGCAGCTGCAGAACTGGGTGCACTCAATCTCAGGTGCAGCCCATGAAGACACCAGCCCTTAGCCCTGTCCAGACAGACCTGATGTCTTTTAACCTTCAGTCTGTTTTCCTATTCAAAGTTCTGTTCTTCCCTTCCCTCTGCAAAGCCCAAACATTAATTTCTAGGGAATTACAGGGAAGGGAGGTTAGAGCATGGGGGTCACTCACACCCCCTCCCCCTCCCTCTTCCTAACGCTGGCTCCATGTGGGCCAGGTGGGAAGGAGGATGGAGGAGAAAGAAGGCTCTTGACTGAGCAAAAAGAAAGGGCCCTCCTGGTCTCTGGTCACTGCTTCTCTAAGACTGGACGTTGGACTGGGCATTTTTCAATTCTTTTGAGTTTCCTGATGGGGTCTTCCCCTCCTTTCTTTTCTAACATGGAGAGATGGCTCAGCCTCCCCTTTCCTGCCTAACCCCCTCCTCCCACTCCACCTCCACTGTTCACCCCTGCAGCCTATTTGTGGGGTACGTTTCTTTGGGACTCACTGTGGGTAAAATGACCCACACCCGATACTTGTCACACATCTACTTGACCTGCAGGAAATATGCGTGTGATTGCTCTACCCAAAGGCATGTGTGCAGCCAGTTTACACCCCACACACCCGCATATCTCCTGGCCCCACATCACACCCAACTGCATCCTGGATCTCCAGCGGGAGGCCCTCACCCATCCCCAGCAGAGGGAAACCCTGCTGCCCTTCACGTTTGTGGATTCTGAAGCCCTCGCTTGGCCTCTGCGTCAATAATTCTGACATGAACTACAAACTCCCACGGACTCCCAGGGAGGTTCCTCCCACCCGGGGCGGTGGATGGAGGAGGAGCGGAGGGAGGAGGTGGCATGCAGACAGGCCTTGGAAATCCGAGCACATTTTCCAGGATCTAGCTTCATGCCTCCTGCCACACGATTCTGCTGGGAGCTGGGGCAGTGAGTATCCAGTCTCATTTATCCCTTATCCACCATGGCCCTTGTTGGGCCCAGACACACAAACAGCTGCGATGGGTGCAGAGCAAGGTGCCCCAGCACACGCCCGCCCAGGCTTACCTAACGGGGCCATCTCCTGGCCGCAGCTCTCCATGGTTCCCCACTGCCAGTTTAGTCCAGTTCACATTTACCAAGATCCTTCACAAAATACGCCCCCATCGGCTGTTTCTTATTAGTCTAAGGTTGATTATGTTCGATTATGTTCAGTAAAAATCTTTAATTATGAAAACTCTGAAAATCTTCACATACTATTTTTTATCCCTTTCTAACATCTTTATATTGACGATTGGCCTGACGTGTGCCTCTGGCCCCCTTGACTTTACCCCTGTGTTTCTGCTTGGAAAGGGCTCCCTGAAGTGCAAATATGGTCCTGTTGCACATTTGCCCCCTGAAGCTCTGGAAAGCGGTCCCCAAATCCCATCCGGATGTAACTGGAAGGAAATTCCAACATCCTCCTAGTCCAGCCGAGGGGGTTCCCACCACGGATTTCCTTTTCAGGGCTCCCATTGCATTACTGGACAACTTCTAACTATTGAAAATTTTCCATTGGGAGAATTCTCCGTGTGTCATTTTTCTGTAGTTCCATTTAATGCAGTGATAGTTATTTTTTATCTTCTGTGTTTTCTCTACTTCCTGATTAAATTATGACCTCCTCAAATGGAAGGGCAATATAAACTCATTTCTTTTTATTATCCCACAGTAATTGTCAGGCTCAGACTTCTCTGTGAGCATCACCGACTGACCAGGGTACCGCTGGCTGGGATGTTACATGGAGCAGTTACACTAGCATTTTAGTTTCAAATGGATGCAGATTCAGCAAACACTTTGATTATCTAAAATCACAGCAGGATGATAGATTTTACTGTCTACTGATCCTTACATTTATATTATGAAGTACTCAAATTATTTATTAATTCAGCATTTGTGATTATACATTGCAATAGTAAAAATCTTTTGGGGAGTGATTTCAACAAGATAATGGAGTAGGAAGGTCTGGGCCCTCCTTCCCCTCAACAAACACAGCCGTTCAACAATGATTTGTGGACAAATTCCCTTTACAAAAATTTAGACACTAGGCCTGGCGTGGTGGCTCACTCCTGTAATCCCAGCACTTTAGGAGACCAAGGCGGGTGGATCATGAGGTCAGGAGATTGAGACCATCCTGGGTAACACGGTGCAACCCCGTCTCTACTAAAAATACAAAACAATTAGCTGGGCGTGGTGGCGGGCGCCTGTAGTCCCAGCTACTCAGGAGGCTGAGGCAGGAGAATCACGTGAACCCAGGAGGCGGAGCTTGCAGTGAGCCGAGATCGCGCCACTGCACTCCAGCCTGGGCGACAAGGCAAGACTCCGTCTCAAAAATAATAATAATAATAAAATAAAAATAAATAAATAAATAAATGACACTAATTGAAAATCTCCTGCACCTTGGGAAAATACAAAACCAGACTTACCAAAGATGCTCGGGAGATTCTCTCAAGAATTCCTACCCTGGCACAGCACCCTACAATCAGGAAGAGACCCCCTGGCTTCTACCTTCTCCCAGGGGAGGGAAGGATCAGTTAGCACATCCAGCACCCCAACTTTTCCAAGAGAGCTCCCAGAGTCTGGCCTCTGACCTGCAAGCATTGGGCCTGCTGGAGTCTGGCCCACTCTGGTTGCCTGGGGGAGAATGAAGACAGTGGCATGGCTGGTAGATGCCGTAGATCCTCTCCCTCCTCAGCACAGAATAAGCAAACAAGAACTCCATCTCTCAGCTTCCCACTGAAGAGGAAAGAGGTGATCCATGCATCCCACACCTCAGCTTCTTCAGGGTTGCACAGAGAACTGGCATCTACCTTCCAAGCCTTCCAGTCTTGGAGCTCTGTTGGGTCCAGCAGTCCAGCCACATAGGGGAGGACAGAGATGACAGCTTAGACTAGTAGATGCGATGGTGTTCTTCCCTGATTCAGGCAGAGCAAACAGGCGAAAACCACAGCTACCTTCTTCTCTCTGGGAAGGGAAAGAATTGGCTGAGACCCTCAGAATCTCTGAATGATTGGTGGGGGTCTTCTCATGTATAAGACAAGGTCATGAAGACTGAGAAAGGCACCAGTGCGGAAAGTCAAGGAAAATGAAAACTCAGGCAAAGATATTTCAAAGAAATAAAACAAATCTCCAGAAACTGACCCTAGTGAAATGAAGTTATATGATTTATTCGACAGAGAATTCAAAACAAGGGATATGAAGATGCCCCCTAAGGTCAAGAGAACAATGAAGGAACAAAATGAGAATTTAAGTAAAGTGACAGGACATATTTTTTAAATATGTGCCAAACAGAAATTATGGAGCTGAAGAACATAATTGACCTGAAAATTTTACTGGAAAGATTCAACAACAGACCAGATCAAACAGAAGAAAGCATCGGTGAACTCAAAGACAACATCGTTACAAATAATTCAATCAGGACAGCAAAAAATAGCAATAAAAAGAGTGAAGAAAGCTTACAGAACTTACGGGAAATCACCAAACAGATGGGGTTTCACCATGTTGGCCAGGCTGATCCTGAACTCCTGACCTCAAGTGATCTGCCCACCTCGGCCTCCCAAAGTGCTGGGATTACAGTTGTGAGCCACCGCGCCCGGCCAGGTCACACTCTCTTATAATGACTAATAGAACTAGAGTTTAACTGCCAAAAATATAGTTTTTTTAAAAAAAAGTTAAACATTTTAAAAGTCGAACACTCATTCCTGCCCCTGATCTTTCTCTGTGCTCTACCTCCTGCCAGCCATGCCCCCTGGGCACAGCCAATTCTGTCCCACCTCTGACTTCTTCCTGCCACTCACTGGGGTCTCCAGCTGTCAGCAGGACCATCGTGGGGTCACTCCACTAACTGGCCTCCCGCTTCCCATCTTGAATCCATACACACTGTCCTCCACACAACAGCTCCTGGGGTTTCTTTTTTTTTCTTTTTTTCTTTTTTGAGACAAGATCTTGCTCTGTCACCCAGGCTGGAGTGCAGGGCGTCATCTCAGCCCACTGCAGCCTCAACCTCCCGGGTGCAAGCGATTCTCCCACCTCAACCTCCCGAGTGGCTGGTATTACAGGCACCTGCCATCACACCTGGCTAATTTTTGTATTTTTAGGAGAGACAGGGTTTTGCCATGTTTCCCAGGTTTTACGGGCTTTTTTTAAATATATATAAACTTTTTATTGACAAATAACATAAATAACATACAAAAGAGAAGAAACAATAGGTTCCCACCTCAAAAATCCTCCCAAATACTGAAGTCAAGAAATAGGTCGGCCGGGCGCGGTGGCTCACGCCTGTAATCCCAGCACTTTGGGAGGCCGAGGCGGGTGGATCATGAGGTCAGGAGATCGAGACCATCCTGGCTAACAAGGTGAAACCCCGTCTCTACTAAAAATACAAAAAAAAAATTAGCCGGGCACGGTGGCGGGCGCCTGTAGTCCCAGCTACTCGGGAGGCTGAGGCAGGAGAATGGCGTGAACCCGGGAAGCGGAGCTTGCAGTGAGCCGAGATTGCGCCACTGCAGTCCGCAGTCCCGCCTGGGCGACAGAGCGAGACTCCGTCTCAAAAAAAAAAAAAAAAAAGAAATAGGTCATTCCGGAAGCCCCCAGCGAGCTCCCCACCCAGTTACTCCCTTCTTCCCAAATTCACCACTACCCTGCCTATTATTATTTTTTAACTATAAATATTTATTTAGTAGTCTGAACTAAGTGCTAAATGAAATTGAAATGTATTTTATTCTTTTTTTAATAGTAATTTTTTTTTAATTTTATTATTATTATACTTTAAGTTTTAGGGTACATGTGCACAACGGGCAGGTTTGTTACATATGTATACATGTGCCATGTTGGTGTGCTGTACCCATTAACTCGTCATTTAGCATTAGGTGTAACCCCTAATGCTATCCCTCCCCTAGCTCCCCACCCCCCAACAGGCCCCTGTGTGTGATATTCCCTTCCCTGTGTCCATGGGTTCTCATCGTTCATCTCCCACTTATGAGTGGCAACATGCAGTATTTGGTTTTCTGTTCCTGTGTTAGTTTGCTGAGAATGATGGTTTCCAGCTTCATCCATGTCCCTGCAAAGAACATGAACTCATCCTTTTTTATGGCTGCATAGTATTCCATGGTGTATATGTGCCACATTTTCTTTATGCAGTTTATCATTGATGGTCATTTGGGTTGGTTCCAAGTCTTTGCTATTGTGAATAGTGCTGCAATAAACATACATGTGCATGTGTCTTTATAGTAGAATGATTTGTAATCCTTTGGGTATATACCCAGTAATGGGATTGCTGGGTCAAATTGTATTTCCAGTTCTAGATCCTTGAGGAATCACCACACGGTCTTCCAGAATGGTTGAACTAACTTATACTCCCACCAACAGTGTAAAAGCGTTCCTATTTTTCCTTATCATCTCCAACATCTGTTGTTTCCTGGCTTTTTAATGATCGTCATTCTAACTGGCATCAGATGGTATCTCATTATGGTTTTGATTTGCAGTTCTCTAATGACCAGTGATGATGAGCTTTTTTTCATATGTTTGTTGGCCTCATAAATGTCTTCTTCTGAGAAATGCCTGTTCATATCGTTCACCCACTTTATGATTGGGTTGTTAGGTTTTTTTTTCTTGTAAATTTGTTAAAGTTCCTTGTAGATTCTGGATATTAGCCCTTTGTCAGATAGATAGATTACAAACATTTTCTCCCATTCTGTAGGTTGCCTGATAGTTTCATTTGCTGTGCAGAAGTTATTTACTTTCATTAGATCCCATTTGTCAATTCTGGCTTTTGTTGCCATTGCTCTTGGTGTTTTAGTCATGAAGTCTTTACCAGTGCCTGTGTCCTGAATGGTATTGCCTAGGTTTTCTTCTAGGCTTTTTATGGTTTTAGGTCTTATGTTTAAGTCTTTTATCCATCTTGAGTTAATTTTAGTATAAGGTGTAAGGAAGGAGTCCAGTTTCAGTTTTCTGCATATAGCTAGCCAGTTTTCCCAACAGCATTTATTAAATATGGAATCCTTTCCCCATTGTTTGTTTTTGTCAGGTTTGTCAAAGATCAGATGGTCGTAGATGTGTGGTGTTATTTCTGATGCCTCTGTTCTGTTCCATTGGCCTATGTATCTGTTTTGATACTAGTACCATCCTGTTTGGTTACTGTGGCCTTGTAGTATAGTTTGAAGTCAGCTGGTGTTCTTTGTCAGCTTTGTTCTTTTTGCTTAGGATTGTCTTGGCTATATGGACTCTTTTTTGATTCCATATGAAATTTAAAGTAGTTTTTTTTTTCCTAATTCTGTGAAGAAAGTCAATGGGAGCTTGATGGGGATAGCATGGAATCTGTAAATTACTTTGGGCAGTATGGCCATTTTCACAATATTGGTTCTTCCTATCCATGATCATGGAATGTTTTTCCATTTATTTGTGTCTTCTCTTATTTCCTTGAGTGGTGGTTTGTAGTTCTCCTTGAAGAGGTCCTTCACATCCCTTGTAAGTTGGATTCCTAGGTATTTTATTCTCTTTGTAGCAATTGTGAATGAGAGTTCACTCATGATTTGGCTCTCTGTTTGTCTGTTATTGGTGTACAGGAATGCTTGTGATTTTTGCACATTGATTTTGTATCCCGAGACTTTGCTAAAGTTGCTTATCGGCTTAAGGAGATTTAGGGCTGAGACAATGGGGTTTTCTACATATACAATCATGTCATCTGCAAACAGAGAGAATTTGACTTTCTCTTTTCCTATTTGAATACCTTTTATTTCTTTCTCTTGTCTGATTGTCCTGACCAGAACATCCATCACTATGTTGAATAGGAATGGTGAGACAGGGCATCCCTGTCTTGTGCCAGTTTTCAAAGGGAATGCTTCCAGTTTTTGCCCATTCAGTATGATATTGGCTGTGGGTTTGTCATAAATAGCTCTTATTGAGATACTTCACATCAATACCTAGTTTATTGAGAGCTTTTAGCATGAAGCAGTGTCGAATTTTATTGCAGGCCTTCTCTACATCTGTTGAGATAATCATGTGGTTTTTGTCATTGGTTCTGTTTATGTGATAGATTATGTTTACTGATTTGCATATGTTGAACCAGCCTTGCATCCCAGGGATGAAGCCGACTTGATCGTGGTGGATAAACTTTTTGATGTGCTGCTGTATTCAGTTTGCCAGTATTTTATTGAGGATTTCTGCATCCATGTTCATCAGGGATATAGGCCTGAAGTTTTCTGTTTTTGTTGTGTCTCTGCCAGGTTGTGGTATCAGGATGATGCTGGCCTCATAAAATGAGTTAGAGAGGAGTCCGTCTTTTTCTATTGTTTGGAATAATTTCAGAAGGAATGGTACCAGCTCCTCTTTGTACCTCTGGTAGAATTTGGCTGTGAATCCATCTGATCCTGGGCTTTTTTTTGTTGGTAGGCTATTAATTACTGCCTCAATTTCAGAACTTGTTATTGGTGTATTCAGGGATTTGACTTATTCCTCATTTAGTCTTGGGAGGGTGTATGTTTCCAGGAATGTATCAGTTTCTTCTAGATTTTCTAGTTTATTTGTGTAGAGGTGTTTATAGTGTTCTCTGATTGTAGTTTGTATTTCTGTGGGATCAGTGGTGATCTCCCCTTTATCATTTTTTATTGTGTCTATTTGATTGTTCTCTGTTTTCTTCTTTAATAGTCTGGGTAGTGGTCTATCTATTTTGTTAATCTTTTCAAAAAACCAGCTTCTAGATTCATTGATTTTTTTTGAAGGGTTTTTCATGTCTCTATCTCCTTCAGTTCTTCTCTAATCTGAGTTATTTCTTGTCTTATCTTAGCTTTTGAATTTGTTTGCTCTTGCTTCTCTGGTCCTTTTAATTGTGATTTTAGGGTGTTGATTTTAGATCTTTCCCACTTTCTCCTGTGGGCATTTGGTGCTATAAATTTTGCTCTAAACACTGCTTTAGCTGTGTCCCAGAGATTCTGGTATGTTGTGTCTTTGTTATTGTTGGTTCCAAAGAACTTATTTATTTTTCCCTTAATTTCGTTATTTACCCAGTAGTCATTCAGGAGCAAGTTGTTCAGTTTCCATGTAGTTGTGCAGTTTTGAGTGAGATTCTTAATCCTGAGTTCTAATTTGATTGCACTGTGGTCGGAGAGACTGTTATGATTTCCATCCTTTTGCATTTGCTGAGGAGTGTTTTACTCCCAATTATGTGGTCAGTTTTGGAATAAGTGTGATATGGTGCTGAGAAGAATGTATATTCTGTTGATTTAGGGTGGAGAGTTATGTAGATGTCAATTGGGTCTGCTTGGTCCAGAGCTGAATTGAAGTCCTGAATATCATTGTTAATTTTCTGTCTCATTGATCTAATATTGACAGTGAGGTGTGAAAGTCTCCCATTATTATTGTATGGGAGTCTAAGTCTCTTTGTAGGTCTCTAAGAACTTGATTTATGAATCTGGGTCCTCCTGTATTGGGTGCTCCTGTATTGAGTGCATATATATTTAGGATAGTTAGCTCTTCTTGTTGCGTTGATCCCTTTACGATTATGTGATGCTCTTCTTTGTCTTTTTAGATCGTTGTTGACTTAAAATTTGTCTTATCAGAGACTAGGATTGCAACTCCTGCTTTTTTTGCTTTCCGTTTGCTTGGTAAATATTCCTCCATCCCTTTATTTTGAGCCTATGTGTGTCTTTGTACATGAGATGGGTCTCCTGAATACAGCATACTAATGGGCCTTGACTGTATCCAATTTGCCAGTTTGTGTCTTTTAACTGGGACATTTAGCCTGTTTACATTTAACATTAATATTGTTATATATGAATTTGATCCTGTCATTATGATGCTAGCCGGTTATTTTGCCCATTAATTGATGCAATTTCTTCATAGTGTCGATGGTCTTTACAATTTGGTATGTTTTTGCAGTGGCTGGTACCGGTTTTTGCTTTCCATGTTTAGTGGTTCCTTCAGGAGCTCTTGTAAGGCAGGCCTGGTGGTGATAATATCTCCCAGCATTTGCTTGTGTGTAAAGGATTTTATTTCTCCTTCACTTATGAAGCTTAGTTTGGCTGGATATGAAAATCTGGGTTGAAAATTCTTTTTTTTAAGAATGTTGAATATTGGCACCCACCCTCTTCTAGCTTTTAGCGTGTCTGCAGAGATATCCACTGTTAGTCTAATGGGCTTCCCTTTGTGGGTAACCTGACCTTTCTCTCTGGCTGCCCTTATCATTTTTTCCTTCATTTCAACCTTGGTGAATCCGACGATTATGTGTCTTGGGGTTGCTCTTCTCAAGGAGTAACTTTGTGGTGTTCTCTGTATTTCCTGAATTTGATTGTTGGCCTTTCTTGCTAGGTTGGAGAAGTTCTCCTGGATTATATCCTGAAGAGTGTTTTCCAGCTTGGTTCCATTCTCCCCGTCACTTTCAGGTACATTAATCTAATGTAGGATTGGTCTTTTCACATTGTCCCATATTTCTTGGAGGCTTTGTTTGTTCCTTTTTGTTCTTTTTTCTCCAATCTTGTCTTCACACTTTATTTTAATAAGGTGATGCTTCAATTTCTGATATCCTTTCTTCATTTGATTGATTCAGCTATTGATACTTGTGTATGCTTCACGAAGTTCTCATGCTGCGTTTTTCAGCTCCATCAGGTAATTTATGTTCTTCTCTAAACTGGTTATTCTAGTTAGCAATTCCTGTAACCTTTTTTCAAGGTTCTTAGCTTCCTTGTGTTGGGTTAGAACATACTCCTTTAGCTTGGAGGAGTTTATTACCCACTTTCTGAAACCTACTTCTATAATTTGCCAAACTCATTCTCTGTCCGGTTCTGTTCCCTTGCTGGTGAGGAGTTGTGATCGTTTGGAGGAGAAGAGGCTTTCTGGTTTTTGGAATTTTCAACCTTGTTGTGCTGGTTTTTCCTCATCTTCATGGATTTATCTATCTTTGTTCTTTGATGCTGGTGACTTTCGGATAGGGTTTTGGTGTAGACGTCCTTTTTATTGATGTTGATGCTATTACTTTCTGTTTGATAGTTTTCTTTCTAACCATCAGGCCCCTCTTCTCAGGTCTGCTGGAGTTTGCTAGAGGTCCACTCCAGACCCTGTTTGCCTGGGTATCACCAGTGGAGGTTGCCGAACAGCAAAGATTGCTGCCTGTTCCTTCCTCTGGAAGCTTCGTCCCAGAGGGACTCCTGCCAGATGCCAGCCGGAGCTCTC
This sequence comes from Homo sapiens, assembly GCF_000001405.40. Classification (NCBI taxonomy): domain Eukaryota; kingdom Metazoa; phylum Chordata; class Mammalia; order Primates; family Hominidae; genus Homo; species Homo sapiens. The sequence goes on from NC_000008.11 coordinate 1,601,290, forward strand.
CTGTGTGATGTGTCTGTTGATCCCTGCTGGGAGATGTCTCCCCATCAGGAGACAAGAGGGTCAGGGGCCCACTTGAGGAGGCACTCTGTGCCTTAGCAGAGCTCGAGCGCTGTGCTGGGAGAGCTGCTGCTCTCTTCAGAGCCGAGAGGCAGAAACGTTTACGTCTGCTGAAGCTGCACCCACAGCCGCCCCTTCCCCCGGGTGCTCTGTCCCAGAGAGATGGGAGTTTTATCTATAAGCCCTGACTGGGGCTGCTGCCTTTCTTTCAGAGATGCCCTGCCCAGAGAGCAGTTTTACAGGCTTTTTACAGACAGATCAGACCGAGTCCCTGAAAACTCCGTGACAGATGTTTGTCACATTGAAAGTAAAATGGAGCCTCTCCGCCTCGGCCCACAAACGTCTCCATTATGAGACCAAGCCTGGTCTGCTCGTTCACCACTCTGGTCTTTAATTTCCTCAAATGCTCAGAGCTCTCTCGTAGCTTAGGGTCTTTGGAGTTGCTGTTTCCTCTCCCTAAATGGTTCCTCTCAATCCTTGCATAATTAGTCATTGAGATATCAGCTTAAATAGCACCTGTTCAGTGAGACATTTTTTTCACCAGGCAATCTGAGGTAGCTATGTAGTCACTTTTGATCCTAAAACCTTAATTTAACAGGGTGTGTGTGTGTGTGTGTGTGTGTGTGTGTGTGTGATCAGCCCGTGCTACCTTCTTGCTTGTGGGGGCCTCTATCCCTCACGAGCTGTCAGTCCTGCTGCCTGCTGCATCCCAGACTTGGGCCATGCAAGCTGCATTGAAGCACTCAGCCCACACTTGTCAAATATGTGAATGAGAGAGTGAGTGAATGTATATGTTCTTAATGCCCAGCATCATTCACAACACATATTCGATATTAATGTTTGTTGAATGGCCCAATATGACAAGAGGAGTAAAAGTGTTTCTAGTAAACAGTGTAAGATAATGTTGTTATTTCTAATTAATGACATTCTAGTAGAAAGTGTAAGACAGTGTTGCTGTTTCTAATTAATGGTGTGCTCTGATGAATCGATGTCACTGAAATGGGGTCTTTCTTTAAAAATGCAGACATGCTTTACAGCCTGGCTGCTTCAAAGTTGGGCATTATTAAGAATCTCCAGCTTTAACAGTGAAAGGCCTATTCCACACAGGGAATATACTGATTCATGCAGCCATGTTGCCCAGAGCTAGCCAGGGCTGGAGGCCCGAATCCACGGAGGCCGGGCCAGGCCACCCCAGCATCAGGCCTCAGGCCTGCCCACCTGCACTGGCTTCATTCAGACCGTCCCAGGCAATGATGAGATGGCACCAGCTACTCCAGGCTGACCCTCTACCAGCTCAGAGACCACCAAGGCAGCAAGGAAGCCCCTCCTTCCCAGGAGTGACAGCAGTTTATTCATTCATTCATTTATTCATCCCACAAGTGTCTCTTGAGCTCCTCCATGTGTCAGGCACTGCTCCAGATGCTCCCCAATGTCGTGGGCATGGCAGGCAGTGACAGCTCTCATGCTTCCCATGCTGTCACAGAGGAGGACAGATAATAAGCAGTAAACATGACAGGTGATCAGTAATAAAAAGTGAAGTGTGTAGCACCCTAAAGGTGTCGAGTGCCGCGAGGGAAAATTCAACAGAATGAGGGGGTCTGTAAGGGTGGAAGGCTGGCTCTCAGTTCTGCAGAGGCTGGATAGAGTGGAGGCTGGGTCTCAGTTCTGCAGAGGCTGGTTAGAGCGGAGGCTGGGTCTGAGTTCTGCAGAGCTTGGTTAGGGTGGAAGCTGGGTCTCAGTTCTGCAGAGGCTGGTTAGAGTGGAGGCTGGGTCTCAGTTCTCCACAGGCTGGTTAGAGTGGAGGCTGGGTCTCAGTTCTACAGAGGCTGGTTAGAGTGGAGGCTGGGTCTCAGTTCTGCAGAGCTGGTTAGAGTGGAGGCTGGGTCTCAGTTCTACAGAGGCTGGTTAGAGTGGAGGCTGGGTCTCAGTTCTGTAGAGGCTGGTTAGAGTGGAGGATGGGTCTCAGTTCTACAGAGGCTGGTTAGAGTGGAGGCTGGGTCTCAGTTCCATAGAGGCTGGTTAGAATGGAGGCTGGGTCTCAGTTCTGTAGAGGCTGGTTAGAGTGGAGGCTGGGTCTCAGTTCTACAGAGGCTGGTTAGAGTGGAGGCTGGGTCTCAGTTCTGTAGAGGCTGGTTAGAGTGGAGGATGGGTCTCAGTTCCATAGAGGCTGGTTAGAGTGGAGTCTGGGTCTCAGTTCTGCAGAGCTTGGTTAGGGTGGAAGGTGGGTCTCAGTTCTGCAGAGGCTGGTTAGAGTGGAGGCTGGGTCTCAGTTCTGTAGAGGCTGGTTAGAGTGGAGGCTGGGTCTTCATTCTTTTGGGTTGTGCCAGCAAGGCCATGACATCTCCTCCACACTGTGATGGGCTCAGCATCCAGCTCATAGTAGTTGGAACAGTCAGTATTTCTGTCTCAGGGATTATTTATCTAAGGGACTGGGGCTGAGGAGGGATCTGCAGGCTTCTAAACCTGACCACATCATCCTCCCCATGCGTCCTGCTGGCAGGAGACCACCGTTCAATATTTGACCACTTAATATTTGGTGAGATTCCATGCAAATTACTAAACTCAAGTTGCCTCCGTATGAGGAGTTTTCTGAGTCCTGCAGCTCCAACCCCCACCTCCCCACATACCCCAGCCACCGCGTCGGCACCTCTCCTCAAGTCAAGCCAGCTGCGGCCACACATTTCCATTCTGATGCCCAAGACACAGCTGGGACAGAACACATTCTTAAAGACACTTAAGTGAACAGGCACAAAGATGAATGACCCTTCTTCATTTTGTGGACACTGCAGACACTGTTCACATATGGCCGTTATCGACATGGATTCAGAAATCATTTTCCTGGAAACATTGCTAGGTAACTGCGGGAGAAGGGACCTTGCTATAAATGCACTGGAGTTTGCTGAAAATGTAAATACGAATTTTATCTCCTAACACCAGGGAGAGATGTTTCACTAGGGTGTTCATTATGATTTGCAAATGAAATGGACAAAATTCAGATTCTCTAAACAGTACCTCAGTGGGGCATCCTATCCCTCCATCCAAATAGATCCATGTTTCTCAAAGTGTGGTCTGGCCCATAGACCACCAGGAATGGAATCACCTAGAATGTTTATTTAAAATTTGGATTTGGGGCTGACCTCACCCTTCTAAATTCCATCTCCGGGGATGCGATCCAGGAATCAACATTACATGCAAGCACTCAGGAGATCGTGATACAGGAATCTATATTACATGCAAGCACACAGGAGACCGTGATCCTGGAATCTATATTACATACTAGCATGCGGAAGACCGTGATCCAGGAATCTACATTACATGCAAGCACGCAGGAGACTGTGATCCAGATTGGGATTTGCAAAACCATCCAATGAATGTCTTCTTGTTGCTCCGACACCAGCCTTTAAATGTAAAGTGACAACAGTCAAAAATATTTATAAAGAAAAAAGCAATGTACTTGTTAAAAAAAAAACTCAAACATAAATGGCTTAGATGTAAATAATAATGAAGATACCACAGGCAGAATCATAGCTTCTCTGTGATAGGCCAGCCGTTAGAATCGCTGAGCTTAGCATCTACCAGGAGCTGCTGCAGAAAAGGTCTGATGTCTTGTGTCGTGTGTGGAGTACTTGTGGTGTAACAGGATAAAGATAGTGCAGTCGCTTTGTTGTTAGAAGCAACAGCACCAGAAGCCAGGCGGGGCACACCACCCTGCAGCCAACCTCGGTGCCATCGGCTCACCTGACCTCATCGGCCCCTGAGGATGCAGGCCAGGCACCATCATTGCTTCCACTGCCGAAAGAGGAAACAGTGGGTGAGCAACATCCGTGACTTACCCAGGTTCATACGGTGAGGATGCACAGAACCGAATGCAAGCCCCAGATCCGGACCTCCTGACCTCCACTCCTGTGTTCTGGACACAGCTCCCTACTACTCAGGGGAGTGGACCAATTTGAGCCGAAGATGGTTACCTACTTGATTCGCACTTCCGTCGCCACACAAGTGATACAGCAGGGCTCTCAGAGTGCGTGCCTCTGAGATGCTTGAGAAGCAAAGTGGTCTCCATATTCCCCTGACGTCTTCTGTTCGTGACTTGAAGGAAGCAGATGATCACAAGAGTCTCTGGTGAATGCGTGAATCCAGGGCTCTAGTGAGTGCGGCCTGTCCTTTGTGCATGAGCTTTAGAAACGTGCTACATTCTTGTGGGCCTAAGTGCCTCTTTAGGATGAAATCTTTTCAATTAGCAATCAAAGACTTTTATACCCTGCCCCTTTCCATGGTTGTCCCCTCCAGCAAATCTGTGATCCCGCTGATGTTACCTTCCCTGTTATAAGGAAGAAAACAGAGAATGCAGCGTTTGCTAACTGTCCGAGCCCACAGCGTCCATGATGGGGTGAGAACCGAAGCCAGCAGCTCCCCACTCTGGAAGTAAACTGTTGACTCATTTCCGTGTTTGTCTGAATTATTAGTTTATCATATAGTTGTAATAATCCATGGCAAATGTTTAAAATATGCCACAAAAGCAACACATGCCAAATTTGGAATCAGAAGGTCTTCAGGCTCAAATCTCAGCTCGAGCTCGTGCTGTAGAACGTGTCACCTCTGAGTGAAGACTTTCTCTTCTTGTTAAAGCAAGGTTAATTATAATACCTTCCGCAGAGAATCATAACCAGCACCAAATCAGAGGCGAAGAATGAAAGTATTTGTGGAAAATGAATTATCGTTAACTCTGCTGCCCCAGAGCTCCCTCACTGTCCTTCCTTGAGGCCCAAGAGAAAAGACGAACTGAAGGTACCAGTGGGTTTTTTTTGAAAATTTGCTTCAAGTCTACATTCTGAACGTACGGTTCATTTCAACTTTCAGATGACATAAAGCTAAATAGAGTGCTCTTCGTATCTTATTTTCCTCCTTTATTGAGTTATGATTTAAGAACCATACAATTCATCCACTTGAAGTACAATTCAGTGGTTCTTAGTTTATTTATGGACTTGCGCGAACATCAGTGCAATCCATTTTAGAACATAAACTTTACACCAAAAAGAAACCCTGTACCGTCACTCCCCACTTCCCCTAACTCCTCCAACCCCTGGCAACCACGAACCTGCATTCTCCCTGTCGTGGCCATGGAACCCCACAATACTGTATCTTTGTGTCTGGCTTCTAGCATAACGTTTTCAACATTGATCCACATTGCAGCATGTGTCAGAACTGCAATTCTTTTTATGATGGAAGCATATTCCATTGTATGGATAGACCACAGTTTATTTACCCATCCATCATGGATGTATACTTAGGTTGTTTCCTTTTGGAGGCTATTATGAATAATTCTGCTATGACCATTATTCTGTTTGTTTTCTGAGATGAGGTCTCACTCTGTTGCCCAGGCTGGAGTGCAGTGGCACAATCTCGGCTCACTACAACCTCCGCCCCCTGAGCTCAAGGAATCCTCCCTCCTCAGTGACCCCAAGTAGCTGGGTCCACAGATGTACACCACCACACCCAGCTAAGTTTTTGTATTTTTGGTAGAGACGAGATTTCATCATGTTGCCCAGGCTAGTCTCAAACTCCTAAGCTCGAGAGATCCACCTACCGCAGCCTCCCAAAGTGCTGGGATTACAGGCGTGAGCCACAGCACCCGGCCTCCTGTATGAGTTTTATGTGGACACACATTTTCATTTCTCCTGGGCATATACCAAGGAGTGGAGATGCTGGGTCCTTGATAACTCAATGTTTGACCTTTTGAGGAACTCCCAGACTGTTTTTCAAAGTGGCTGTACTACATATAATATTAAATAACATAAATTAGTTGCATATGTAACATTATATTATTGTATTGTTTTCATATACATATGTTTATATAAAAATTATCCATCATTCTTTAAAATCTGACTTATATTCTTTAATCTCTAAAGATTTACAGAGACACAGTTTTATAGCAAGAGCAGATTTTTCATCTATCTTAAAATGTGTATGTTCATCAGTATGGATATACTGACACCCATATCCTGGAGGACAAATGATTGGAGGATTTCCATAATGCTCATCACATCTGTTCTGACGTTTAAGTCACTGTCCTTTCTCAAAGGAAATCTAATTTATACTCCTTAGCACAATATTGCTATCTTTTCTTAGAAATACATTTCACAGTTGAAATATAAAGCAATTTGAGGAAAATAAGATTTTTAGAAAGACATCGGGCCTGTGTAAATATATCCTTTAGAAAATTGACTTCAGAGCGTGAGCGACGCAGAAGACGGGTGATTTCTGCATTTCCATCTGAGGTACCGGGTTCATCTCACTAGGGAGTGCCAGACAGTGGGCGCAGGCCAGTGGGTGCGCGCACCGGGCGCGAGCCGAAGCAGGGCGAGGCATTGCCTCACCTGGGAAGCGCAAGGGGTCAGGGAGTTCCCTTTCTGAGTCAAAGAAAGGGGTGACGGACGCACCTGGAAAATCGGGTCACTCCCACCCGAATATTGCGCTTTTCAGACCGGCTTAAAAAACGGCGCACCACGAGACTATATCCCACACCTGGCTCGGAGGGTCCTACGCCCACGGAATCTCGCTGATTGCTAGCACAGCAGTCTGAGATCAAACTGCAAGGCGGCAGCGAGGCTGGGGGAGGGGCGCCCGCCATTGCCCAGGCTTGCTTAGGTAAACAAAGCAGCCGGGAAGCTCGAACTGGGTGGAGCCCACCACAGCTCAAGGAGGCCTGCCTGCCTCTGTAGGCTCCACCTCTGGGGGCAGGGCACAGACAAACAAAAAGACAGCAGTAACCTCTGCAGACTTAAATGTCCCTGTCTGACAGCTTTGAAGAGAGCAGTGGTTCTCCCAGCACGCAGCTGGAGATCTGAGAACGGGCGGACTGCCTCCTCAAGTGGGTCCCTGACCCCTGACCCCCGAGCAGCCTAACTGGGAGGCACCCCCCAGCAGGGGCACACTGACACCTCACACGGCAGGGTATTCCAACAGACCTGCAGCTGAGGGTGCTGTCTGTTAGAAGGAAAACTAACAAACAGAAAGGACATCCACACCGAAAACCCATCTGTACATCACCATCATCAAAGACCAAAAGTAGATAAAACCACAAAGATGGGGAAAAAACAGAACAGAAAAACTGGAAACTCTAAAACGCAGAGCGCCTCTCCTCCTCCAAAGGAACGCAGTTCCTCACCAGCAACGGAACAAAGCTGGATGGAGAATGACTTTGACGAGCTGAGAGAAGAAGGCTTCAGACGATCAAATTACTCTGAGCTACGGGAGGACATTCAAACCAAAGGCAAAGAAGTGGAAAACTTTGAAAAAAATTTAGAAGAATGTATAACTAGAATAACCAATACAGAGAAGTGCTTAAAGGAGCTGATGGAGCTGAAAACCAAGGCTCGAGAACTACGTGAAGAATGCAGAAGCCTCAGGAGCCGATGCGATCAACTGGAAGAAAGGGTATCAGCAGTGGAAGATGAAATGAATGAAATGAAGCGAGAAGGGAAGGTTAGAGAAAAAAGAATAAAAAGAAATGAGCAAAGCCTCCAAGAAATATGGGACTATGTGAAAAGACCAAATCTACGTCTGATTGGTGTACCTGAAAGTGATGGGGCGAATGGAACCAAGTTGGAAAACACTCTACAGGATATTATCCAGGAGAACTTCCCCAATCTAGCAAGGCAGGCCAACATTCAGATTCAGGAAATACAGAGAACGCCACAAAGATACTCCTCGAGAAGAGCAACTCCAAGACACATAATTGTCAGATTCACCAAAATGGAAATGAAGGAAAAAATGTTAAGGGCAGCCAGAGAGAAAGGTCGGGTTACCCTCAAAGGGAAGCCCATCAGACTAACAGCGGATCTCTCGGCAGAAACCCTACAAGCCAGAAGAGAGTGGGGGCCAATATTCAACATTCTTGAAGAAAAGAATTTTCAACCCAGAATTTCATATCCAGCCAAACTAAGCTTCATAAGTGAAGGAGAAATAAAATACTTTACAGACAAGCAAATGCTGAGAGATTTTGTCACCACCAGGCCTGCCCTAAAAGAGCTCCTGAAGGAAGCGCTAAACATGGAAAGGAACGACCGGTACCAGCTGCTGCAAAATCATGCCAAAATGTAAAGACCATCGAGACTAGGAAGAAACTGCATCAACTAACGAGCAAAATCACCAGCTAACAACATAATGACAGGATCAAATTCACACATAATATTAACTTTAAATGTAAATGGACTAAATGCTCCAATTAAAAGACACAGACTGGCAAGTTGGATAAAGAGTCAAGACCCATCAGTGTGCTGTATTCAGGAAACCCATCTCACGTGCAGAGACACACATAGGCTCAAAATAAAAGGATGGAGGAAGATCTACCAAGCAAATGGAAAACAAAAAAAGGCAGGGGTTGCAATCCTAGTCTCTGATAAAACAGACTTTAAACCAACAAAGATCAAAAGAGACAAAGAAGGCCATTACATAATGGTAAAGGGATCAATTCAACAAGAGGAGCTAACTATCCTAAATATATATGCACCCAATACGGGAGCACCCAGATTCATAAAGCAAGTCCTGAGTGACCTACAAAGAGACTTAGACTCCCACACATTAATAATGGGAGACTTTAACACCCCACTGTCAACATTAGACAGATCAACGAGACAGAAAGTTAACAAGGATACCCAGGAATTGAACTCAGCTCTGTACCAAGCGGACCTAATAGACATCTACAGAACTCTCCACCCCAAATCAACAGAATATACATTTTTTTCAGCACCACACCACACCTATTCCAAAATTGACCACATAGTTGGAAGTAAAGCTCTCCTCAGCAAATGTGAAAGAACAGAAATTATAACAAACTATCTCTCAGACCACAGTGCAATGAAACTAGAACTCAGGATTAAGAATCTCACTCAAAACTGCTCAACTACATGGAAACTAAACAACCTGCTCCTGAATGACTACTGGGTACATAACGAAATGAAGGCAGAAATAAAGATGTTCTTTGAAACCAACGAGAACAAAGACACAACAAACCAGAATCTCTGGGACGCATTCAAAGCAGTGTGTAGAGGGAAATTTATAGCACTGAATGCCCACAAGAGAAAGCAGGAAAGATCCAAAATTGACACCCTAACATCACAATTAAAAGAACTAGAAAAGCAAGAGCAAACACATTCAAAAGCTAGCAGAAGGCAAGAAATAACTAAAATCAGAGCAGAACTGAAGGAAATAGAGACACAAAAAACCCTTCAAAAAATCAATGAATCCAGGAGCTGGTTTTTTGAAAGGATCAACAAAATTGATAGACCGCTAGCAAGACTAATAAAGAAAAAAAGAGAGAAGAATCAAATAGACACAATAAAAAATGATAAAGGGGATATCACCACCGATCCCACAGAAATACAAACTACCATCAGAGAATACTACAAACACCTCTACGCAAATAAACTAGAAAATCTAGAAGAAATTAATAAATTGCTCGACACATACACTGTCCCAAGACTAAACCAGGAAGAAGTTGAATCTCTGAATAGACCAATAACAGGAGCTGAAATTGTGGCAATAATCAATAGTTTACCAACCAAAAAGAGTCCAGGACAAGATGGATTCACAGCCGAATTCTACCAGAGGTACAAGGAGGAACTGGTACCATTCCTTCTGAAACTATTCCAATCAATAGAAAAAGAGGAAATCCTCCCTAACTCATTTTATGAGGCCAGCATCATTCTGATACCAAAGCCGGGCAGAGACACAACCAAAAAAGAGAATTTTAGACCAATATCCTTGATGAACATCGATGCAAAAATCCTCAATAAAATACTGGCAAACCGAATCCAGCAGCACATCAAAAAGCTTATCCACCATGATCAAGTGGGCTTCTTCCCTGGGATGCAAGGCTGGTTCAATATACGCAAATCAATAAATGTAATCCAGCATATAAACAGAGCCAAAGACAAAAACCACATGATTATCTCAATAGATGCAGAAAAAGCCTTTGACAAAATTCAACAACCCTTCATGCTAAAAACTCTCAATAAATTAGGTATTGATGGGACGTATTTCAAAATAATAAGAGCTATCTATGACAAACCCACAGCCAATATCATACTGAATGGGCAAAAACTGGAAGCATTCCCTTTGAAAACTGGCACAAGACAGGGATGCCCTCTCTCACCGCTCCTATTCAACATAGTGTTGGAAGTTCTGGCCAGGACAATCAGGCAGGAGAAGGAAATAAAGGGTATTCAATTAGGAAAAGAGGAAGTCAAATTGTCCCTGTTTGCAGATGACATGATTGTTTATCTAGAAAACCCCATCGTCTCAGCCCAAAATCTCCTTAAGCTGATAAGCAACTTCAGCAAAGTCTCAGGATACAAAATCAATGTACAAAAATCACAAGCATTCTTATACACCAGCAACAGACAAACAGAGAGCCAAATCATGAGTGAACTCCCATTCACAATTGCTTCAAAGAGAATAAAATACCTAGGAATCCAACTTACAAGGGATGTGAAGGACCTCTTCAAGGAGAACTACAAACCACTGCTCAAGGAAATAAAAGAGGATACAAACAAATGGAAGAACATTCCATGCTCATGGGTAGGAAGAATCAATATCGTGAAAATGGCCATACTGCCCAAGGTAATTTACAGATTCAATGCCATCCCCATCAAGCTACCAATGACTTTCTTCACAGAATTGGAAAAAACTACTTTAAAGTTCATATGGAACCAAAAAAGAGCCCGCATCACCAAGTCAATCCTAAGCCAAAAGAACAAAGCTGGAGGCATCACACTACCTGACTTCAAACTATACTACAAGGCTACAGTAACCAAAACAGCATGGTACTGGTACCAAAACAGAGATATAGATCAATGGAACAGAACAGAGCCCTCAGAAATAACACCGCATACCTACAACTATCTGATCTTTGACAAACCTGAGAAAAACAAGCAATGGGGAAAGGATTCCCTATTTAATAAATGGTGCTGGGAAAACTGGCTAGCCATATGGAGAAAGCTGAAACTGGATCCCTTCCTTACACCTTATACAAAAATCAATTCAAGATGGATTAAAGATTTAAACGTTAGACCTAAAACCATAAAAACCCTAGAAGAAAACCTAGGCATTACCATTCAGGACATAGGCATGGGCAAGGACTTCATGTCCAGAACACCAAAAGCAATGGCAACCAAAGCCAAAATTGACAAATGGGATCTAATTAAACTAAAGAGCTTCTGAACAGCAAAAGAAACTACCATCAGAGTGAACAGGCAACCTACAACATGGGAGAAAATTTTCGCAACCTACTCATCTGACAAAGGGCTAATATCCAGAATCTACAATGAACTCAAACAAATTTACAAGAAAAAAACAAACAACCCCATCAAAAAGTGGGAGAAGGACATGAACAGACACTTCTCAAAAGAAGACATTTATGCAGCCAAAAAACACATGAAAAAATGCTCATCATCACTGGCCATCAGAGAAATGCAAATCAAAACCACTATGAGATATCATCTCACACCAGTTAGAATGGCAATCATTAAAAAGTCAGGAAACAACAGGTGCTGGAGAGGATGTGGAGAAATAGGAACACTTTTACACTATTGGTGGGACTGTAAACTAGTTCAACCATTGTGGAAGTCAGTGTGGCGATTCCTCAGGGATCTAGAACTAGAAATACCATTTGACCCAGCCATCCCATTACTGGGTATATACCCAAAGGACTATAAATCATGCTGCTATAAAGACACATGCACACGTATGTTTATTGCGGCATTATTCACAATAGCAAAGACTTGGAACCAAGCCAAATGTCCAACAATGATAGACTGGATTAAGAAAATGTGGCACATATACACCATGGAATACTATGCAGCCATAAAAAATGATGAGTTCATGTCCTTTGTAGGGACATGGATGAAATTGGAAATCATCATTCTCAGTAAACTATTGCAAGAACAAAAAACCAAACACCGCATATTCTCACTCATAGGTGGGAACTGAACAATTAGAACACGTGGACACAGGAAGGGGAACATCACACTCTGGGGACTGTGGTGGGGTGGGGGGAGCGGGGAGGGATAGAATTGGGAGATATACCTAAGGCTAGATGACGAGTTAGTGGGTGCAGCGCACCAGCATGGCACATGTATACATATGTAACTAACCTGCACAATGTGCACATGTACCCTAAAACTTAAAGTATAATAAAAAAAAAAAAAGAAAAGAAAAGAAAATTGACTTCAACTGAAATTTATGCACTGCGCACCCAGCTCCATGAGGACAAGGGCGATGCCTTCATAAATGATGCCCAGAAAGTATTTGATAGATGAGTAACTCATTTTCTAAATTAACATATTTTGGGAGAGTAGTTTAACAGCAGCAGTAAAGCCCTTTTTCGAGAACCTGTTCTGTACTGCTTCGGACAGATGTAGGTCTCCATTCTGAATTCATGTCCACCCTGCATGTTCAGTTCACTCACACTGGCCTCCTCTGTATTCTTTTTGGAAAAATCATAGAGAAAGATTAGCAAATTGAATTTTTTAAAAATAAGCCTCAAAAATGTTGAATGCCAAAGGACTAAATTGCTACCTTCCATTCTAGCTCTATCAACTATTCCCGGTACAAATATGAACAGTAAGGCCAGGCTTTGCAATGCGTGACCTGACAGGTCTCAGACTCGGCGGGGTTTTCAGCGAAAATGGGCCTCAGGAGGCCTTTGGAAGAGCCAGGTGGGGGAGGCTGGTTCACTGCAAGTGTATGCCCTGGCTTCAGCGGTGACTGAGCCCTCGTAGCCCAGGGGACATGGTGGATCATCACATACTTCTCATGGGATCCTTCACAAACCCCACCAGCACCTTCAGCAGATGGAGAAATCAACTCTTCACAGGCAGAAAAAAAACGGATGGCACAGACCTGGGGTCTCCTGAGCATTTGCAGTCAGGCAAGAGAACAGCCGTGGGGCCTCTGCAGCCAGAGGGTGAATCTCACCTCAGAACTGACTCAGTGAACACGGAATTACCAGCCACATTGGCAGAGACCTCACAGTCAGTGCTGCTGGTACCACAGGCAGGACAAGGGGTGCCGAGGTTGGAATATGACCACAGACACCCGGCGGACTGGAGGTGGCCTCTGCCGCAGCTGCCATTGACGGCTTGGACCCCGCTTTGTGTTGCCAGCATCACCTCCAGGTGTGCAGAAAACATGACTTACCGGACGACCTTGTGCCCACACGAGCTCCGGGGACTCTGGGAAAGGAGACCTCCCAGGCGGAGCCCCCTGTGGCACAGCCTCTGCCTCTGCAGTGCTGGGCTCCCCAAACCAACAACTACAGCAGCAGAACTGATATGCAGGTTGGCCAAGCCAAGGACAGTTGCTCACCCTGGCGACACGATTTTTTAAAATGTAATAATGGGGAGTTCTGGCTCTGGGATAATAACTTATATTGAAGAAACACTCATACAGATGACAGCCATGAACTGTGGAGCCCACACACACATGCATTGCACGTGCACACACGTGCACACGCACACACACACACGCATGCCCTCCTGTTTGAAAGCAGAGTTGGGCAGGAAGTAGAGACTATTCACATTTTAAAGGAAAGGCGCCGCGCTCACTCGCGGCTGCCCATGGTCCTGTGAGTTCCCTCTGAGCACCCTCGCTACCTGCTGCAGGAGGGCGGTAGGAACTGAAGCAGACAGCTGCAGTCTCCTTGGATGTGTCTGTTACAGGATGGAATTTGGGGTTGCCAGAAGAGGTGGGGGTCAGAACAGAAGGGATGGAGCCATGGAGGGAGACCCCAAAGTCTATTAACATTTGCGGACCCCTGAAAAAGTTTAGTTTCCAGCTGCTGACCACCGATGGTGAAGATCAGTCTGGAGGCTGAACCCCACCAAGTGCACAGGCCAGGTAAACCATCTGCAGCCTCCCCAGGCCCACCCCAGCAACGCACGAGCCAAACACCCAAAGCTAAGGAGGATCGGCCACAACCAAAATTAGCACACATTGGAGGAGGGAGCAGGTGCCGGGGTCTCTGCCAGTCGTGTCCTTTATGCCGAAAAGAGGCTGAAGTTGTAGCAACATGAAACCCACCTGCAAGGAAAAAACTGATGTGCTCAAAACGAAGCCTGAGAAGACCCCGATGGTAGAACTCACCAGAAAGATCTTTAAACAGCCATTGTAAGGTCTTATGAATGATATAAAAATGTTAGAACTCACCGGAAAGATCTTTAAAGCAGCCATTGTAAGGTCTTATGAATGATACAAAAATGTTAGAATTCACCGGAAAGATCTTTAAACAGCCATTGTAGTCTTATGAATGATATAAAAATGTTAGAACTCACCGGAAAGATCTTTAAACAGCCATTGTAAGGTCTTATGAATGATATAAAAATGTTAGAACTCACCGGAAAGATCTTTAAAGCAGCCATTGTAAGGTCTTATGAATGACATAAAAATATTAGAATTCACCAGAAAGATCTTTAAAGCAGCCATTGTAAGGTCTTATGAATGATATAAAAATGTTAGAACTCACCAGAAAGATCTTTAAACAGCCATTGTAAGGTCTTATGAATGATATAAAAATGTTAGAACTCACCACAAAGATCTTTAAAGCAGCCGTTGTAAGGTCTTATGAATGATATAAAAATGTCTGTTACAAGGTTAAAGATGTTAAAGGAGAAGAAGGTCTTAATGCCTGACTAGATGGAGAAATGAAATCCATGAGAAAGAGACAAATTGAATTTTCAAGAACAGAAAACCACAATATCTGAAATGAAAAATTTATGGGATGTGTTTAAGAGCGAATTGAGAGAGCAGGAAAAAAGCTTAGTAATTTGAAAATGAAACAGTAGATATTCTCAAATATGAAAAAGTAGAGGTAAGATATTAAAAAAAAGAATAGAGCCTCAGTAATATGTGTAGTAAGAAGAAGTGAAGGGACACACATATAATTAGAGAACCAGGGAGAAAACTGAGAGAATTTGGCAGAAGGTTTTGAAGAAAAAATGGCCAAATATTTTACAAATTTGGTTTGAAAGAATCCACAGACCCAAAATGCTCAGTGAACTCTAAGAAGATAAATAGAAAAAAATCATACCTAGCCACAAAATAGTTAAACTGTGGAAAACCAGAGAGAGACAAGTCTGTAAAGCAACCAAGGAAGGGGTCAAACAGAAACCAGAGGAATAATTAGAAAATTATGACTGCCTTATTGTCAGAAGCAATGGGAGCCAGAAGACAATGGAATCATACCTTTAAAGTGATCAAAAACATCTATTGATTCAGAATACTATACCCAGCAAAAATATCTTTTAAAAAATGAGAGCAAAATAAAGACTTTTCAAACAGAAGCTAAGGAATCTATTTTTAACTTAAATACATGTATCCACATGTGGCTACTTTTTTATCTTTCATTTAGTTTCAGGGGTACATGCACAGATTTGTGATTTAGGTAAACTCACGTCATGTGGGGTTTGGTGTACAGATTATTTCGTCATCCAGGTAATAAGCATTGCACCTAATAGGTATTTTTTTCTGATCCTCTCCCTCCTTCTAACCTCCAGGAGGCCCCAGTATGTGTAGTTTTCCTCTCTGTGTCCATGTGTTCTCATCACTTAGCTCCCACTTATAAGGGAGAACATGCAGTATTTGGTTTTCTGTCCCTGTGTTAGTTTGCTAAGGATAATGGCCTCCAGCTCCATCCATGTTGCTGCAAAGGACATGATCTCATTCTTTTTTATGGCTGCATAGTATTCCACGGTGTACATGCACCACATTTTCTTTATCTGTCTACCATTGATGGGCATTTAGGTTGATTCCATGTTTTTGCTATAGTGAATAGTGCTGCAATGAATGTGCATGTGTTTTAATGGTAGAATGAGTTCTCTTCCTTTGTGTGTATACACAATAATGGGATTGCTGGGTCAGATGGTAGTTCTGTTTTTAGTTCTTTGAGGATTTGCCACTCTGCTTTCCCCAATGGTTGAACTAATTTATGCTCCCACCAGCAGTGTATGAGCATTCCCTTTTCTTCACAGCCTCACAGCATCTGTTGTTTGTCCACTTTTTAGTAATAGCCATTCTGATGGGTGTGAGATACTATCTTATTGGGGTTTTGATTTGCATTTCTTTAATGATCCATGATGTTGAGCATTTTTTCATGTGCTTGTTGGCCACATGTATGTCTTCGTTTGAAAAGTGTCTGTTCATGTTCTTTGCCCACATTGTTTTTTGCTTGCAAATTTGTTTAAGTTCCTTATAGATGCTGGGTATTAGACCTTTGTTGGATGCATAGTTTGGAAATATTTTCTCCCATTTTGTACGTTTTCTGTTTACTCTGTCGATAGTTTCTTTTGCTGTGCAGAAGCTCTTAAGTTTAATTAGATCCCATTATCTACCATAATGGACAGCGCACCTCTAGAGCAACCACTCAAATATTAACGCTATGCATTACAGCCAATACGAGCTAAAGCTCAATGTTAAAAATATTTGATTAACCCAAAAGAAAGCAAAAAGAAATCAGAGGAACAAGTATATGAATAGGACATATGGAAAACAACAGTAAAATGGTAGGCTTCAACCCAGTCATAATAATACGTGTACTAAAGTAAGTGGAATAAGTAAGTAAAAGGCTACAGTTCTAACCCTGGGGAAAAAATGTCAACATTAAGGGTGCAACATTTAACTCCCTCCGTAAGATGAGATAAAACACGAGGATGCCGACTCTCAGCTCCTCTACTTAACATTCTAATGGAGGTCCTCGCCAGACACAGAAGGCAAACAAGAAGAGAAAAAGCACGAAATTTAAAAGGAAGGAGCTCCTTCCATGTTTAGGTTCCAGGTTTATTCTTATATCACATGATTGTTTACATAGAAAACCTAAGGAAACTACAAATCAAATCCTGGAACAGATCATGCCATTCATCAAGGCTAGGACATGAATGAAATAGGTAGAAATCAATTGCATTTCTGTAGACCCATAATGAATAATTGGAAAATGCAGTTAGTTTTAAACATCTCAACAGCATTGTAGAATTGTGGTGCTCTAAGATAGACCATCTAAATAAATCGAGAGCTAGACTGTGATGCATTGGAAGTCTCAGTAATGTGAAGATGTGAAATCTCCCCAGACTGAGGTATGGATTCAGTGCAACCTCAGTAGAATCAATGTCATTCAAAGCAACCTCAGTTTTTAGAGAAACTGACAAGAAGATTCTAAAATGTGTGAAAATGTGAAGAACCTAGAAGTGCCAAGACAGTCTTGATAAAAAAGAACACAGTTGGAGGACTCACGCTATCTGATTTCAAGACTTGCGTTAAATCTAATCGGGACAGTGTGATATTCATATAAGAATAGAAAAGGGTCTCTCAGCCTCAGCACTCTTGATATTTGGGGCCAGACAATTGTCTCTCATTGGGGGGATCTCCGTGCACCTTCAGCATTCTTGATATTTGGGGCCAGACGATTCTCTCTTGTTGGGGGCCCTCTGTGCACTGTAGGATCTTTTCATGGCATCTCTGGCACCTGTCCAGTAGACACGAGTAGCACCCTCCTCTAAATTGTGGCAAACTCAAAATATCTCCATACATCACCAGATGTCCCTTGAGGGCCTAATCGCCCCAGATTAAGAACTACTCAAATAGACAAAATAGATCCGTGTGACAGAATAGAGACTCCAGCCGTCAAAATCTTTAAATTCTGTTCATTAAAAGACACAACTAAGAAAATGGAAAGGCAAGCCATAGAATAAGGGAAATGTCTGTCTGACAAAGGGCTTGAATGCAGAATATGTCAAGAACTCCTACAAAACAAGAACGTAAAGACAACCCCAGAAAAATGGGCATAAAAGCCAAAAGGTTACTTTGCAAAAGAAGATACACAAATGTCCAATAAGAATTAGTCATCCAGGAGGTGAAAGTGAAAACTTTATTGGGATACACTTCAATTTCACTAGAATGGCCTAAGTTAAAAAGAATGACAATACAACATGCCCAAGAGGATACGGGTGGAGGCCACAGTCAACATCTGTCAAAACTCACTGAGTCCTACAAGTGAGACCTGTGCCTTTCACTGTCTATCAATTTTCTCTCAATTAATACAATTTAATGGGTATATATTTTTCTGTTTCATTTCTATGTAAGAAAGAAAAATAAATTTTTTGGTAAGTTTACCTTGTTCTTTTAAGAAAAATTTAAACAGTTGAAATATTTTCTTCAGACCAGTTGTTTCTGAGACATCTACCAAATGCTAAAATCTCGAGTCACAATACAGGTCTTGCAAGGACAAGTTAAACATAGTATGTGTTAACATTAAGTAAGTGCTCACCATGTATTATACTTGTATTGCATGTAACATTCTTACCTTATATTCACAGAACTCCATAAGTTATGTCCTGTGACTACTGTCCTCATTGTACGTTGCATAGATTAAGAGATTTGTCCAAATGACACCGTTGGCGAGAGGTTGAGCCAGGATCTCAATGTGGGCTTTCAGGCATCAACACATGTGCTCCACTGTGCATACAAACTGCCTTCTGCGCACCATGTTACTTCCGACCTGTAAAGCACATTTCACGGCCAAGCACACTGTTGGCCTCAGCATAGCGTTTCCTGTAGACAGGAAAAATGATCCCAGGCCCGCCTCTTTGAGTGTCTTTCCCATGGTGTCTTATTTTCACCTTCTAAAAATAAATGTTCACGTTGCTTCATCCCCCCATCCAAGAAAACTCACAGCCTTTCTCAAATCGCCTGTCCTCTCTGCTGTTCCTGACAAGTTGTTCAAAAGTTCCACTCATACTTCCATTTTCTTACCTTAACGTCTGCGATCTCATTTCTGCACCCATATCCACTGAAACTGTCCTTTTTAAAAATGACCCCAGCTTGCTGCATCTGACGGTCTTTCCCCATCTCATTCCACTTGATTTCTCAGCATCTGCTCCGGGGCCGGGCTCCTCCTGTCCCTCGGGTGCCCAGGAGCGTCCCCCGCCCCACGCCCCTCTCACTTTCCTCCTGGATTCCCTTCGTGGCCCCGCCTCACCTGAGAGGCCTCCTCCACCTTTCTGCTGCGTGACACTCACAGCCCGACGTCTTCCACACTTTTACATCTGAAGCACTCAGAGGTTCACAGCCCTGCCCGTCACACTTGCTCTGTTCTTTCACAGACTTCTTGGAAGTGCCCTAGAATCAGCAGGTCCAAATCAAACTCAGGTCCAACCTCCAAAACCTGTTTTTCTTCCTATCATAGATCTTGCCTTTGTTGGGAGAAGTCTAGGCGCCTTGGAATCATCTCACCTCTAACACATTCCTCATTCCTGTGGGCTCTGTCCCTAAAATCCAAGCCCTTTGGTGTCTCATGAGAAACCAGCTCAAGTCTGCAGGAGCCTCTCGGGGTCTGTGTCCAGGACACCACTTCCTGCATTCAGGCACCTCGTCCTCCAGGCCCCACGCACAGGGACCGTCCTGAGCTCCCAGCTCACAAGTCCCTGATTAAGAACTTGCAGTACTTTTCTTTTGCCTGTGGCATAAACATCAAGCTGTCTGGGGTGTCCCTCACAGTTTCCCACTCTGCTTCCCCAAACTTCTCTCCCAGAATGCCTTTCCCCCTTTACCCTCTGCTCTCCAGACAAACAATGCTCACTCCCCGCCTCCCAGCTGGCACACACTCTACATTTCCTTTTAGCATTTTGCATTAAGAAATCTATGTTCCAGTCTTTGTCCCCAACACACTGTCAACTACACGAGTGCTACGCTTGCCATCTTGCAGAAGGCCTTTCTTGCACTTCCAAGCACCCAGACTTACGTGGGAGGTGCCTTATTAAGATGCCTTCTCCTCGTGTTCTGTTTGGGAAGCCTTTGGTGGCACATCCTTCAAACCTGCCCAGTCCTGGTTATAGCAAAGGACGGGTAGAGCCAAGTGGACGAGAGCCGGAGGTGGTTGGTCCGGCTGGGTCAGGGTCAGCTGCACTGGGACCAGGGCAGAGGAGAGCCAGAGGAGGTTGTCCACACTGGGTTGGGGTCAGCTACACGAGGACCAGGGCAAAGGAGGTTGTCATGGCTGGGTCACTGTTAGCTGCACTGGGACCAGGGCAGAGGAGAGCCAGAAGAGGTTGTCCACACCGGGTTGGGGTCAGCCCCGTTGGGACCCAAGCCAGCGTCATGCATCTGAGCATGCTGGCTCTCACTCTCAGCTGGCCGTGGGTCAGCCATTGCAGCCCCACCTGCCACGGGCTCCAGGAAGAGCAGTCATCAGTATGGAGAAGGCCGGACTCTGCTCAGAAGCCACTGAGCAGGTGCTCCATAGACTCACCAGCTGGAGCGGGGTCACATCTCGGAGGCACCGTCAGCACCAGGAGGGCAGCCAAGCAAGGGTATGGCATTTCCGAGCCTCTGCGGTCAAGGGTATCGCATTTCCGAGCCTCTGCGGTCAAGGGTATGGCGTTTCCGAGCCTCTGCGGTCAAGGGTATGGCGTTTCCGAGCCTCTGCAGTCAAGAGCCCAGAGATGGGTTGTCGGGGCAGCTGTGGGGGCATCCCAGATGTGGGTGCCAACAGTGAGATGCAAATGTGGATTTCCCTCAAAAATGTGCTGTTAGGGAACAAGCATGCCTTCATCTCCTGCAAGGGCACAGAAAGCTCAAGAACACTTTTTACCCTGAATGTGGAAATGATCTGGAAAGAAGCCATTTTCTGAAATCCAGTCATTAATTGTGATATTATTTGAAATGTATACTGAAAGGTGTTCTAAGAATTTCCATTTTGCAGGTGGAATAATACACACATGTGCACGCACAGCACACGCACGCGTGTGCACACGAATGTCTGTTTCACTAGCACTGTTTAGCGTGCTCCATTTTCCATTGAATGCAGTGGAAGAAACACTTCTTATATTTGGGAGCTTCTCCTGTCAGATCCCATTTATAGAAATGAGAAGATGATCTCTGTATTTCAAATGAACACATTTAGTATGGAAAAAAATTTTCTTAAATATCTCCTTAGCACAACCTGCATAGAATCCTTACTGCTTTCCAAGGTAACAAGGGAGATGGTTTACGTTGTGTATTTTCAAGCATGTTTAGATGGATCTAAACAGCTGGGGTCAGAGGCCCTTTCAGGGGTACCCTTTGTTATGTATATTCGTTCTCATAATGACCTAAGTCACAGAGGAGGTTCTGAGCCCAGGATTCAGCAAGCAGCTCTGGAACCATTCGCAAAGGGCGAGAACAAGGTTGAACACCAGGAATCCTGCAGTTCTGTCTTGGGGTTATGGATTCACTTGCACAGCTTTCCGTCTCGCCTGTTTGTGGATGACAATCTAAGGGGAGCAACATCTGAAAGGCAAAACTAGAACAAAAACATTTCTGTGTTATTCTAGAAAACTTTTCACTATTTAAAAAAAAATTCTGAGCTACTAAGTCCATATAGCAAAATATGTTTCCATTTCTGACACCTGGGATGCCGCAGGAATTACCACTTAGAGAGATAACCAAAGGGGCTGAAAGTCAACTTCAAAATGCCCCGGGATGTAGGAGGGGGATTTTCAGGGGGAAGAGTCAGGTGGATTTTGTGGAGTGAGCCGTGCTGGGGACTTCACCCTGTGTCACCTGGCGGGGCCACCGGAGGGTGCATCCCCCCATCTTGATTGGCTCCCCCTAGTCCTAGTTCTTGAGTTTTGATCTGTGACTGTGAGGAACCTGGCCTTCTGGGACTCTATATGATAAAATGCTAAGCCATTATAATATTTTTTAAAAAGCCTCTTAAGCCAAATGAGGCTGAGGTTTTATTTGTTATTTTTTAACTATTTAAAAAGTCTGTGGTATCAGAGGATGGGATCTTTGGCTCTGTGGTCCTATGACTCAGCATCTTGAGTGCTTAAAATCCCAGTGACCTTGGGATTTTAAAGCATGAATTCCAGAGCCAGGCCACCTGGACTCAGAAGGGAGTGCTGCCCCCATCCCGCCCAAGCCTGAGTGCATGACCTGGCACCAGTGTGTGATGACCTGGCACCAGTGTGTGAAGACCTGTGCGTGATGACCTGGAACCAGTGCGTGATGACCTGACACCAGTGTGTGATGACCTGGCACCAGTGCTTGATGACCTGACACCAGTGCATCATGACCTGACACCAGCGCGCAATGACCTGACACCAGTGCACGATGACCTGGCACCAGTGCGTGATGACCTGACACCAGTGCGTCATGACCTGACACCAGTGCGTGATAACCTGGCACCAGTGCGTGATGACCTGACACCAGTGTGTGATGACCTGGCACCAGTGTGCGATGACGTGGCCCCAGTGTGCCATGACCTGGCACCAGTGTGTGATGACCTGACACCAGTGTGTGATGACCTGGCACCAGTGCACAATGACCTTGCAGCAATGTGCGTCTGATGCTGCATTCATAGGAGGAAGGTTGGGAAGAGGCCTGGTTTATAGGACTAATGTAAACATTAAATGTGTTAGGACAATGCAAAACACTTATTAGCATTTCTGGCGTAATCTTGCATAGAAAATGTTAGCTATTGTGAGTCTATGTTTTAAAAAAAATTATTAGCTTTCTTCAGCGGCAACATTTATGTGTCACACTCCATTTTGAAATAAAGAGAATCATTGAGAGAATATGTATTTGAAACATAGACTCACAAAATACATGGATCCACCTGTGAGGGCTGTCCAGCAGCCACTGCCAGAGTGATGAGCCATGGCTCAGAGGTGATCCCTTCGTTCACGTAGCAGGCACTGGTTAGAAACTGTGGACACCAGATCCAGAGGACGAGAATCCTTCTTTTATGTTTTCTCAGTCTAGAAGGCAGCTTCAATTTGAGAATGTTAAAATGCAAAACGGTGGTGTTAATCAGAAGGAACGGCTGTTGTATTGGAAGAAAATTGGTAATTGGTAGAAAGTGCCGATTGGTAGAAATGGAGGGTATGAAACCAGCAATCTCAAGGAAGCATGGAAGGAGAGCAGAAGTGCGGGAAGTTTACATTTCTGCAAAGACAAAGGTGAGTCAAGTTAAGAGCCTCAGTCAGGGCTCTTGGCATCCACCTGAGGCCACACTGCTCGGGCTCCATAGCTCGGGGCTTCGTCCGCTGCACATGACTCTGTATTAAACACGCACAGGCACGTGGACACATTCAAAGGAAGCCAGCAGTGGTCTCTTACAGAATGAGTCCACGCATCCATCAACCTGAGCCTGAAACTTGTGACCGTGTCTCAGGATGCTGTTGACATTTTGCCGCTCTGTTGAACCCATGCTTTCAGGGTGGTGACAGCCAAGGTCAGGGATCCGTGTTAGCTCGCCTTCTGTTCACTGGCAGTCGACCTGGGGGATCCACAGAGGAGGGGAGGGGACAGGGCCCCTGCTGGTGCTGGTGCCGGTCCCCACATCTGCAGCAGAGCTGCCCGTCCCACTGCCCAGGTGCAGCGGGAGTCGGCGGGCATCGATGTGAAGACTGTGTGCTTCATACCCAGTAAAATTAGAATCAGCTCAAAACTAATTTCCTCCCTTTGCTTTCTCTCTCTCTCTCTCTCTCTCTGTCTCTCTCTCTCTCTCTTTCCTTTTTTTGGTCTAAGTCAGGGAGGGGAAGGTAGGTAGGAGCTGCTATATGTTATACATTTTCTTTTAAAGCAAAAATATTTAGCAGAAAGAATGACTTTAAATCTATAATGAATAAGCTTCACTTAATAAGAATTCATTGAGTCCAGTTTTTTTTCTCTGATATTCCATTTTTAAAGACTGAAGTAAATCAGAGAAAAACCACACCAAGGGTTTACTTTGAAAAGAAAGTGTGTGCTTTAATGCCCAACTCTGGAGTCAGAATCGTCCACCTAACATCTATAGACATTTTTATGTACCTGCTTGTGCACTGATATTTAATGTTCCTATTATCATCCAAAACAGGCAAGAAGAATAATTAATCATTTCTGTCCACATTTCTACAGCTTTTGATAAAATAAAATGAATTTTACTGCACTGTGGAAAGATTGTCAATAAAACTGGAAAGTGGTCCAGTTAGCCAGAAGTTTAAGCTAAGCCAGACCTTTCATCGGCCAAACACTCACAGGGTTCTTCCATGCTTTTAACATTTCACAAAACGGCGAGAAGGAAGACCAGAGAACATTGATTTATTTTAAGGGAGTTTGGAAGAAAACGACCGTTGTGCTTATAAAATGGTTTTCATTTAGCCTACTCCTCCTATTATATTTGCTGATATTGCATAACCTGGACAACTTTGCATAAGTTAAAACTGAAAGTGAGCCTTGTATTTTTTCTGTTATTTTTTAAATATGTAAAGTTGCCAGAGAGCCAATAATTTTTATGAGACTCTCAGTTTTTTGGCTTAAATTCAGGAGCTGAGTTTGCTATTATGCTGTGTGAGTTACTAGTGCTTACAGCACTTTTTTAAAAATATGGAATGACCCAAATTTCACTACCTGGCCATAAAATCTCAGGTTTCAAAGGCAATTTTGTAAATAGCCTCCCCTATTACTTTTGATGAAATTCACATTCATAAATATGAATCTCAGAATATTTGCATATGGCAAAGTTACTCATCAAGACACAGACATTCAGTTGGAAATGTGATGCTAGCCTCTGGGTGTGGATTGGACGGTCGTTCCCATCTCTGGCCTGTGGCGGGTGCTCAGCCTCTGGGTGTGGGTTGGACGGCTGTTCCCATCTCTACCCTGTGGCGGGTGCTCAGCCTCTGGGTGTGGGTTGGATGGCTTTCCCATCTCTGGCCTGTGGCGGGTGCTCAGCCTCTGGGTGTGGGTTGGACGGCTGTTCCCACCTCTGCCCTGTGGCGGGTGCTCAGCCTCTGGGTGTGGGTTGGACGGCTGTTCCCATCTCTACCCTGTGGCGGGTGCTCAGCCTCTGGGTGTGGGTTGGACGGCTGTTCCCATCTCTACCCTGCAGCGGGTGCTCACCCTCTGGGTGTGGGTTGGACGGCTGTTCCCATCTCTGCCCTGTGGTGGGTGCTCAGCCTCTGGGTGTGGGTTGGACGGCTGTTCCCATCTCTACCCTGCAGCAGGTGCTCAGCCTCTGGGTGTGGGTTGGACGGCTGTTCCCATCTCTACCCTGCAGCGGGTGCTCACCCTCTGGGTGTGGGTTGGACGGCTGTTCCCATCTGTACCCTGTGGTGGGTGCTCAGCCTCTGGGTGTGGGTTGGACGGTCGTTCCCATCTCTACCCTGCAGCAGGTGCTCAGCCTCTGGGTGTGGGTTGGACGGCTGTTCCCATCTCTACCCTGCAGCAGGTGCTCAGCCTCTGGGTGTGGGTTGGACGGTCGTTCCCACCTCTGCCCTGTGGTGGGTGCTCAGCCTCTGGGTGTGGGTTGGATGGTCATTCCCACCTCTGCCCTGCAGCGGGTGCTCACAGAATGCCTTTTCTCCTTTCTTCTTTCCTGTAGCCAGACCTACCTGCAAGCTGCAAGCGATGTGCCTGTGGGACACAGCCTGGACCCCGCTGCGAACTACAACTCCCCGAAATTCCGCTCCCGGAACCAGAGCTACATGAGGGCCGTCAGCACCCTGAGCCAGGCCAGCTGCGTGAGCCAGGTCAGGGTCCCTTCGCCCTTTCTCCCTGGGGTCCAGTCTCCCCAGCCAGGCTGGCACGGAGGCCCCGGCCGCATAGGTGGCGATGGCGCTGCCCTCCTGGTCAGCAGCACTTGGGCAAGGCTACACCAAAGGGGGTTCCCCTGGAATTAGCTCTGGCTGATTAGACTCGTGGACTTACTGTTATATTTTTGACGTGTATAACTCCATATCATTTTTGCGTTGATTTTTTTCTGAGGAAGCAATGACCAAAAGGGTGGTCATCCTGGCCTCTCTTGTTGATAAAGCACAGGCTGTCTTCCTTCTTCCCAGGCTATTTTTCCAGTAAAAGGGGGCCAGGGAAAGGCTCTGGCAGCATGGCTCTCAGCTCTGTCCTCTGAATTGTGCCTCAGAAAGTCCTGTGAGAGGATAGCCTGGTGTCGCTCACAGAGTCCTGCCGGTCGGCCCCACTCCCAGGGCAGGACTGATTTCGGGACAGGCACAGTGGCCAGGAGAAGGGTCCCTGGGCACCACGGGAGGGGTGGTATTAAAATCAGGTGCCTGAGACACGGGGGCTGTGAAAGGGAGGCCCCCCTGCTCCCCACCTGTGGTGGACGGGCCTGAGAACGCACAGTGAAAAAATCGGCAAGTGTCCTTCAGTCTAATCATCCTATATTACATGGCAAAGAAGAATCGAAAGTTTATCATTTTAATTAAGCACGTTGCTTACTCACTTAAATGCCTTTGAAAACAGTGCTTGAGCTGACCTTGAGTTTGTATACCTAACAAACATTTTCTCTTAGTGTGGAGTAGGGATTAAGAGCCTGAGCCGACCTCACATTCTCTCTGACTTACTGTGGAGTAGGGATTAAGATCTTGAGCCGACCTCACATTCTCTCTGACTTACTGTGGAGCAGGGATTAAGAGCCTGAGCCGACCTCACATTCTCTCTGACTTACTGTGGAGCAGGGATTAAGAGCCTGAGCCGACCTCACATTCTGTCTGACTTACTGTGGAGCAGGAATTAAGAGCTTGAGCCGACCTCACATTCTTTCTGACTTACTGTGGAGCAGGGATTAAGAGCCTGAGCTGACCTCACATTCTCTCTGACTTACTGTGGAGCAGGGATTAAGAGCTTGAGCCGACCTCACATTCTGTCTGACTTACTGTGGAGCAGGGATTAAGAGCTTGAGCCAACCTCACATTCTCTCTGACTTACTGTGGAGCAGGAATTAAGAGCTTGAGCCGACCTCACATTCTGTCTGACTTACTGTGGAGCAGGAATTAAGAGCCTGAGCTGACCTCACATTCTCTCTGACTTACTGTGGAGCAGGAATTAAGAGCCTGAGCTGACCTCACATTCTTTCTGACTTACTGTGGAGCAGGGATTAAGAGCCTGAGCTGACCTCACATTCTCTCTGACTTACTGTGGAGCAGGAATTAAGAGCTTGAGCCGAGCTCACATTCTCTCTGACTTACTGTGGAGCAGGGATTAAGAGCTTGAGCCAACCTCACATTCTCTCTGACTTACTGTGGAGCAGGAATTAAGAGCTTGAGCCGACCTCACATTCTGTCTGACTTACTGTGGAGCAGGAATTAAGAGCCTGAGCTGACCTCACATTCTCTCTGACTTACTGTGGAGCAGGAATTAAGAGCCTGAGCTGACCTCACATTCTGTCTGACTTACTGTGGAGCAGGGATTAAGAGCTTGAGCCGACCTCACATTCTCTCTGACTTACTGTGGAGCAGGAATTAAGAGCTTGAGCCGACCTCACATTCTGTCTGACTTACTGTGGAGCAGGAATTAAGAGCCTGAGCTGACCTCACATTCTCTCTGACTTACTGTGGAGCAGGAATTAAGAGCCTGAGCTGACCTCACATTCTCTCTGACTTACTGTGGAGCAGGGATTAAGAGCCTGAGCGCAGGGATTAAGAGCCTGAGCCGACCTCACATTCTCTCTGACTTACTGTGGAGTAGGGATTATTCTGGGCTTCTGGGCCAAGGCCTGGGCTTTCTGTGCCCTCCCATTATGCAGTTATCGGCGTGACAATGGAAGTACACAGTCAATTTTAGATGCTATTAGGCAAAGAGTCCAGCATATACTGAGCACTCAAAAATGATAGCCCTTATTATTACCATGATAACAATAAGTAATACTATATAATTCTGGGCACTAAAGCCCTCCTGGCTGCAGATCATGCTGTGAGCTCTTGGTAGCTTGCCTGGGGCTCAGTAAGCACAAGTCTTTCTTTTGCCGCAGACTTTAAATTCCTCATGAGGTAGAGTCTATTCATTTTGCAGGTTTTTTCCTCATCGGAAGGTTGTACCCAGGACTTTTTCCACTGAACTATTGAGGCTTTTCCTATTGCACAACTCAAGAAGGATACCACCTCTTTTATCTACTCGGTTACTTCTTTCCTTCCAGAAATGGAATTAAGTTCTCATCTGCATCAGGAATTGCATTGACTCTTTTTCCCAATGACAAGGAAAGACCGTCCCTAGCCCTGCGCTCAAGTCCTGGGCAAATGGGAATGGTGGGTCCTCCAGCCCCCTGCTCCCAGCCAGCCCCCTGCAAACAATAACATCAACTGATCCTCCCCAACTAGATAATTGTAATTATTTTAATAACTGAGGAAACATTCTATTTCAGCATAAAGTCCAAGATGATATGGGGAGACACTAATTAACTAAACAGAGTAACTGAAAGTCAGTGATACATTTTAACAACTTGCTCCATACACAGAGATGAGGATACAGCAGACTTTCTTCTTTTAAAGCTATCACCTTCCCTTTCAGTGGATATAACCTAGTTTACCAAAATACAGCTTTAAAAATCCGATGTAACCCAACAAAAGGTTTAAACAGAAGTGCAAAGTTATCTCATCCGAGGTGTGAACGTTCATCTCTAATACTTTTCCACAAACAACTTTCAATTAAATGGATCTCACACCTCTTTAAATGCTCTTATGAAACATTCAGAGGCTCTTTGCGACTCGTCGTCCTGTTTGGGGGTAAATGTAAGCTAAATATACTAGTTCTCTCGTCATCTTGCTTTTGATGAACCCAAGATGGTATCTACCAAAATAAGTCAGTGAAAATAACATTTTCTCACATCTTTGTCTATCTGAAAGGATTCATCATTGGAAACAATGGTTAAGCAGACAAGTTGGGTGCTTGGGGGTTTATTTAACGACCTTGAAATTTAGAATTCTAAGTCATTCCTATGCAGAGTTCTATGGCATTACTTTAAATTGAACTCAGTTTTGAATTCTCAGGAAAAAAAAAAGTGTTATTCAAAATAATCCTGGAATGCTGGTAGTAAGTGAGACTGTATCACACCCAGAAACAAACGTAGTAGGTGAGAAGACTGTGTCACACCCAGAAACAAACTTCCACTAATTGATTGTCCAGCCCTAGGCCACGAGACCTGACAATTCTGGAAGGAAGGGGACAGTGCCCATGGTTGAGGGTGGGACATCTGGAATTACTAACACTTAGGGGCTCTGGAGAGATGTGAATTTGGTGACAAACCAAAGTTTGTTGAAAGTTTGCCCTTGGCCAGTCGCGGTGGCTCACGCCTGTAATCCCAGCACTTTGGGAGGCCGAGGTGGGTGGATCACGAGGTCAGGAGATCGAGACCATCCTGGCTAACATGGTGAAACCTCGTCTCTACTAAAAATACAAAAAATTAGCTGGGCATGGTAGCGGGCACCTGTGGTCCCAGCTACTCGGGAGGCCGAGGCAGGAGAATGGCGTGAATCCGGGAGGTGGAGCTTGCAGTGAGCCGAGATCACGCCACTGCACTCCAGCCTGGGCGACAGAGCGAGACTCCATCTCGAAAAAAAAAAAAAAGTTTGCCCTTCATGTTTAACATTCAATTTTTTCTCAAGCACAGGAAGGGAATTAAAAATCTAACTGAAGTCTTGTGAGAGGTGCTTATGTCCATGCCGTTTCCTCCTTGGAACCTCAGTAGCTGCACTCTGCTTGGGTTTCCTGCAGCTCATGTCCCGAGGGTCTCGGCGGGAGGTCCGGGTGTCCCGAGGGTCTGGGCGGGAGGTCCGGGTGTCCCGAGGGTCTCGGCGGGAGGTCCCAGTGTCCCGAGGGTCTCGGCGGGAGGTCCGGGTGTCCCGAGGGTCTCGGCGGGAGGTCCGGGTGTCCCGAGGGTCTGGGCGGGAGGTCCGGGTGCCCCAAGGGTCTGGGCGGGAGGTCCGGGTGAACAGATCATTTTAATTCCCTGCTGGACCATCTTGAGATGCTGCTCAACCACTTTTTATTTGTTTTGGGGAGGAGGAGTCACCTTCATGTCTAGAACCTCACTGAAAGGCTTGTAGCTGGAAGCATAGCCGAGGGTCCTTGCTGAGATGCCAGCTTCTGTTTGTGAAATGCACATACCAGGTTAATGGTGTCTCTTCTTTAGGAGCGAGGGCAGCTGGGCCCTGGGTCGGGCTTACAGAAGGGTGTCCACTGAGGTGTACTAGGGCCTCACACAGGTTCTGACCTTCTCACGCTGTCTACGATACATCTTTGACAGGAATGACACAATCTAAGACTTTTCCATAAAATTCTACATAAGTGAAAACTTACATTGGAAGAAATTTATGGTCCAGAAAAACATCCTGTTTCCAAGCCAGTGTGCATGCTTCTGAGCCCTTTGCTGGGTTCCTGAGGCCATCCTGCCGGCTGTGTCCTGGTTGTGCCTGCCTGGGTTTGTCTGTCTCTGTCCAGTGTCAGGAATCCTCAGACCTTTCTGAAAAAGGCCACCCCGCCGGCATTGTGCCAACTCTTTCTGCAGCCTGGCATGGGTCTGTCTTCCCTGCAGGGTGGCTTCAGGCTTTGCTGCCCTTTGCTCACCCCCTGCCTCTCCAGGGTCCATGCTGAGTTAGGCTCACGAGGAAAGAGGCCGTCCTTCCAGCACGTAGGTCACCTCAGGTGAAACCAGAGAAGTCCACAGGTCTGAACTTGGAGACAGGCAACCAGTGTCGTGTTGTGTCAACAACACAACTGCTAGAGGGAGAACCTGATTCTTTGACCTTGCCTTTTACTCTGCTGACAACTAAAGGAAAAGAACTAATCTGGTGTTTAAAACAGTGTATTTTTACAATGTATCTGCCAACATAATCCAGGGGGTTCAGAAAGCTGTTGGTGCTTTGAGCTGTCACACATCCCCAGGAGAAACAAGAAGAGAAATAATCTGAATGGGAGGGGGTGAGGGGAGAAAGAGAGACAGGGGAGGAAGGATGGAAGGGAGGGAGGATGGGAGGGAGGGGAAAATGAAGTGAGTATACTAATATCCTAAGCTAAGGAAGAATAAAAAAAGCCTGGAATTTAGGTAAAGTAGCACATTTCATGTGGACGAAAACACCAGTACAGCCATTTCTTTCTCATCTGGACTCAGATATATGCTGCCGTAATGGGGATAAGGAGATGAGTTTAGAAGCCAAATTTGTGATGAGTTGCCATGGCAATGGGTAGAAGCAGACTCCATATTCTGAAAAAGAACTGAGTAGTGTATGCACTGAATGTGCTTTCCCTTATACGGCCTCAGTGCCTGGAGCCATCGTGCCATTAGTAGCTTGGAAAGGGGGGGCCGTCATGTGGGAAAGGGAAGGAAGAAATGGATTCTGAACCCTTCCTTTGTACCAGGTACTTTGCTAATCTTTTAAAAGTTCTATCTCTCTTACACTTTGTAATAACTGTCAGCCTTACCTTGAAGGTTTGCCTTGCGGTCCCCCAGAATTTCATCAACACTTGGAATTGGCTGTTTGCCTAAGTGTTTCGTAAGGGAAAACCCAATGCTGTATTTCCCAAGCTCAGCCGATGCCCATGCTGACTTCAGGTTAACTGTGCTGAACTATGAGGCAGTGAAAGGCAGCCTGGGAATGAGCGCGCTCTCCTGGCTTTTCTGTAACGTGATGGTGACCCTGGAGGGCCGGGGCATCACGTGTGCTGTTGATGATTGCAGGTGAGCGAGGCGGAGATCAATGGGCAATTCGAGTCCGTGTGCGAGTCCGTCTTCAGTGAAGTTGAATCTCAGGCCATGGATGCCCTCGACCTCCCGGGATGTTTCCGAACAAGGAGTCACAGCTACCTTCGAGCCATTCAAGCCGGCTACTCCCAAGATGACGAATGTATTCCCATGATGACACCCTCTGACATCACCTCCACCATCAGGTCAACAGCAGGTAAGGGGACGCCATTTTCAGCCTTCCAGCGGGGACTCTAGAGGCATACCTGTCTTCATCCTAGAAGGAGCGAGCAGCACACAGCACCACAGTACAATGTACTCTCCTGACATCTAGTAACGTTTCCTAATTGCATGTGTTACACTGTCACATTCGCAAGGGTGTTTTGTCTCTTGTAGATAACCTTTCTTTTTCTTAGAATGAAATCTACTCATTAGCAAGTTTCCTTAAAATAATCAAGTGTAACTTGTGTAAAGTTTTAGAGAGGAGAAAGAAATGGAAGTGCTAGCATTTGGAAGGTGATTAAGTTTTAAATACCAAAGTTTAATGGATTGCAGTGAGATTTCTGCTGATGCGCAGTGACTCTCAGGCTGCCCTGTAGTGACGTCCAGCCGGTCTCTTGCTCAGTAAGCAGATCTGTAAACATGACTCACCGCCGCTAAGCAGGTCCATCATTAATGCAGATGCACTAACTATCTTAGAGCTCCGAAGACTCAGTCTCGCAATTTCCTTTAGTTCTCATGGAAAACCATACCCACCCCTTTGAAAATTTACCGCCCAACCTAAATATCACTGCCTAATATTTTACTGCCTAATATGTTATTATTTCTATAACACGATGAATACACATGGCCTAGAGAAACCCATAAAACACAGCAAGCAATAAAAGCTCGAGGCGCCGCACATAGAGGTTAAGGAAAGGAGCTATAAAAAAACATAGTGTTGGGGACTGAGGTGTTCTGAATACCAGAGGGCTTGGAATGCTGCAGCTGTATCTTAGAAATTTAAAGGACAGCTCCGAGGGGAAATAGAACAAAGCTATGTTCATGATGAATAGCATTAGGAACAGCAGACACATAACAGGAGAGAAGCAAAGAGAAATTCAGGCAGGAGTGTGTCATCATACCTGTGAATAGGTCTTGGTTTGTTTCAATGCTAAAGTGAACAAGAAATCCAGGAGATTGCACTTTGCAGAATTAGAAATTGCAGTCGGCACTATCATTGCACTTTGTGTAGAAAGTATTTCATAGTAGAGTCTGTGGATGGAAGGGAAGGAACTGTGTTCAAACCGTGTTCCATCATGTCCTCGCTGCAAGAACTTAGGCTTGTTAACGTTTCTGACTCTTGGTTTCTGCGGTATTCAAGAGAAGCTGTAGCCATAGATAATTTATTTGCATAAATTTAAAGATTATTTTTCAAAGAAAGCTGTGGATCCTCGGTGTGCTTTTTATGTGGTAGATATTTCTTCAATGCTGGCACCACTGAGCCGGGGGCTTCGGGAGAAAGGCAACAGATCCTGGCTCTCTGGCTCCCAGCAGGGCTTTCTGTACGAGGGAGGGTGGTGCCCAGGACCCACCCAAGGGAAATCCACAGGCTGACAACACATCCCCCAGGTGCAGCCACCGGGCAGCTGTGGGCACCCTGCGTAGCCTCCTGTTTTCCTCTGGTTTGGCCGGTTCTGCTCACTCCTGCCCCTTGGTGAAGTCCTGGGCCAGTTCTCATGCTCTGTCCTGATGTGAACATTGAACAAATTAGAATCAGGGAAGTAATGAGATTTACAATGATTGCATTGAAAAACAGCGGTCCAAGAGATCATTACTCATACTTTCAGCAGTATTTGTTTACTGTCTCTTAGGAGCAAGTAAACAATTAAGAACTTTCATAGTCTTCAGAAATGCTTTGAAACAATCATTACCTCGTAGAAAAGGACTTTATTGTTTTTAGGACTGTCATTATAGAGAGAATAAAAATAAAACAGATTTCACAGAGATAAGAACCAGTTCTGAGCTCAGACTAAAATTTTAATTTATATATATACAATGTTTACCATGTATATTTTGTATTCCAAAAATACACCTACCAAATAAATTACAAAAAAAAGATTCCATTCAGAGTTTCTACCGGATCTTGGCCCAGTTTTGAGTCAGAATTTCCTCTAGGTGATGCAGGGGACTGTCCAAGTTATGTGACATCTGAGAATCAAATGAGAAAAGAAATGAAAAGCACTAGGGGAAATACTTAGCACTGTAGGATTACAAGTTACCCTTGTGAAGAAATAAAAGTACAGATTAATCATTAACCTCTGCTGTTTCCCATTTTACTCTAAGTATTGTATATTAGTTATTTAAATCTTTATTTACTAAATAAAATTTAGATGACATGCAATATAGTCTATTTAGCAAGATTATGGAAAAATACCAAAGAAATGAAAACTCCCAGTCTGGGAAAACAAAATTATGGAGGAAAACTATCAACATGTACGGGATGTAGGTGCCTCGATAATTGTGATAGCTGAACTTCAAATTTCATCCAAAGTTTCCTGTCCGTGAGTCAGGCGGATTTCAAAAATTTTCTACTTAAATACTTCTGACTTTTGTATTTAAATACTTGGAAATTGATATCCTAGCACTACGTTCAATAGCTGTCATTTACTGATCCATGTATACATGTGTGTATGTGTGCGTGTGTGGTGTATGGGGAGAGAGGTTATTTTGACAGATTGATTTTCTTTTATGATTTTCTGTCTAAAACTAGCTCATGAAAATAATTCCAAAGAGTTATTTTTGAAAACATTCCAAAGTGAGTACCTTGAAGAACGAGATTTATTTAAACACATTACTTTATGCAGGCTCAAAAGGTAAAAGTTGATGTTATTATTAGATTATTTCACCTTGTATAACTACAAATGTATAATATTCATATAATAATAAATATTGAATATATGCATGAAAGATGTATTGAGAACTTAAAAATACATCTTAGACCATCTGTTTTAAACATGGACAGGTTGAGGTTCCCAGAGGACGTCTGTTGGTTTGGGGACACCCCAGTTCACCTGCTTTTTCACTCAACCTTTAAAGGCAGCTGGTGATCGAGCTGAGACAGACCCTTTTAATCTAATCACCAGGGAACTCCAGTAAGAACAGAATACCCTGTGAGGCGGTGTGAGCCACGCATATAAACGTTCCTTCGTCCCACCGTTTCTCTCATTATGAAAAACACTGCATATTGATTAGTGTCCTCCCCTTAAATGAAGTGGTTTTGAAAACATCTAACTCATTTCACACATGGTTTCTTTCTCATCTGGGAAATTATTTATCGGATTGCTTTACTTGTCCAAATATGCATCTCACCCGATTTTTCTAGGGAGGGAATATTATTGATATTGTGAAGGAAAATGGTGTAAAATTAGATTATAATGATTTTTCTCTGGGCCGGAAATTTTCTCAACATATGATACAACTGATTCTAGAAGTCATTAAAACAAAGGGAAAACCTATAGAAAGCATGGCAGAGGAAACAGCCACAGACTTATTTTATTATTTATATTTCTATAGCAACTTGTCTCTCAAGGGTACATAGTAATTCCATTTCCAAGATACATACTTGCCAACATAGAGGAGAAAAATTATCTCTATATTTCAGTACCTTGAATATAAGAGGTAGAATAACTGTTTTTCAATACTATGATTTTTGTTGCTTTTTTAAAATTTTACTTCTTTGCTGACCTTCCTCAGTTTGAATAAATATGACTATGTATTTGATTCTCCCATTTTTAGTCTTTTACAATAAAAGACAGTGTTTTACTTAATTTTATCTTGTCACAAAGAGTGGATTTTCAGGCGTGTGAGCCTGGGGAAATTTTCATCGTGGACTAAACTTGTTGCCTCAACCTTCTTCTGATACCAGGACCTGGTACCGTCGAGTTACTGTGTAACTGATATGCAAGTTTGCCTGACAAGATGGTGAGAACATATTTTAAAACTTGAATTTGAAAAAGTAGAGAATTTAAAGGAAAAGAAACTGAAAATGGATGTCAGCTGGGCTGATCATAAAACGTTTTGGCCAATAGAGTAAAGGTGATTTGAAATCACAAAATACCGCAGGGCATATTCAGGTGTGTTGGGACACACAGGCACCACTTGGTAAACCCGGCCGATGGCTGCCGAGTGCGCAGCACCCCAGGTTGGAGGGAGGAGGTGCACCCCAGAGGAGGAATACCCGTCTGGCCGCCGGCTGGCTCCGCAGGCAGGATGTCTCTGCAGACGTGCTTGCTCGGGGACCAGGTGTGCAGTGTGCAGCCTTTCCAGGTCCACATACCTCTGACCGGGCCCTTCACCCTCCTATCCTCCTTTCCCAGAGGGCTGGCAAGGAGGCCCTGCAGCCAGCTTCCCTGCGGAGTTAAAATAAAACACGCTATATGGGGAAAGGCTTTGGGAAGGACATTTAGCTCTTTACTGGAAAAATGAGCAGCTGGAGGTTCTGTGAGCCACAAAATCTGAAAACCAGAAGATTCCTCCAAACACGTCTTCTCCTTGGATCTGTCACTCTGACACAAGGGCTTTACAAATAGGCTCAGAAACTGTTGCGCGGGGCTCTCAGATGCATAGCCTCAGGTCATAGCTTTCCATAAGTCAACAGCTATGCACTGCGAGGACCAGCCTGCACACCCCACAAAGGCAACAAAAAGCTGCGTTTCAGTAAACAAATGACCAGAGGAAATGAATGAAAAAAGTCACACATGATCACTTTCCGTTTTAGAAATGTAAAAAATGAACTAGAATAAAGAACAATCATCTTATATGCCAATTGAAGATTCTAAAGAAAAGATCAAATTACATTTATGTCGTAAGCATTTATTAAGTGTTTGCTGTGTGCCGGCCGCTGCGCTAAGTGCTCTGAATCCAGAAGCACTGAAGTCCTGAGCATTGGCCCCGAAGGCCTAAAGTCTGGAAACAGTTGCAGTTGAAGAGCTCGTCAGCCATGGCACACCTGCTGGGTGCTGTGAGATGTGTGTGGATGGCTCTGGAAACCCAGGGGAAAGCCAGCACTGCAGCAGCGTCCGGGAGGCCTTCCGCCTGCAGGAAGAGTTGAGAGGCTTCAGGGCTGGGCAGCAGAAACCCAGGGAGAGGGAGGTGCCAGCCTGAAGTAATGACAAACGTCCCGAAAACCGCTGGGCACCTCAGCTCTGGGATTCGCAGGGCACCCGGCCTGGAGGGAGAGGCTGGAAGGCAGGACGGATGGGGGACATGAGCTGAGAGGGACATCCATGCTGCACCTGTAGTACTTGCACCTGCAGAATTCGGAGGTCACTGGAGGACTCTAAGCAGGAGAGGGATCTGTGGCTGAGTTGTGTTCCCCGGACTTGGTGCTGAACCCTAATCCCAGGACCTGAGAATGTGACTGCGTTTCAGACAGACCCTTCGAAGAGGTGACCAGGTAGAATGAGGTCACAGGGGGCCCAAATCCAATCTGTCCGGTGTCCTTATAAGAAGAGGAGATGAGGACACAGACATGCAGGAAGGGACCAGCTTGTGAGGACCCGGGGAGAAGACGGCATGTGCACACCCAGGAGAGGCCTCAGTTTTCCCAGCGCCTTGGTCTGGGACTCACAGCCTCCATGACATGAATCAATGTTGCTCTGTTACGGCAGCACGGGAGGACTAACACGGGGGCCAGAGTCATGTTATAATGAAGACCCGCGGCCCGGCCGTACTGCAGAAGAGCACGGAGAAGACAGCTCCTCAAATAGCACAGGTGAGAAGGGATGAGGCCGGGCTGTGCCAGGCACAGGTGCAGGAATGGCTTTCAGAGGGAGCTCCAGGGGCTCCCGGCTGAGCTCTGGGGAGCCGTGAAGAGGCTTTTAAGAGGCCTCCTGCCCCAGCCGTGGATGAGGCCCAGAAAGCCAGCATGCAGGCAGGGAGTCTCCAGGACTTCATCCAGGAAGCTGGGTCTCCCGGGGAGTCCAGGAGGAGAGGCCGTAATGATGGCTCCATTTAGGGACAGACGCAGAGAAGGCAGCGGATGCATGCAGATCCCAGCGATGGGGCTGTGCCGTTGTCTCCTCCTGCTGAAGCAACAGGATGGAGGTGATGCTGTTGCAGCCCAGAGAGCTGGGTCATGGAGTGCAGGTAAAAGAAGGGATGGCCAGTACAACCGGGGAGCCGGGATGGATTGGGATGAAGTGCCCAACAGCCCTCTCCAGCTGCTGCCTCTCAGCAGCCGAAGCCAACAGGGCCCAGCCCACAGGTGCCGAGTAGTTCAGATGTGTTGAGCTGAGGGTCCCATGACTTGCTAACCCAACTTCAAGAAGAGGTGTGGAGGTCGAGGCTGGAGGTGCGGTCCAGAGCCATGGAGCCACCCCCGAACAGGAGGGTATAGAAAGAGAAGAGGCCTGAGACCAGAGCCCACAGCGTCAGCATCGTGGGGAGAAGGGGCCTCCAGAAGGAGCAGTGGAAAGGTGGGAGCCAGGAGGGATGGGGAGGGGCCACGGAGGGGAGTTCAACACTGCCCCAGTTCACCACAGTGGGAACAGAGGCTGTCCCTGGGTCTTGGCAGTGTGGGCAGAGTCCTGGAAGGCTGCTGCGAGGCCTGAATTGTGCAGCCCCTCTATGCGGAGCAGCAGGGGTCCTGTGCCACCCCCGACCCAGGGTAAGCCCAGGTTCCTGGTGTCCATAAGCCCTGCACAAATTCAGCACAGCGGAGACCCCTGTGGGTCCTCCCAGAGACGGGCCTGGACTGAGGAACCCCTACAAAGCAGGTGTGTTTGTCTCATATTTGCAGCTGTAAAAATGGTCACAAGCCCTATGGTCTCCAGCAGCACAGATGTGCCGTCTCACAGTCACAGAGGTTAGAAGTCTAAAGTAGGTTCTGTGGGGCTAGCGTCAAACATCAGGTCGTTCTGGAGGCTTCCGGGGAGCCCGCTCCTTGCCTCCTCAAGCTTCTGGAGTTCTCTGCCGTCCTTGGCTGCGGGCCACATGGCTCCAGCCTGGGCCTCCATTGTCCAAGCCTCCTCGTCTGACTCTGACCCCCTCCCTTCCTCATGTAAGGACCCTGGGGATAACACTGGGCCCACTGGGATGATCCAGGATCATCTCCCCATCTCAAAATCCTGAATTTACTCACATCTGCAAAGTCCCTTTTGCCACATAAAGTACCATGGTCACAGGTTCTGGGGACTAGGATGCGGACATTTTTGGAGGGGCGTTATTCTGTTTACCATAGTAGGTTTTGGTAAATACTGGTAGAGTGCATGAATGAATGAGGTCTTCTCTGAAACCGAGCCCAGTATAAATGGTGACATCCTTCAGGCACTGACCCAAGGGGAACCCATTTCTCTTCTAGGAGTATTACACAAATCCTTGTCGTAAATCCAGGTTGATCCTGATGAAGAGGAGCCAAATCTGGCTCGGGCTGATGGACGCTGTGTGCAGGCTCAGAGTTCACCCTGGGAAGCCCAGGTGTGCTGCCCCGTGGGTCCTCAGTGTCAGACCTGCTGCTGAAGGGAAGCCCAGGCGTGCTGTCCCATGGGTCCTCAGTGTCAGACCTGCTGCTGACATCACGTCTCCAACCCCGCAGCACAGCGTAGTCCAAATGCCAGAAACCTGGCAACAACGATATCGTGCGGGAGTCGGTCCGAGATGTCCCAGGGAATCTGAACGTCTTCCCAGCCGCTCAGGATGTCTCTGATTGTCATGATCCCCATTAGAACGTCTCAGAAACTGCCAACCACCATGGCTTCCATGAAGCCCCAAGAATCCTTCAGCAAAGCTCCATGTTGCAAACTAAAGCCCAGGGTGTGCATCATGAAGACGCCATCCCTGTGTCCCGGGTTCAGAGGCTTGTACCCGGGACTCGGGCATGAGACCCCATTACGGGCCTGAGCACAGCACCAAGACCGTCAAACGCTAAAAACAGGCACAGGTGGAAGTCTCACGTGGCCCGCCCCCCCGCATCTAGACTTGTGTTTTACAGTAAATGACGAAATGCAGTCCAGATACCTAAAAGATGAAAACTAATCTTTGTGATTTTCATTGTCTTTGATTTATTTGAACTACAGCCAAAGCCTTATGTACTTTATCCGTTGTGCGCTAAGCCTATAGGATGAGTGGATGAAAGCCGGTTGGCCCTGGGGACCGGTAGGGAGAAGCCGTGGCAGAGCACAGTCTCTGCGGAGAGGAGGGAGACCCAAGCTCTCCTGGCTGTGGGGAAGGAGAAGCCCTGGGAGACACGGGTAAGGGTCGGGTGTCGGAGTTAGGACAGGAGCCCCTGGTCTGTGCTGTAGAGAAGGAGTGGAACCAGCTCCCAGTAAGGGTTTCCAAAGGTTAAATACTTGACACCTCTGTCTAGAACAGACATGACAGACGAATCACGTGCCTCCCGGTTTGCAGAAGGCGAGCGTGATGCAGATAAATCGTGCATCTGTATCAGGAACTGCATATGTAAGCCAGAATTGCTCGGGTGAGAACAAATGTGTTCATAAAGATTTTCCCCAAGTGTGTAGCCTGCTCTTCCCTTCAAAACCACCGTTTTCAAGTAATTTGTGTCCTTCTCTTATAAAATCCTCCTGTCTGCGTACTTAGACTGGAATTACAACATGAATGCTGGGATGATCTCCCAGGTAATGAGATTTCAAGATGAAGCTGTCATTGAACAAGTGAACTTGTCTAGACGAATTAATCATAATACGAATGAAACTAGAG
This sequence comes from Homo sapiens, assembly GCF_000001405.40. Lineage (NCBI taxonomy): Eukaryota > Metazoa > Chordata > Mammalia > Primates > Hominidae > Homo > Homo sapiens. The sequence goes on from NC_000008.11 coordinate 1,641,530, forward strand.
CCACGGGTTCCTGACTCATAGTCCAGGGCTCTTGCAGTTGACAACGATCTGCGTCTGTCCTATGGCTCTGTCTCTTCCCTGAAGTAGGGGTACATTTGGAGGGACATGTGTATGGGGATGGAGTCAGAAGTCCAGTGAGGACTTCCACATTGTTGTCCTAAGAGTAACAGTTACTGTAAGAAAGGATTCCTAATTGGTCATTTAACATCTTATCACCCAGAAAAGTAATGGCTGAAATAAATAATTGATGCTTGCATAAGTCAGTAGGTGAATAAATTAGTCATTTCAGGTTTTCAGATATTGTGGAGATGGAAGTACTGTTGAATCTGCCTCCCATACCCCTCGAACCCGCCGGTCCTCACCTGTGTCACCCTCGACCCCGCCGGCCCTCACCTGTGTCACCCTCGACCCCGCCGGTCCTCACCTGTGTCACCCTCGACCCCGCCGGTCCCCACCTGTGTCACCCTCGACCCCGCTGGTCCTCACCTGTGTCACCCTCGACCCTGCCGGCCCCCACCTGTGTCACCCTCGACCCCGCCGGCCCTCACCTGTGTCACCCTCGAACCCGCCGGCCCTCACCTGTGTCACCCTCGACCCTGCCGGTCCTCACCTGTGTCACCCTCGACCCCGCCGGTCCCCACCTGTGTCACCCTCCAACCCGCCGGTCCTCACCTGTGTCACCCTCGACCCCGCCGGCCCTCACCTGTGTCACCCTCGACCCCGCCGGCCCTCACCTGTGTCACCCTCCAACCCGCCGGCCCTCACCTGTGTCACCCTCGACCCCGCCGGCCCTCACCTGTGTCACCCTCGACCCCGCCGGTCCTCACCTGTGTCACCCTCGACCCCGCCGGCCCTCACCTGTGTCACCCTCGACCCCGCCGGTCCTCACCTGTGTCACCCTCGACCCCCCCGGTCCTCACCTGTGTCACCCTCGACCCCCCCGGTCCTCACCTGTGTCACCCTCGAACCCGCCAGCCCTCACCTGTGTCACCCTCGACCCCGCCGGCCCTCACCTGTGTCACCCTCGACCCCGCCGGTCCTCACCTGTGTCACCCTCGACCCCCCCGGTCCTCACCTGTGTCACCCTCGACCCCGCCGGCCCTCACCTGTGTCACCCTCGACCCCGCCGGTCCTCACCTGTGTCACCCTCGACCCCGCCGGCCCTCACCTGTGTCACCCTCGAACCCGCCGGCCCTCACCTGTGTCACCCTCGAACCCGCCGGCCCTCACCTGTGTCACCCCTCGAACCCGCCAGCCCTCACCTGTGTCACCCTCGACCCCGCCGGCCCTCACCTGTGTCACCCTCGAACCCGCCGGTCCTCACCTGTGTCACCCTCGACCCCGCCGGTCCTCACCTGTGTCACCCTCGACCCCCCCGGTCCTCACCTGTGTCACCCTCGACCCCCCCGGTCCTCACCTGTGTCACCCTCGACCCCGCCGGTCCTCACCTGTGTCACCCTCGACCCCGCCGGCCCTCACCTGTGTCACCCTCGAACCCGCCGGTCCTCACCTGTGTCACCCTCGACCCCGCCGGCCCTCACCTGTGTCACCCTCGACCCCGCCGGCCCTCACCTGTGTCACCCTCCAACCCGCCGGCCCTCACCTGTGTCACCCTCGACCCCGCCGGCCCTCACCTGTGTCACCCTCGACCCCGCCGGCCCTCACCTGTGTCACCCTGGAACCCGCCGGCCCTCACCTGTGTCACCCTGGAACCCGCCAGCCCTCACCTGTGTCACCCTCGACCCCGCCGGTCCTCACCTGTGTCACCCTCGACCCCGCCGGCCCTCACCTGTGTCACCCTGGAACCCGCCGGCCCTCACCTGTGTCACCCTGGAACCCGCCGGCCCTCACCTGTGTCACCCTCGACCCCGCCGGCCCTCACCTGTGTCACCCTGGAACCCGCCGGCCCTCACCTGTGTCACCCTGGAACCCGCCGGTCCTCACCTGTGTCACCCTCGAACCCGCCGGTCCTCACCTGTGTCACCCTCGAACCCGCCGGTCCTCACCTGTGTCACCCTCGACCCCGCCGGCCCTCACCTGTGTCACCCTCCAACCCGCCGGTCCTCACCTGTGTCACCCTCGACCCCGCCGGCCCTCACCTGTGTCACCCTCGACCCCGCCGGTCCTCACCTGTGTCACCCTCCAACCCGCCGGTCCTCACCTGTGTCACCCTCGACCCCGCCGGCCCTCACCTGTGTCACCCTCGACCCCGCCGGCCCTCACCTGTGTCACCCTCCAACCCGCCGGTCCTCACCTGTGTCACCCTCGACCCCGCCGGCCCTCACCTGTGTCACCCTCGACCCCGCCGGCCCTCACCTGTGTCACCCTCGACCCCGCCGGCCCTCACCTGTGTCACCCTCCAACCCGCCGGTCCTCACCTGTGTCACCCTCGACCCCGCCGGCCCTCACCTGTGTCACCCTCGACCCCGCCGGCCCTCACCTGTGTCACCCTCGACCCCGCCGGTCCTCACCTGTGTCACCCTCGACCCCGCCGGCCCTCACCTGTGTCACCCTCGAACCCGCCGGTCCTCACCTGTGTCACCCTCGACCCCGCCGGTCCTCACCTGTGTCACCCTCGACCCCGCCGGCCCTCACCTGTGTCACCCCTCGGGGCTGAAACCATTTTAAGTGCTCACCTGGGTGCCTCCTCAGCCTCCAGGGGCCTGGCAGGACTTCCCACCCACTCTCCATCCTGCCTGCAGGACATTCTTGCTAAAAAGGCAGCCTGACCCTAAGCCCGCCCGACCAAGAGCCTCGTCTCGGCTCTGTGCAAGAGCCAGAGGAGTGAAGACTGCCGTCCTCTGTGGGGTTGCAAACCCCAGTGACCCGGCCCCACCAGACGGCCCAGCTGCCCTCTCGCTCCCACCCGCTCCCAGCCAGTCTTCCTGAAATTCTCGCACCTCCATGCCTCTACGGCTGCTGCTCGTCGGCCCGCAGTTTCTTCCTTGAGTTTCTGCCTGAGTCCTAGCTGTGCTTTAAGCCCCAGCTCAGGAATCATTTCTTCAAGGAAGCGGCAGAGACGCGCTCCTGATCTGATCAGCGTCTGCACGAAGCACGGCTTCTGCTCCTTCCCACTCCCTGACCAGGAGCTCCAGCCACATAGCACATTTACTGAAACAAACAGAATCTCGATGTACATTTAAAATGTACTTATCTTTTAAAGACATAAAAACATTAGATGCCAAAATATCTAGGCCATGGCAGAGAATTATGTTTATTATTTGTATGCCATTACATTGTCTCAGGAATATATTTAAAATGTATTGACACCATGGCTTTTACTCTAACAGGATGTTCGTCTAAAAAGCATTACATTAAAAACAAATTATTTAGATTCATAAAATTAAAAATATTCTGAAAACATTGAGAAAAAAATACTTTTGCTCTCTTAGGGAAAAAAAACTAGAGTGATGCTTTTAAATGAAATTACTTGCTGGGCACAGTGGCTCACGCCTGTAGTGCCAGCACTTTGGAAGGGTCACTTAAGGCCAGGCATTCAAGGTTAGAGAGAGCTCTGATGGCACCACAGCACTCTAGCCTGGGTGACAGCAAGACCATGTCTCTAATGAATGAATCAAATGAATGAATCAAATGAATGAATCAGATGAATGAATGAATGAAACAGAATCATTCAACATCAGTACAGACCACCTTTGACTTAAAGATGGTTGGACTTACAATTTTTTAACCTTATAATAGCGTGAAAATCATCCACATTCTGTAGAAACCATACTCTGAGTGCCCACACAACCATTCTGTTTTTCACCTTCAGTACAGTGTTCCATGAATTCGAGGAGATAGTCAACACATTATAAAACAGGCATTAAGTGAGACGATGTTGGCCAACTGCAGGCCAGTGTCAGTGTTATGAGCTTATTAGGAGTAGGCTGGGCTAAGTTACGATGTTTGGTGGGTTAAATGTATTAAACGTGTTTCCCACTTACGATGTTTTTAGTGTATGATGGGTTTGTGGGGACATAATCCCATTGCAAGTTGAGGAGCATCTGTATATTTATTTTTTCCCTGTAATGATGCAAAATATGGACTATATGGAGTCACATTTGAAATATTTAAAATGTGATCATGAAGTCCTATAGATACATTTGTGTTGGTTGATTATCCAGACAATAATCTTACAGGTACTATGTATTACCTTAAAAGGTTGTAATTTATTTGCTACTTTTATAACTTGAAATTTTCTTCCTTTGCTTCATGGGTTTCAAGAGTCATTGACATGATTTAATAGGATATTTTTGGACTTAAACAAAATTGCTTCCTGATAGGTATTCCTAGATCCCAGAGAGTTAACCTTAAAAAGATCTTTTTCCTGTGAAGCATCACATGGAAATGAAAGGGGAGTGGACGTCTTGCTCCCAACACGTCATATTCCAGCCTTGTCTTTCCCGTTCAGTTTGCGAATGGTTAGGTGATGTTTGCCATTGGTGGTGGAGGCCGAATAATGCCGCACAGTTCTCTGTATGATAGTGTGATGGTGGAGTTCATGTGGCAACTTGACTGGGCCATGGAGTGCCCAGATATCTGGTTAAACATTATTGTGGGTGTGTCTGAGAGGGTGACTCTGGATGAGGTTAGCATTTGGAGGGGTGGACGAGGTGAAGCAGATGCTTTCCCCAGTGTGGGTGGGCCACGTCCTATCTAGTGGAAGAAACAAAACAGCTGACTCTTCCATAGAGAGAGGGAATTCCTCCTGCCTTTGAACTGCGACTTGCACCATGAGCCCGCCCAGATCTCCAGCTTGCCACTCTCCCTGCAGATCTCGGAACTCGTCAGCCTCATTGACGACAGGAGCCAATTCCTTATCCTCTTTCTCTGTATGTATTCACCTGTGTCTCTATTGTCTGTCTCTTCCTTACCATCTCTCTCTATATGTGTTCATCTATATCTCTATCGTCTGTCCATCCATCCCACCCATGTTCCATTAATTCTGTTTCTCTGAAAAGCCCCAACTAATATCATACCCTTAAAGGGTATTTTTTCAGGTTCTGTATTTAAAATGATCAGAGAATTTACTAAGAGAATTCTCACCATCAGCTCTTCACACTGGAAAACAATTTGAAAATTAAAAAGCTAGGTCAGAAACTTCAGTCCTTGTAGCTGTGTTGGGGGAATGTTCATTAAAATAAAGGCCGCTGTCTCAGTGTCAATGTGCTGTTTGAAAACAGGTGTCAGAGGCACAGTCTCTGCTGACAGGTCGAGGCTGGCACTGCTGGGACAGGTCACTAGTTAGGCTGGTGTGTCAGGAGTGAAGGGGGCCAGAGGGCAAACGGATCAAAATCCCCTTCTGGAAAGGAGAACCCAGGTGGGCTTGGAAAGCCAGCGTCGAAAACTTTTGTCCCTTCTTCTAATCAGCGTCTGTCACCACAGAGAAGTGATGGAAAGGCCAGAGAAGCGTCGGAAAGGCCAGGGCACAGGGCAGAGGCAGAGGTGAGCGGACAGTGGAGGAGGATCCAGGACTTCAGCAGACACAGGGCTCAGGCTTTGGCTCATCTGACAGCGGTGCCGGGGCATGGAGGCCACCACCATTGAAGGCCTGTGGACTGATGGTTCCAGGGACAGAGTCCTCTGTGAATTTCCAGCAGGACACTGCAGTGAGACTAGTGCAGACAGTCCCCCAGCTGGTTGCTGGATCTGGAACTGAAGTCTCCAAGCTAGAGTCCATGACCCCAGGGGAACCCTAGCGTAAGGTATTCATGAATTCAGGGCTGCTCACAGTTAGATGGGATAAAAAGTGTGTCTTTATCCTGGCTAACACGGTGAAACCCCATCTCTACTAAACAAAACACAAAAAATTAGCCAGGCGTCGTGGTGGGTGCCTGTAGTCCCAGCTACTCAGGAGGCTGAGGCAGGAGAATGGAGTGAACCCGGGAGGCAGAGCTTGCAGTGAGCCGAGATCGCGCCACTGCACTCCAGCCTGGGAGACAGAGAGAGACTCTGTCTCAAAAAAAAAAAAAAAAAAAAAAAAAAAAAAAAAAAAAAGTGCATCTTTATCTTCACTAACTTTCACTAACTTGAATTTACAATTTCCTTCCATTATGAATGCAGACAGCAGAACACATTCCTATGAGATTCATGCTAACAATATCAAGATAGCTTATCATCACTGAAGAGTTCTTGCAATGGTCTGGAAACACCACCCTCCCCACGCTTGAGGCTGCAGGAGCTGCCAGTCCCCTGCCGGGTCTCTCTCTCATTGCATGCCGGCTGCTATAAGGAAGCGTCATAGCCTGCCTGGCTTATGAACCCCAGAGATTTATCTCTCACAGTTATGGAGGCTGGAAGTCTGGGGTCAGGGTGTCCAGTGTGGGCAGCCTCCTTGTTCATAGGCAGCAGCTTTTCCCTGCGTCCTCACATGGTGGAAAAAGCGTAAGGAAGTTCCCTAGGATCCCTTTATAAAGGCACGAATCCCTCATCCTGCCCCCAGACAATCCACAAACCCACGGTCACAGACGTCGGTCATCTCTTCCACATTTCATGTCACTGCCATGCCCAAGGCCTGTGGCGATAAGCCAGATGAGTTTAAATTAACCCGTGCGTGTACCGTGCCACACCAGGCTCAATAAATATTGGTTCAACGTATGAGTGAGTGATTTGAAAATTTACAGTTGATAAGCTCTTTAATTCCTTTTCTATTGAGAGTTTGTCCTAACTTAGAGGACTCTGACGTTTAAGTTATAAACTCCACTGTGCTCGGCTGTTAGCCTTGGCATCGACTTGAGCCTTTTTCTGTAGAGTTCCTTTCTGAGGACAATACTTACTCAGGGGCACCCATGCATCCTTATCAGATGTTCTATGTGGACATGATTCAATTATCTATAACCGACATGTGCAAGAAATAACATTTTTTTTTAAATCAACTTCCATTCTAAGTTCCCACCCCTCCTGCGTGGTGTACTGTGAAATTCAGCCTCTGTCATTTCAGGTTAAACCCAAGGCAATACCAAAACCAGGACTCCCAGGAGGTTTGGAGGCATCTGGGAAGCCTCCTGGTCATAGGCCATTGGTCCCCTCATTGGTCCCCTCCGGCTGTTATGAGATCCCCAGGTCCCCTTCTGCATGCAGGATTCGCTCAAGTCTGCAGACCTTCCCTGGGGCATGATCAGGACAGGGGCCGTGTTCTGCAGCTGCTCAGAGACCCGCAGGTCCCCTTCTCTGGCTGTCATCATTCCCAGCTTCCGGCCTCTTTCCTCCTCTCCCTGAGCCCCTGGTCCCCTCAGTCATGTCTCTACTGAGTACAGGCTTTTGTGAAAGTCATGGTGATCTTTGCCAATGGAGAGGATATCGTGGGGTTGGCTTCCTCCCATAGAAATCTCTGAAAAGAAGAACCGCTGATCTCACTTGAAATGGGAAGAATTGTGGGGAAAACCTACAAATCCTATCACAAAGGTTTATTCTGCAACGTGAGTGGAGTGCAGGCGTTTCCCAGATCGGCAGCCACCACGAGGTCATCCTTGGATGGCGTCTGAACACATGTCTGGGGAGAGGTCCGGAGGGGCCCAAAAAATCATTGCCTGTGACGCTTCAAAATTTAACTTTATTCTCCAGAAAAGTAAAAATTATCCAGGTGTATACATTGAATTTGAATAACTGCCTTTACCTAAAGCTTAAGATGTCCAAAAGCCAATGCTATATATCAAAAATATTTTTAAACTGAAGCAAAAACCCAACCAGTAAATTCTTTTTGTTTCTTCAAAGCTACCAGAACACTCAATACCCAGTGTCTAAATTCTTTTTGCTTCTTCAAAGCTACCAGAATACTCAATACCCAGTGTGTAAATTCTTTTTGCTTCTTCAAAGCTACCAGAACACTCAACACCCAGTGTCTAGTCATTGCTATTTATATTGTCAGCAGTGGTGTTGGGGTAAACAGAATTTATTTAGGCCATTTTAATGTTCCCAAAATTAAAGCAAGAGATTAAATGAGAATGATTACTCTGAATTAATCTTTGAACCCTTTTTCAAACACCAAAAATGCAGAGTGCTAGAAATTTAACTGGCAAGTTTGGTCTATGGTTTTAGGTACTTGGATGGTGAGATCTGTATCACTACTGATATTTTCCAATGACATAGAAGGTGGCAACAAAATATAGTAAGGAAATAGTTATATAGGAAGGAAATATCTATGAAGGTAGGAAAAATACTCCTTTCTAAAATATTTAATTATATTGGATTTATTTCATCCTAACATAGGTATTAAGATAGAGGATCGTGCTGTGCTTTTTAAACGTAAGTCATGGGAAAGCTTTGAAAATCCCAGTGGATTCATCATGGGGAATATTTGTATCTCTATTTATTTATTTATTTGGTTTTGGAAGCCAGGAAGGAAAGAAATAAAGAATGGAATGATGGATCATATCAAATGTTACCATGAGTACAAGGAAGATAAAGAAAAAGAAAAAGATTCATTAGCTAAGGCAGCTGAAAGATCATGGTTGACATAGGCAACTGCAGATTCATGGAATTTCTGGAGAAAAAGCCCCACACCTTAAATATGCGGGCAGGTTACATTTCCAAGTCTTTCAGTGGCAGGATATGCTCCTACTCTCTTTCTGTAATAAAAACGAGTATTTCTTGTATCCATTTATTGGTTTACAGCAGGTCATTACTTTATAACCATTTCGATCAATTACACAATCAATTGAACAAACTCACAAATATGTATTTGGTACCTGATGTGTATAAGATAATGGAGAGGTACTTTATAAAAGGAAAGGAAACAGAATTGGAAATAGATTTAGAAGCTCCATATACATGAAGAGATAATCATGTTCAAAAACTTTTGTCCCTTCTTCTTATCAGTGTTGGATGATTATAAACTGTCCTATGATTCATAAAATAGTCAAAATTGCTGTCTCTTCTAAATATTGACAGCATAAGCTTAGATCTTGATGTAATTATAAGGCACAGGAGTGGTCTCTCACACGCTTATTCTGTGTGTGCGATAAAACGGAGGTTTTATCTGTGAGGGTATTCTAAAACACCCGTGTTATCTGGCAGATGGCGCTTAACAGAAATGAATTATTTGTCCTCTTCGGCTATTCCAGAAAAAGATACTGGGTGCTTTTCAAAAGATCCTCAGAATCTGCATCTGCATTTCTTGACCAAGAAGACAGAAGCTTGGGTGACAGTTGCTGGAGCAGAGATGGGAGGAGAGTAGACACAGAAGCTTGGGTGACAGTTGCTGGAGCAGAGGTGGGAGGAGAGTAGACACAGAAGCTTGGGTGGCAGTTGCTGGAGCAGAGGTGGGAGGAGAGTAGACACAGAAGCTTGGGTGACAGTTGCTGGAGCAGAGATGGGAGGAGAGTAGACACAGAAGCTTGGGTGACAGTTGCTGGAGCAGAGATGGGAGGAGAGTAGAGACAGAAGCTTGGGTGACAGTTGCTGGAGCAGAGATGGGAGGACGGTACGGACATTCCTGCCATTGCTGCTGCTTCTCATGTCTGCCTCCAGCATCTACCACCAAGAAAACCCCTGCTCAGCGGAATTTTGGGATTACATGGGGAATAATATGGGGAACTGTGCTAACAGATACGTGTATGCACTTTCTCAAACGTACCATCCAGCGTCCACATTCTGAAGATAAACAGGTTTACCAATTCTTTGCAAACACTCAGACACCGTATTTCTTCCTCCCCACCTCTGCCTCACAGCAGAAGGGCCAGGACTGAAGCAAGAGCCACACACATATGTGGCTGGAAATGTTGACCCACCAGATTCTGTGTGTTCTGTGTGGCCCTTCTTCACAGGGTGCCCTGAGCCCAACCGAATGAAGCGCTGGCCCCGTCAGCAGCCATGGTCACGTCCACTTGGAAGTTCCAAATCCCGAGGTTCCTGCAGAGAGCAGCTCTCTGCTGTGGCACCAGCTGCTGGTGAGGGATCCAGCTCCCCTAGTTACCTCCCCCATCACCAAGAGACTGGAAGTTCCTGGCATACAACATAGGCTGAGATCCTCAACTGAGCTGCTTCTCTAAAGCAGGGGCAGCGGGCATAGCTCCAGCACATGGCGGCTGGGGCGTCCATCCCTTCTGGAATATGCCCTGCCATGACCACCCCACTCCTGCCGGGCTCCTGCCTGGCCCACAGCTCCAATGGCTTAAGCCCCTAGCTCCGTTCTCTGCGTTCACAAAACCACCACAGGCTGTGTAGCCCTCCCCATGTGAAATAACAGGGGAAGATGTCTGACTTACAAGGCAACTGCCAGGCAGCAAAAATCCTTCTGATCGTATTTTCCATCTGGGTATGTGCTCATCAGAAGTAAATTTGAAAAGTTAAAAAAAAACGAAGTGATGGAGGGACACAGTCTTGTGTGTGACCACCCGAGGCAAGCCCCGCCTGCACCTCTGGTCAGACATTCCTCAGCGCCAGCCAGCCTTTGCATGAGGCAGCACTCAGAGCCTCGTCAGAGCCGGGCTGGGCAGGCAGCCTGCCCCAGGCACCTACACAGCTCGTTTCTGCAAGCCCCACTTGCCCAGTGAGGCTTTCTCTTTTTCCTTGAGAATTAAGTTGGTTTTTTTCTGGTCATACACTCTTTAACATGCAGGTGTAGAATTAAGAGATATTTGTGTTTCTTTCCTAAATGATTCCATAAACCTGGTGCTAAGGAACTATTACATTAGACCCTTGGTGTAGGCAGCAAAGGAGATTGGGCTTTACGCACACCGAGGTTCTTACGTGAAGATGCTAATGACATTCCTCCTGGAGTGTGTGTGAGCCCACCACGTTCCTCATCCTGTTATGTATATTTTAGTAATCCATTCCATTCATTGTGAGTCTCTCCCCTGGCTAGAATATAAGTTCCACAGGGGCCGGGTTTTCCTCGCTGCTGAATTCCCGTGCCTAGAACAGTGCTTGGCACATAGTAGATAGAAATGTTTGTTGATTTATTTAGTGAAAAAAAGGAATAAATGAATGAATAAGAAGGATTCTCTCTCTGTGTGAACTACTACCTTAGCACTGCTGCCCACTTGCAACTAACCCTGGTCTTGTGCGTGATATTTCTGAGTTTCCAGGAGAGCAGAGACAAGGTAGAGAATAAAACCCTCTGTCAGGTCAACGACACCTAGGAAGTGGTAGGCGGTCCGTAGATTTTTGGGGACATGTACATGGATGAATCAGTCCTTTCTGTGCACTTATGTAAAACTTATTTTCATTCCTTATGGAATTTGCATCGTCTGTTTCTGTCATTCTTGAAGTCAGGGTCAGATCTTTATTTTAAAATAAAGAATAACATGCGAGACAGACAGTAATGAGACCAGCTGGCGAACCAAAATGTTATGAGCAGTTTCTGAAAAGCAAAGTAAATTGCCTCCTTGGTCTATGTATCATCCCATCAGCGTTCGTATCTCAAGGCTGTGCCACAGATGACTCATTGTGCAATTATCTTGCCAGCCTCTCCGGTCCATATGCCCTTTGCCTTGGGCCCATGAGAGTCGCAATTTCCTGGTGACCCAGAGGACTGTCATGGGCCTTTCTCTATTTTGTTAGAAGCTCTTCATTTTCAGGGTACCACTGTAAATGGGGGATTTGAAACACATCTATTTCGACGATTAGGATGAAGAAGGAGTGCCCAGTTGCTGCCAGGCCTGGAGATACTGTGGCATCGCGTTGGTTCTTAGTGCTGGCCCTGTGGGTGGGGTAGGGAGCCGACAATCCTCACCACGCAGATGCTGCCAGGCCTGGAGACACGGGCAGCACGTTGGTTCTTGGTGCCTGGAGACACTGGCATTGCATTGGTTCTTGGTGCTGGCCCTGCGGGTGGGGTAGGGAGCCGACAATCCTCACCCCGCTCACGGGGAGGCTGCAGGTGCCTGGGGTCATAGGGCTTCCTGTGGCGGGGCCAGAACCGAGCCCGGGTATCCCGTGGCCATCCCACACCCTCACTGCTCTCAAGGCTGCCGGCTTCCTGGCCCCACAGGTGTCGTTCATGCTCAGCTAGCTCAAACTGATGCTTACTGATCCACATAGGCTCTGGAGGTTCACAGAGCAACTTCAGTGCAAGGAGCCCTGATTTATTGGCAGGACCAACGGCAGCCCTCTGATGGGTCCGTCTCTCAGATCCGTGGGCAGAGGGCAAGTCAGGATGTTTGGGCTGTAAATTGCAGGGGTGGATTCCTGTATTTGCTTGGGCTGTGAACTGCAGGGGCGGACTCCTGTATTTGCTTGGGCTGTGAACTGCAGGGGCGGACTCCTGTATTTCCTTTTCCATTAGGGTCACCTTAAGATTGAGATTATGACATCCATAGTGTGGGTTTGGGACCTTCCAACCTTCTGATCAAGCTTTATGGGAGACGTTGACATGATTTAGGATATATTCATTTGACTCTGAGGTGTAAGTCAGAGGTAACACGGTCTTAACTCTTGTCAGTTGCCTTTGCTTTATTGTTTTATTAATTTTTTAATTGAAGGTCACTTCCTTATCCTTAGAAAGAGAGACATTAGTAACTTCAGGTATGTTAGTTGACGGATCAATGTCTGCGCACTCACTATTTGCCATGTGCATGGTAAAAATAAACTCTCATCATCAAATAAAATACCACCTACAGAATTAGCCCTCCCTTGAAATCTTGGTAGTAAAGATTTCATTCTGATACAACTTCAGTATAGATGTCATTCACAATTAGGTGTCCCGTGTACGCACATGCACATATGGAGAGACACACTGACTGTGAAGATGTGTAACAAATGCTACCTCCTGTACAGTTCACAGCATCTCAAAAAACAGGCCCACCAGCATCCTCCAGTTCTTGGTCTCTTCATTTTTCCACTGGAAAAATTATTCCTTTCAAACATGTTTTCATCTAAGAAGCTTTGCATTCTTAAAGAATTGGAACATGGCCGGGCATGGTGGCTCACGCCTGTAATCTCAGCACTTTGGGAGGCAGAGGCGGGTGGATCACCTGAGGTTGGGAGTTCGAGACCACCCTGGCCAACATGGTGAAACCCCATCTCTACTAAAGATACAAAATTAGCCAGGCATGGTGGCAAGCGCCTGTACTCCCAGCTACTCGGGAGACTGAGGCAGGAGAATTACTTGAACCCGGGAGGCGGAGGTTGCAGTGAGCTGCGATCACGCCATTGCACTCCAGCCTGGGTGACAAGAGTGAAACTCCGTCTCAAAAAAAAAAAAAAAAAAGAATTGGAACATAATTGTGTCCTACTTATCAATTGGATTGGGAAGGAGCCAAACTATGTTGCTGATATGTTTCTGTTTTTTGTGTGTGTTGATGTCAAATCATCCTAAAAGTCAGTGTGCGCCATCACTGATGATGCATTCCTTTTCTGGGTTATCCTTTAGTTTTGTTACCTGGCCCTTTGAACATTCAAAATTCTGTACTTAGAAACATGTGACTCTTCCGTTCACTAAACGTTGATGCATTCTCAGTGTTCTTCAGAAAATACAAGTTCTCGCCGTGTGATGTGATGTTCAAACCTTTTCAATGGAAACAGGAAGTGTCTCGAACAGCAGAGCAGCTGACATCACTTCATTTTACTGTCTACATGTTAAATGCTGGTGAGACTATAATTTCTTGCTAATTAACACATTCAAAATAGACATCTTTGCTGCTAGCCTATCAACGTTGCCCCAGAACTTGTGGGACCCACATAATTTCTTGTAACTTCAGGAAAACCATTGTGTGTATGCTTGTGGGATGTGACTTCTGTGTCCTGTCTGATTTATTCTTCTGTTTTGTGACTAGCATTAATTAAAGTGTCAAAATGGCTTTGATCCTCTATGTTGAATCTTTTGCCTTGAAAGTTTAGTTTGTCCAATATTCATTCTCTCATTCAGACAGTCATGGGCTTGATGACTGTAATTCCTTTTATGCTATCATCCTTGAAGTTCTAATTAAGAGAGTGCAATGAATGCAAGTGTGGCTGTTACATTCAAATAGAATGGCAATGCTTGCCATTCAAGGGATATTTTATCTTGATTACGTATTTGTGCCTTATACGATGGAATGCTAATTTTCAAATTCCCGTTTGGTTTGCAAATGACTTTCAAGCATTGAATTCAGAAGTGGTGTCCAGAATTCCAGGTGTAGAAGGATAATTAAACATGTGTTTAAAGCGATGATGGATTCACATTTGCGATTCCTCAAAGCCATGTGAAGTGTAGATTGTGGAGCAGTTTCTTTCATCTCATTCACACGAGCTTCTTTCCAGTAAAATGCTTTGGTCCAAAATCTCCTCCACGAGGTTGGCTAACCCAACACCTTGAAGACCTGAAGGACCTTCATGATCAGAGTCCTCTGCTTCATGTGCTGTGTTAGAACACTCAGGGAACTATGTCCAGACATGGCCTCTTCATGCAGGACATGTCCTAGACAGCGCTGCCAGCACAGCCGTCATGATGAGGAAGACGTTCCACGCTTAGGCAGGCCAGCGTGGTAGCTGCTGGCCGCACCTGACCATGACCAGTGGACACACAGCGTGTGCCGCAGAGGAACCCAAGTGTAATGGTATTTTAGGTGTTCAGATATTTTAGAATATTGGAGGCCAGGTGTGGCATCTCACAGCTGTAATCCCAGCACTTTGGGAGGCCAAGGCGGGCAGATCACCTGAGGTTGGGAGTTTGAGACCAGCCTGTCCAACATGGTGAAACCCCATCTTTACTAAAAATATAAAATTAGCCAGGCGTGGTACCGCGTGCTACTTGGGAGGCTGAGGCTGGAGAATTGCTTGAACCCGGGAGGCGGAGATTGCAGTGAGCTGAGATCGTGCCACTGCATTCCAGCCTGGGTGACAGGGCAAGACTCTGTCTCAAAAAAAAAAAAAAGTTTGAGCCATTTGTTGTGGCCAGTAGCTAAGTTATTGGTCAGGGCAGTCTAGAAAGGAGCCTTTCTGACACAACTGTGGTAAACCTAAGAATGTAGGCATTTTCAATGGGTAGCAGTCTCCCACCCCTTCACTCTGCCAACACTGCAGCCACCACTGCGTATTTGTCAATTGTGCCATCTCCCCTTCTGACAGTCCTTTTGACTCCAGATATTTGGGCAATTTTTTCAGAAGGGGTTTGCAAATGAGGTGGGCTCAATTCCAGATACATCTGAGGAAAGTCAGTTTTTACACACCTCTTCCCTGCCCCATTTATTCAGCTCTAACAGGGAGGGACCCATCCACCTGAATACATTTCCTTTAAGCATCAACACTCTTCATTTCATGCAATTTTTATGGAATTCTTCCTAAAACTTACTATATGTGTGGCTCTCTCCATCCTAAGTAGTGTGATTAACCTTTTCTTCGTGCCCCAAGTCATTCCATTGGCCTCAGAGTACTCAAGAGGCAAAGCATGTTACACAGTTCCTTCTGATCACAACCCCATTATTCTCAGAGTGACACCAACTTATGCGATCCCTGTGAAACAAACAAAATCCAAACCAATTCAGTAATTGAATTACAAAGCCCAGGTATGTTTTCATCTATTTCCCTGTAATTTGGAAGACACTTAAAAAAAATCATCAGGGATTTTATAGTGTTGTTTACATGGTAAAAGAAACCAATGCTAGGCTTTAAAAACCAAACAGATACTCATGCTTGGAATAGGTATTTTTTTTTTAAAGAAAGTAGTCAGGTCAGGTCTTCAGAAACTTTCAGTTATTAAACAATCATTTCTTCTTCTAATTTCAAAATACATATTTGATCACTTATATAATCCCATGTGGTTGTTTAGTAATCTCTGTCTCTGTCTTGATTCATCTTCTTTTTAAGGACGTAGACTAGAATTACATTGCTAAATTAAATTTTGAATTTTCAAATACATTTAATGTTTGACATACATATAGAAAGTGATAGATAACACAGCCTATAGCTCATAAGGATTAGTTGTGATAAACGCATGCTAGGCGTGCACTCACAGAAACAGAATGAAGACGATTATTATCACCCACACCATCCAACTGAATGGCTGGATATTTTTCTCTAATGTGTAAAATGCTTTCATTCATTGATTTTAATCTGTGGCAGCAAATTAATGTGGTCAAATGATCATTTTGAATTCTTTCTTTACTATTGTTTCCCAGCCTCCAATTTTAACTTTAATGAGCCATGTAGAGATTTACAATTCTATCACACAGGGCTGTACAGGCACAACAAATGTTTGTCAAAAGAATGGATTAATGAATGAATGGATGCAGTGATATACTTCCATGTTTCAGAAATCATTTCTTAATGTTAATCTCTATATCAAAATCATTTTATGTACTGCAATTTTTATTTAACCAGGACAACTGATAATTTTTAAAATATAGAAATCAAATATTGCCAATATAAGGAAAATATAAGTGAAACAGCTTCGTTGTCTGGGGTATAAACCCTGGTCCTTTTGTCACAGCCGAGAAAGAATTTACGACATGGACACATGGTTTTAGGGGGCGAAAAGTTTAATAGAAAAAGAAGTGAGAGAGAAAAGACTTCCTTATGCTGAGGGAGCAGATCGCCCAAAAGAAAGTCTCCCGTTTGCAGCAGAATGCAATCGGTTCTGTACAGAGGCTTGAGGAGGTGGTGATTGGCTTACATAGGGCCCAGGGGATTGGTTAGACCAGATGTGACATTTACATAGTTCGCAAAAAGACTGGCCCTCCCACCCTCGTCTTTTATTATGCAAATGAGGGCTCCACCCTCCACCTGGCTGGTTGCCATGATACCTGTATACCTGGCTTTACCTGGAGGCTGCCATGACACCCTGCACATACTGACAAGCAAAAGCGAGCAGGAGATGCCATATTGAATGTACCTGGCTTCCAGGTACAGCTGCTCCATTTACATATGAAAGCTCCTAGTCTGCATATCTATGCCTGACTTCTTAGGCAGCTTTCCCTTAAAGAAGAAACGGTTTAGGGGCTACTTTTTTATATATATACTTTAAGTTCTGGGATACATGTGCAGAACGTGCAGTTTTGTTACGTAGGCTATGGATCCGTCTGGTCCTGGGCTTTTTTTGGTTGGTAGGCTATTAATTACTGCCTATTTCAGAACTTGTTATTGCTCTATTCAGGGATTCCACTTATTCCTGTGTTAGTCATGGGAGGGTGTATGTGTCCAGGAATTTATCCATTCCCTTCTAGATTTTCTAGTTTATCTGCATAGCGGTGTTTATAGTATTCTCTGATGGTAGTTTGTATTTCTGTGGGATCAGTGGTGATATCCCCCTTAACATATTTTATTGTGTCTATTTGATTCTTCTCTCTTCGCTTCTTTATTAGTCTGGCTACCGGTCCATGTATTTTGTTGATCTTTTCCTGGATTCATTGATGTTTGGAAGGTTTTTTTGTGTCTCTATCTCCTTCAGTTCTGCTGTGATCTTAGTTATTTCTTGTCTTCTGCTAGCTTTTGAGTTTGTTTGATCTTGCTACTCTAGTTCTTTTAATTGTGATGTTAGGGTGTCAATTTTAGATCTTTTCTGCTTTCTTCTGTGACAATTTTGTGCTGTAAATTTCCCTCTAAACACTGTGTTAGCTGTGTCCCAGAAACTCTGTGTCCCAGAGATTGTGGGACACAGCTAAAGCATTGGTTTCAAATAACTTATTTATTTCTGCCTTAATTTCGTTATTTACCCAGTAGTCATTCAGGAGCAGATTGTTCAGTTTCCATGTAGTTGTGCGGTTTTGAGTGAGTTTCTTAATCCTGAGTTCTAATTTGATTGCACTGTGGTCGGAGAGACTGTTTGTTATGATTTCCATCCTTTTGCATTTGCTGAGGTGTGTTTTACTTTTAATTATGTGTTTGATTTTAGAGTAAGTGTGATGTGGTGCTGAGAAGAATGGGATATTCTGCTGATTTGGGGTAGAGAGTTCTGTAGATGTCTATTAGGTCCACTTGGTCCAGAGCTGAGTTCAAGTCCTGAATATCCTTGTTAATTTTCTGTCTCATTGATCTGTCTAATATTGACAGTGGGATGTTAAAGTCTCCCACTATTATTGTGTGGGAGTCTAAGTCTCTTTATAGGTCTCTAAGAACTTGCTTTATGAATCTGGGTGCTCCTGTATTGGGTGTGTATATATTTAGGATAGTTAGCTCTTCTTGTTGCATTGATTCCTTTACCTTTAGGCAATGCCCTTCTTTGTCTTTTTTTATCTTTGTTGGCTTAAAGTCTGTTTTATCAGAGAGTAGGAGTGCAACTCCTGCTATTTTTTGCTTTCCATTTGCTTGGTTAATATTCCTCCATCCCTTTACTTTGAGCCTATGTGTGTCTTTGCACATGAGATGGGTCTCCTGAATATAGCACACTGATGGGTCTTGACTCTTTATCCAGTTTGCCATTCTGTGTCTTTTAACTGGGGCATTTAGCCTGTTTACATTTAAAGTTAATATTGTTATGTGTGAATTAGATCCTATCATTATGATGATAGCTGGTTATTTTGCCCGTTAGTTGATGTAGTTTCTTCATAGTGTCAATGGTCTTTACAATTTGGCATGTTTTTGCAGTGGCTGGTACCAGTTTTTCCTTTCCATGTTTAGTGGTTCATTCGGGAGCTCTTATAAGGCAGGCCTGGTGGTGACAAAAAGCTCTCAGCATCTGCTTGTCTGTAAAGGATTTTATTTCTCCTTCACTTATTTAGTTTGTTTAGTTTGGTTGCCTGTGAAATTCTGGTTGAAAATTCTTTAAGAATGTTGAATATTGGCCCCCACTCTCTTCTGGCTTGTAGGATTTCTACTGAGAGATCTGCTGTTAGTCTCATGGGCTTCCCTTTGTGTGTAACCTGACCTTTCTCTCTGGCTGGAGGGCTGCTTTTCATTAAAGGAAAATTCTACTAAGATCTTTCACCTTTTCTAGCTGCCTAAAAATAATTTCTTAATAACTGCTGTATTATTTGTAACTTATTGTTCTGCTATAAACAATCCATTCAGAATGCATGAGGGATTATATTATATGCATATACGCCCACTGTAAGTGAGAATGACAAAAGCTATATTTAAAATATATTTTAAGTGCCTGTCCCTGGTCTTCACACACAGATCCCCCTTGACCTCTGTACTCACATGTAAAAATGCGTCTGGTATCTGCATACCTGGAAGTTTTTATGTGTATTGCTAAATGTTTCTTTAACTTCTACAGTGTTTCCAATTCTTTAAACGCTACAGGTCAGTTATTTCTATTAAAACTATGTGTTGGATTTCTCATGGGGTCATTAACAAAGGGACTTACATGGACAAGTGATTAATATTTTTAGGGGATTAAAAATATCCTACCAGGACACATATTCCCTCCTGCAGAGATGGCGTTTCAGATCCTGTGGTTGGTAAACCCTCAGATGATCAATCAAAACTTTCCCTTGGTCCTTTAGCTAAATGGCCCAATTGTTTTTGAGAGAACCTGAAGTTCTGATAACATAGTGGGCTTTTCCCCTTGAATGGTGTCACCGAAGAATACACGGCACCGTGATTCCGTAGCTAATACCGCAACTTTCAGCAACAAGGCTGCTGGAACCGGAATCTTGCACTTCCTGTCTACGAGACAGGGAGAAACTTCACCTGTTTCTGCTGGCAAGGGTTGGGGGAGGCTAGGGGACAAATCCATGTAAAGACAGCAGTGACTGGCAGTTCACAAGTGTTCAAGCTCTAGCTCTTTCCAAGAAAACGTTGTCTAAATAGAAATCCTTTTCAAAGCCTTTCAAGCTGGTTTTCTTCCTGTTCACGTTGGAGCCCCAGGAGAGCTCTCATTCTCAGCCTGCTGGGCCCAGCTTCTCCTCATCCCGCTGAGGTGCTGCGCCTCATGGTGGTGGGGGCTGCAGACCTGTGTGGTGCATGACCACCTGTTCTCCATGGCCTCTACTATGTTGACATGGCCAGTAGGAGCACTGAGAAGAGGCAGGGAGTAACATCACTGTTGACAAAAGGCCAGAAGCTGGGTCTAAGTTCTGCTGCTTACTGCACAGAAAGCCAATCACTGAGACAGCGAGTATTGCCAGGGAAGAAGGCTTTCATCAGATGCTGCAGGAAAGGACATGGGAGATCCATCTCAAATCCATCTCCCTGGCAAACTAAAATTAGAGGTTTATATAGCAGGGAAGAAATGTAACCATGTATGGGAAAACAGAAATGAGGGAGCTGTGAGGAAGAGGCGGCCACCAGGAAGCAGATGATGGGTTGGGCAGTCAGAGTGGATGTGAGGTCTTTGGTCTCATTGTCTAGATGCAGTGATCTGGTGAATTGGAGCTCCATGATGCTATCTGGGAGGCCTGATGGCTGCTGTCCTTAGAAAGGAACTCAGATAAGACAGATGTAACTTTCTCAGGTTTCAAGACTAGGAGGGTCAGTTTCTATGTTTATCTAAAGAAACCCATAAACATCCGCCCTATGGGACAATTCAGCCGGTGTCATCACCATCACTCAGCTGAAACAGAGAGCCAGATCTCCTGCAAAGCCCGCTGCTCACAGTATGGTGAGCCTGGGTGCTCTGCCAGAGCAAGACCACAGGGGAAGAACACGGTCACGCTCCTTACAGTATGGTGAGCCTGTGTGCTGTGCCACAGCAAGACCTCAGGGGAAGTACACAGTCACAGTCACAGGGCTGCCGCAAAGGGTCTTCCGCCCATAGGTCATGAGGGATGAACTGATGCTTTGGAAATCAGTGGGTCCCACACACCTTTCCTATGAACCAGGAAAATATATCATCAAGCCAATAAACAAATATTCGAAGGCCTCTTTCCCAAAATAATTTTCATTGATTTGGTATGATTTAAGGAATTGAAAGCCCATTTCATATAATCTCCTCTTACTCTGGCTTAAGCCCATTAGTTAATAGTCCCTTTAAACAGTTTGGGTCATGGAGTGTCAGGGTATAATCTTTAAAATATCTTCTGCCACCAAAGGCATTTTGATTTTTTGTTTTTAGGAAACCTGGAACCGCCATAAATCTTGCTGAAATAAGTGCCTCTTTCATTGAATTTTGCAGTGGGCAAGGATTCTGACGTGCACTCTTGGACCCGTCTCTTAAATGAGAAAACACTAGATCAGGTCATGAGAAATAAGGTTCTGCTATGTAAATGGTCACAAAAAAGAAAACTAGACTCATTATAACCAACAACTGGAGAAGCATCTGAATCTCAGTTCTACCATTTTTCTTGTGGGCTGATGTCAGGAAGAGGTTTAAGCCCATTCAGACTTCCACCTTCTCTTCCAAGATATGCAAATGCCAAGACCGCCTACCCCACAAGGTTGTTCTGAAGCTTAATGAACTGCAAAGTATAACGTGCTCCACAGAGTGCCTGGCACATGTGTGAGTGTGGGGTGTGTGTGTACACACGTGTGAGTGTGGGCTGTGAGTGTGTGCATACATGTGTGAGTGTGGGGAATGTGTGCCTGTGTGTACACGTGTGAGTGTGGGGTGTGTGCGCGTGTGTACATGTGTGAGTGTGGGGGATGCATGTCTGTGTGTACACGTAGTGTGGGGTGTGTGTGTGTACACATGTGTGAGTGTGGGGTATGACTGTGTGTGTACATGTGTGAGTGTGGGGTGTGTGTGTGTGTATACCTGTGTGAGTGTGGGGGATGTGTGCCTGTGTGTACACATAGTGTGGGGTGTGTGTGCGTTTGTACATGTGTGTGGGGGATGTGTGCCTGTGTGTACACAGTGTGGGGGGTGTGTGTGTGTATGTGTGAGTGTGGGGGATGTGTGCCTGTGTGTACACGTGTGAGTGTGGGGTATGACTGTGTGTGTGTACACGTGTGAGTGTGGGGTGTGAGTGTGTGTGTACATGCACATGCGCACTCCAAGGTGACTTTTCTTTCTCATACTGAAGAAATGAAGGGGTGGTGGCAAGTTTGCAGCTGCTGCTGGCATTTTCTTCTCTCCTTTGATGGTGGAGTCGGCCAGTGCTGTTTGGGGACCCGGTGGTGACAGCGCCCTTACTGTGCACCCGTCTTCGCCAGCTTCTCTGGATGCTTATCTCCGCTTCGTGGGACGCCGGACACCGCAGAGCACCCTCAGACAGAGGGAAGGCAGTTTCTCCAAGATCACATGATGACATGCTTTCATGTCTGAAGCAAGAAAGATTGATTTAATAGAACCAGAAAGAAGTGTGTGAGATTTCCCTGTCCACAGATTTTGCAGGAAAGGACCGAGAAGCCCCCCTTTCCCTTGCGCCCTGAGCGTAATGGTTAACTTCGACTCACAGGGGAGGTTTGGTCTGACAGCTGTGACTTGCCTGTGAGTCTGTGGATCCTGTAAGTGAAACTCAACTGCAGGGAGTGGTAAAAATCATCTCAAGATATTAAATCACCAGAGGAAAGCAGAGCAAAACAAGCGTTCCAGCATCACAGCGCATGTTTTGATTTAGAGGAAGAGAGAACGGCAGAATGGTCATTTGCTGTTTCTGCCAGAAGGTAAATAGTTTGAGGAAAACTCCATGACGCTTGTAAAGAAAAGAAGAAGTCAGGCCGTATCCCCAGAGCACTAATGTGACCAGTCGGTTCAGCCCCCAGAGGAGCCTGCAGACCGCTGGGGAAATCCAAGTAAAGTTTGCAGTATCCTTATGCCAGAGAATAGTGGTTTTGTTGATGACAACTGATCCACTGATACCAAACCCTCCTCCACCAGGGCTGCCTTTCTAGAGCTGAGGCTGTGGGTGCGGGCACAGCAGCATCAGCATTTCTGTAGGACAGGCCATGCCCACTGGCCTTCCCGTGGCAGCGTTGGTGCATCTACAGGACAGGCCGTGTCACCTGGCCCTTCCTGTGGTGGCATCGGTGCGTCTACAACACAGGCCACGTCTACTAGCCCTTCCCGTGGTGGCATGGGTACATCTAGGCACAGGCTATGTCCGCTGGCCCGTCCTACTCCTGCTTCCCAGGAGCAGCTCCATCCATCTCAAGGCACGGCCAGGCTCACCCCCAGGAAGCTTCTTTCAACCCCAGTCTCTCTCTGGGCATCCCTAGTCTCTGATGCTGCACCCTTGGTTCTCAGGACGGCCTTTTCAGTGTGATTATGGAGCACACTGGGGCCAGGCTCTTAGGCTCTAGATAAATGCTTCCTGAAATCAGCGAATCTTACAATGTTGTATCCACCAGTGAAGCTTGCCAGGCACTTTACGTCGGTGCCCAACGTGGAAGAAAGCCCAGGGTCTTCAGCCCCCTTATCAATGGTCTCTGGAAAACCCATATGGTAACAGCAACCATATGGACATTCAGTTCGACCTGGACATTCAGTTCAATATTGCAGCCTTGCTGATAACGGTGAAAAACAATACTCTTTCACAAAGTTCCAACCACAACTTTTACGAAAGTCAGTCAGTGATAATCCCTGTATCACTGCAGCACAGCTAATTGCTTCAAACCACGTTTTCGTTTTAGTGGTTTTGAGAACAACCTGGCAGGCATGTGCACACACACTTAGAAAGAGCATCATGTCTTTCTTTTGTCATCCAGGAAAAATCACTGTGTGTGCCCTGCCAGGTAGAGTGTAGTAAATTCTTCTTTTTGTACGCTGGAGGTGAACTGCTCCTTCTTAATCTGTTTGTTTTAAAAGTGTGGCATGCAACTACATTTTTACAAAGAAATCAGTTTAAAAAATCATTTCATCAGCCTGTAGCAAACACATTATAAAGTGAGAAGATGTGGTATGTGACTTTCCTGTGATCATGGAGATAAGTCATAAGCTGCCCCATACATTTTTTTTAATTTACGAGATATTCCATACAAGAAGGAAGGTTTACTTGTTTTGTGAAATTTTTCAGACTCTTTAAATTTTACTTAAATACACTTAGTGAGGTCTGTGATTTTGAACAGTGGCGACAGACCTTTGAGAGTAACTATGAAACACATAATGAGCCAAGGTGGGGATGAATTTGCATGCATTTGCTCAAATTTTCTGGGCAGGTCACTAACTGATTACTTCCTCCCTGTTGCATTTGCCTGTGACATGTTGTGACATGGTTATGACGCTTGATATGTGCCATCGTTCACTGCTTAGGTGAACCTCGCTGGGAAAATCCAACCAATTTGGCGTGTTTAATATCACCTTTCTGCTCATCTCAAACTTGCCAAAGAAAAATATAATAAGGCAGATGTCACATTTTAATCTATATTCCCGCGTCTCTCTGTTGCCTTTGATTTTTTACTACCCCTATTGCTGGGACTCAAAACTTCTTCGGAATCAATATTTCTGCTTAAGAGAAGCAACGCAGAGCCAGCTTTGCCACTGGAGAGGTCATTGAGAGCCCCCGTCCGCAGTCTCGCTCCAGCGCGCAGCGGACACCGGGCCTGCCTTCGGCCAGAGCCGTAGAATCTGAAGACGTGTCATTGATGATAAAGATTCTGTTTTCTGTAAATGACCCATGACAAATGGGTTACCATGAAAACAGCCGCCTACTCTCCAGGGCTGTCACGTGGAAACCCCTTTATCGATGAGCCCTCCTCACATCTCCACCCGCGGGCTCTCTGACCATGTGTCCATGTCGCACTCAACACCCTTGATAAATCAGCGCTGTGAAACACTGCCAGGAAAGGCGTCATCAGAAGCAAGTGTTTAAACGGACCTCATCCCTGCCAAGGTGAGATGAATGTGCAGTCCCCAACGCGTCCCACCCGGAAAAACGAAATATTTCCTAACCCAGGTCTCTCCCCGGCACTACTGGCCTTTGGGATGGAGAAGTCTTGGGAACTTTCTGAGTCTCCTAAATAGTGCCTTGAATCTTGTCAGTTTTCAATAATTTTGCTTAAGGCATTGATTGACGTTAGAGGGAAAAGTCAGGAACAAAAGAAAAAAAGACAGGATTTTGAATGTTTGTCTGGTAAAAGAGAAGCTCAGCACCCGATTGATTTCATAACATCTGATCATCCTTCCTCAGTTTTCTAGGCTTCAGATTCTCTTTCCAATGCATGCTTTTTACAAATGTATCCACTTTGGGCTGGATGTGGTGGCTCACACCTGTAATCCCAGTACTTTGGGAGACCGAGGTGGGTGGATCATCTGAGGTCCTGAGGTCAGGAGTTTGAGACCAGGCTGGCCCACATGGTGAAACCCTGTCTCTATTAAAAATACAAAATTTAGCCAGGTGTGGTGGCAAGCGCTGTAATCCCAGCTACTCGGGAGGCAGAGGCAGGAGAATCGCTTGAACACAGGAGGCAGAGGCTGCAGTGAGCTCAGATCGCCCCACTGCACTCCAGCCTGGGCAACAGAGAAAGACTCCATCTCAAAAAAAAAAAAAAGTCTCCACTTTGTAAATGTTAATATGTAACATTATGCCTTAAAGCACAGGTCATCCTGAATGGCAGGCTTGTTTTGTCGTTTGTCCTTGTTAACTCGGGATGACATTAGAGGTCAGAGTGGATTAGGAAAATCCACTCATGGGTTAAAAATGATTGGAGGAGGTGAGGGATGGGAAGTGTCCTGCAGACACAGAAAGGATGTGTTTCCACCTGCAGCAGCCGGCAGCTGCTCTCGGGCACCGTGTCTGGACATCCTTGGGGAAAACTGCTGCTCGGTCTGTCCTCACAGACGGCGCTCAGACCCCTCCAGGAGACGCCCACGTGCGCACTCACCTACGTCACAAGCAGCCTGGCAGTGCCTCCCACTGTGTGTGTGTGGCAGGGGTGGGGTGGTGGTTGCTTTGCACTCTGATGAGGGGAGCAGATTCCCTTCAAGAAGCACTTTTATCAGCTCTTCCTGTGCACTAAAGGAAAATAATTGACTGTAACGGACAACCAATTCCTGTTGAGGGAGAGTGTTAGGGAGTTCATCCTCTCTATAAAAATAAGTTATAGCCTGAGTCCAGGCCAAGGTGCCTCATGCATTTTTGGTAGGTTCTAAGAGTTATTTAATACAGTCATCATCTCCGGATGCATTTATTTTGCTTTGGTGGCCTGTCCAGCTGTACAGCCGGTGGTACAGAATGCCCCATGCAACTCGAGTTTGGGAGGAGACTGGCTGGTGACGGCCACAGGTGAGCGTGGCCTGGCCCAGCTCAGATGCATAGAGCTGGCCCCTTTCCGGTGGTCTTCCTACAACTTAAACCTATGGAGCCTGTACTTATAGGGAAGCAAGTAAGTTTCTGCTATTATATATTTTCTCCGTTACAGAAACAGTAGCTATTCGTTATAATGATTTTTAGAAAAACACACAAGCCCAAGAGCAGACAGTGCCCATCCTGTCACTCAACAGCCGCGATTAACATCTTCAGGTGCTGGTGACCTCTTCTCACACACAGGTTTCCTGTACAAATAGATTCCATCTTGACCTATGCATAGTTTAGCATCCGGCGTGCTTCTGAACCTAGTGTGATAGAATCAGCATTTTCCACGATGACATGACCTGCGTAGAAATGACGCCATGCCTGTGCGCTGTCCTGCGGGGACACACCTTGCCTAGCTGTGTCTCTGCTGCTGGGTTTGCTGGTATTTTTAAATGATGCCATGCCTGTGCGCTGTCCTGCGGGGACACACCTTGCCTAGGTGTGTCTCCGCTGCTGGATTTGTTGGTATTTTTAAATGACGCCACACCTGCGCACTGTCCTGAGGGGACGCACGTTGCCTAGCTGTGTCTCTGCTGCTGGATTTGTCGGTATTTTTAAATGATGCCACGCCTGCGTGCTGTCCTGCAGGGACGCACCTTGCTTAGCTGTGTCTCTGCAGCTGGGTTTGCTGGTATTTTTATAATCCTGCACTGTTACAGGTATATTCATGTGTGCTGTCTCACTGTCCCCTCATTTCACGCTATTTTTTTAGGCTAGACGTCCAGGAACAGACTTGCTCCGTCAACCACAGGGCATGGGCGTGGGGAAACAGTAGACCACAGGCTGACGGGGAAGAACACGCCTGTTGACTTGGGACTTTCTTTTCTTACAGCTGTCTCATATACAAATTACAAGAAAACGCCCCCACCGGTGCCCCCTCGGACCACCTCCAAGCCTCTGATCTCGGTGACGGCGCAGAGCAGCACCGAATCCACCCAGGACGCCTACCAGGACAGCCGCGCACAGAGGATGTCCCCGTGGCCCCAGGACAGCCGCGGCCTCTACAACTCCACGGACAGCCTGGACAGCAACAAGGCCATGAACCTCGCGCTGGAAACGGCCGCTGCCCAGCGCCACCTGCCAGAGAGCCAGAGCAGCTCTGTGCGGACCAGCGACAAGGCCATCCTGGTGTCCAAGGCGGAGGAGCTCCTCAAGAGCCGCTGCTCCTCCATCGGGATTCAGGTAGCTGCTCTTGGCCGCCCGTCAGGGCCTCGCTCCACTCAGTCCTGCCAATAGCCTAGAATAAGCCAAAACCCAACCAGCGGCCCTGGGTCCTTAGCACTGACTGTAACCCCAGCAGGGCTGTGGAATCTGAGAGCAGGGCTGTGCGTTCGCCTTGCAGACCTGCCAGCGCAGTGAGTAGGTGGGAGACCCCCGAGGTGATGCGGACCCCAGTGCAGGGCTGAAGGAAACCCAGGGGTTCCAGCTCCCTGTCCCCTGCCACCCTGAAAATACACTCCGGGCCACTTGTTTTCCAAGGGCCAAAGGCTGCCTAGAGAGTATGGAGATAACACTGTTTTGATGCTTTAAAGGGGAGGGTTTCTGTTGAAGTCTGATTTTTCAAAAGCTTTTCGGTATTGTGGCCAAAGAATTGAGTGGGGAAACCAAAAGGTGCTGGGAATGAAGAGGTAAAAGGAAGGGCATGCTCTCCTCTCTACAGAAATTGGACGTGCTCACAGCAACTTCAGGTGCTGGCAGGCCCCTCAGCTGGGGTCACAGATGTTGCATCCATGGTTTCAGACCACAGACGGTTGACCCGCCGTCCATCTGGGCCCCCAGATGTCTACCCATGATATAGACGTGGCAGACGGTTCCTTTCCCCGTGAATGGAGAGCTCTGGCCGGCTCCTGCCCACGCTGCACCTCCCTCTGCAAGTCTGTTTTAGGTGCAGTGTTGTGCACCCAGGGAGGCCGGGAGATTGTCCTGTGATCTGGGTCAGGTAGCGCATCCCTCCGGGATCTGGCGGACGTGGTTGAGCAGGGCTGGCCGTCAAGCCCTCTGCCAACACGGCCCACCTCCTGCTTCCTTTTACCCCTTCATTCAGCCTGCGTTCCTCGGAGCTTTAACAGTCAGATTCTTGATTGCCGCTGGGGCGGCCCAGGGAGGAGGGTGAGTGGAGCGTGCTGAGAGCCGGGCCCGTGCGGCGCTGGTAGCTAGGCATGCGGGCGGAGAGAGCAGGGGAGCCGCCCGCTGGTCCAGGGCCTCCGAACCAGGTCTCCACACTGTGGCTTCATTGTTTTGTTTAGGATTCTGAATTCCCAGAGCATCAGCCATACCCAAGGTCAGATGTAAGTACCGAAATGTGCTCCAAAGCCGCGTCCGCATGACTTTCATTTTCTCTCCCTTTTTTGGATGTTCATGCGACCGCTCTTGTCGCCTCTGTCCTGATTCTATGTGCCAGGCACTATGCTGGGTGCTCCCATCTGTCCCCCTTAGATGAGGACAAGGGGCTCACCAGGGTCCCTAACCTGCCTGCAGCCCTGGGCCTCGCTGGGCTCCGGCGCCGGTAAGCAGGAAAGCTAGGGTGCCATCGCCCGTCTCCGTCTCCGTCTCCAGGGTCACGTCTGCAGTAGAGACTGGAGAGGCCCCCAAATTAGCCAGGTGACTTCCCATTGCCAGACACTCCCACCCTCTCTCTTTTCTCCTCAGCCACCTCCCACAGGTGCCCTCCAGGATATCCACCCAGCCACGACTGAGGCAGTGCCAACTTCTAAGCACGTGCAGTACCGACTTTATCTGAAATGAGTGGGACATAATTTTGGAAACTCATACAGTTAAGTCAGCACGCTCGGCACAGTGCCGCCGCTTCCTGCCCCGCCCACAGCCAGGACCCCACACCCCTCCGTGGTCAGCCCTCTTCCGCTCCCAGCTCCCACCCCTGGCATGGCAGCCTCTGCTGAGTACAGGCTTCTCCTCATCCCCCCAGCTTCCCCTGCAAAGCTCAGCCTGTGCCTTTACCCCTTCCCGGAGGCCTCTCTGGACCCCAGCCCCACACACTGTGTCCTGTGAGAGGGAACTGCACCCCCAGCCTGTTGCCACCCTGCACCCAGCACTGTGCCTGGCACATAGGGAGTGCTCAGTAAATGTTGGGTAAGCGAGTGGACGGATGGGTCGCTGGGTGCGTGCTGGGTGAGGATGGATGCAAAGACAGGAATGTAGGTGGATGACGAAGTCACCTTTCATGGCAGTAAGAAAAAAAAACGCACAACATCCTGTGTGTTTTCTGTGCATCCTGTGAGCTGGCGGTCTCACAATTATCCAAAGGAAGTGAATTGAAAAGCTACAGAGAAAATGTAGTTGGAGCAGCTCCAGTGTCAGGATAAGGAAAACAGCCAAAGAATTGAAGCCACTGCAGGAGTAAAGGGGAGGAAAAGAAGGAATCGAGCAGATGAAAGACGGGTTCCTTCTTTCAGGGAGGCGTCAGGAGGGGAGCTGCAGACGGCAGCCTTGCCAGGGCAGGAGGTGACAGGCTGGGACAAGAGTGAGCAGGCTGTGGACAGGTGGCCACGTCCCTGCCAGGCACCATTTAATCCTTACAATAACCCTGTGTGCTGGTTGTTAATTGTGCCCAGACTATGGATGGGAAAACTGAGGCTCAGGGAGGGTCAGTGACTTGCCTAAGGGCTCACGGCCAAGGCCATGAGTGAAGGCAGCGGCCGAGACTGGAGCCTGCACTCCACTCCACCCCTCTCTGCTCTGCTTCTCAAAGAGGAGAAAATCCCAGAATGATTCCGTGCCCTCAGGAGCCTGCCCTGGTTCTGTTCCTGTTCTGGGACACAGGGCAGGTGTCACGCTGTTCTGCAGCTCATAGACAAAGCTGGCTAGCCCGTGTTCCACCAGCATTCAATGGGACTGGCTTCCGGGACCTTTGGGCACAGTTTTGTCTGAGTGCAGATAGCAGGAGAATCTGTGTTCTGCGAATGTCATTCCTACAAATGAACAGCGTCCACGTCACTGAACACATCTTCTGTGGAGCTCACGCCCTCTGTGAGTCACTGGCTCATGGAGAGACAGCTCCAGGAGGGTCCTGTCCCGGGGTGGGGGGTCCTGTCCCACAATGCAACTCCCTTGTTCACAGTGCATTGCATGACCTTTTACTATCAGGGTTTGAATTCAGGATTCTCATTATAATTACTGGGCTACGTCTAACGTGATCCCTAATGAGTGAGGGTCCTCAGCTCACACCTCCTATGGCCCCCGTCCTCCTTCCCTGCCCAGCTTAGAGCAGAAGCCAGCGGCAAGTCCCCTGTTCCTCAGATGTCTGGCCCCGGCCACCTGAGTCTGGCCCTTACAGCAGGACTCACAGACAGGTCTCATCACAGCTCCAGATTTGCAGGCCAGATGCCCGTAGGAGAGAATGGGCTCCAGCCTTGGCACTCATAGGCCAGTCCTAGGATAAGGAGGAGAGCTTGTGGGCATGGCTGAGCTACCTCGGAGACGTCCTCTGACCCGGTCTGGCCTGACCTCGCTTTTCTTCATTCCAATTGGACCATTTGTGTATTCACTTTCGTTTTTATCCTTTGCGGTTTGTCTCTCCTGCTAAGTTTTCCATTCTCTTTTGTGTGCATGTGTGTGTTTGGGGAACTCTGGGAAATGTTTACAGCTCCCAGATACTGCGGTTAGGAGGGACGGAGGCCTGGTCTAACATTCAGGGTCCTTCTGTCCCTGGTGCCTTGTGAATCCCACCTTTATAAATGAGATCAGTTTTTTTGTTGTTGTTTTTTATTTTTAATTTTTTTTTTTTTTTTGAGATGGAGTCTCACTCTGTTGCCCAGGCTGAAGTGCGTGGCACGATCTCAGGTCACTGCAGCCTCCGCCTCCACCTCCTGAGTTCAAATGATTCTCCTGCCTCAGCCTCCCGAGCAGCTGGGATTACAGACATGTGCCACCACGCCTAATTTTTGTATTTTTAGTAGAGATGGGGTTTCACCATGTTAGCCAGGCTGCTCTCAAACTCCTGACCTCAGGTGATCCACCTGTCTCAGCCTCCCCAAGTGCTGGGATTACAGGCATGAGCCTCCATGCCCAGCCAAGGAGATCAGTTTCTATTCTGTGATCTCACCAGGTTGTGAGAAGGCAGGGGCAGCCTGGAAAAGACTCTGCGGCTGTCCATTCTGAATGTCCTGCCTGTGATAAAAGTGTCTGCCTGATTCTCCAGGCACACAGGCAGCTGCTCTTCCTCATGGCTGCCCCAGAGCTCCAAGCCTCACAGGCAGCTGCTCTTCCTCATGGCTGCCCCAGAGCTCAAAGCCTCACAGGCAGGGCCGGCCACTCACCTGTAGCTCTGGGAGGCAGAGCACGTCTCAGAGGGAAATAAACAGGAGTTTGCATCAGATTCAGGGCACCTGCCCTGCTATGTGTGAGGTGTTGAAGGAAGAGCGGAAAATGAGCTTGTTGGGAGAGCAAAGATTACAGATTGGCACCCTGGCCCAGTATTACTAGTGAGCGGTTCCTGCTGCCAGCCCCGCCCACTTTCATTTTCTCAGCAGCCCTACAGAAGCTGGGCTCAGAGGAGGCTGGTTGGCTTTGACGCCGCTGCTAGCCTGGGACTGCATGGGAGGTGGGACAGTGATTTTGCTCATTCATCTTTTTTTCTTGCACCCATATATTTTTCAAAACTTTAAGAGATGAGGGCTTGCTGTGTTGCCCAGGCTGGAGTGCAGTGGTGCAATCAATCACAGCTCACTCCAGCCTCAAACTCGTGGGCTCAAGTGATCCTACCCCCTCAGCCTTGCAGAGCACTGGGATTATAGATGTGAGCCAGTGTGCTCCCACTGCAATTCTAGTCAGAATTTCCTTTGGAAAAGACTCTTGAGTTACCTTTCCATTGTATAAAATAATTTATTTTCTTTGTCCCAGACTTGCTTTTCTGTCTCACATGAAGCCTCTCTATGCCCAGGATTTCTGAAATTGATAAATACTTAGCTCCTCCTGGCCAAGTATGATTTTACCATGTCCCCTTCAGACTTTACCATCCAGCAATGGAGAACTTCATTTTACTTAGAAAGATTTCATAAAAGACAGCCAGGGTAAAATCTGCACAGTTCATCATATGCGTGTGCCTTTAATGTAATATACATACCACTATTCACGTGACCGTCCTTAAAGCTGGGATGAGAGAACAGGGAATTTGCATTTGCTGTGGACGAACCTACTTGAGTCAGGCCTCAGGCTGAGAGTTTTACATCAGTTAACTGAGGCATTGGGTGTCCCCTCTTTGAAACAAGGAAGCAAAGATTCAACAAAATTTAAAAGAGTTTCCTAAGAGTTGCATGGCCAGCAAGTAGCAGAATCTGACCAGCTCCAAAAACTGTATTTTTCAAATTCACTATAAAAAATAACAAAAATATATTAGAGGAAATTTGGAGACAGAGGAAGGAAGGAAAACTTCCTTTTACTTTTGTTATATTTTTCTTTTTCATGGTACACAAACATGCCTGTGACTGCGAGTGTCTCTATGCTTGTGCATGCCCCTGGTCATTGTTGTCCATGGCACCTGTCAACCTGTGTTCTTTAAAGTCTGTATTATAAGCATTCTTGAGGTTATCTTTAGAACCATCTTTATTTTTTAGAGACAGGGTCTCTCTCACTTTATTGCCCAGGATGTAGTACAGTGGTGCAATCACAGCTAACTGCAGCCTCAGTGTCCTGGGCTCAAGTGATCCTCCTGCCTCAGCCTCCCGAGTAGCTTGTCCCACAGGTGCTACCACTCAGCTAATTTCTTTTTTTGTAGAGATGGGGTCTTGCCATGTTGCCTAGGCTGGTCTCTAACGCCTAGGCTCAAGTGATCCTCCTGCCACAGCCTCCCAAAGTGCTGGGATTACAGGCATGAGCCACCATGCCCAGCTCCATTGTTTTCACTGCTGTGTAGTATTCCGTGTCACAAGTAAATCATGACTTACTGCACATTCCTATCCCACTGTATCACCCTCATTCTCCCCAGGTGCTACTTTATAAATAATGCTGCAATGAACACCTCACACACTGGTCAGAATTTAAGGTCCTTTGTTTAGGCTGGATTCCTAGAAATAGAATAAGTGAGAGAGACAAATATTCTCCACATTTTTATGATAAAAACGAGTGTTCCTTTTACAAAATATCTTTAAAAGTATTCATTTATTTCACTCATATCAGATTTGGCAATATCTACCAAAATTATAAAGTGCAAATACCTCTGACCCAGACCTCCCGTCTGGTGAATATATTCAGAGAAGTTTTCACACAAGTACAGACATGTATTTATATAGCAGCATCATTTATAATGGCAGAAAACTAGAAATAACCAAATTTCCCCTGCACTGAAGGCTCATTAAATGCACTAGGCTATACTCATAAAATGGAATCCTTTGCACTTAAAACACGAGGCAGCTCCATATGTACAGACATGGAATTTTAAATGTATTAATTGTATTACAATCCTTTGCGTAAAATAACACTGATCATGTTTATGTCGAGCAAGGTAAGGTTTAATAAAGTCGTGACCCACTTAACACTAGAAACGGGAATGGTAAATTCTGACAGGAAGGCCAGGATCTTCACTCAAGAATGTTCTTCCTCCTGTAGCCCGTCTCACCCAGCTATCAGAACACGCATCCCAGTCTAGGGTCAGCTTCTGCAAACACGCATCCCAGTCTCGGGACCGCTTCTGCGCCTGTCTTCAGAATTACACCCGGTGAAAGTGGACGTCTCTGTCCGTTCCCCTGGATCCACGGCGGCGGCCGAGAGCTCCAGGGTTTTCTCGCGCTCTGTCTTCTGTGCGGCACCCGGCTCTGGGGTCAGAGAGATCCCGGCAAGAGCCCTAGCCCTGACCCCAACCAGGGCGCGCTCCTGAGCAAGTCACCCCCCTCCTCTGATCCGCCAGCTCTCTCCTGGGGCTGGAAACATCCTTGGGGTTATTGTGTGGAGTACACGTGATAACGCTGGAACCTCAGCCTAGTGCCTGGCGCAGGGTACGCACCAAATAAGTCTTCGCTGTTACCATCAGTACCTCTCTTAGCCACAAATCTGAGCCAGTCCTCGTTGACACAGGCTTAACCTTAGGATAGTCACAAAGGGCAACTCAAATGTTAACGTGCAGCTCCTCTCTCTTGCCTCACAGGGGACAGGGTCAGAAATATTTCATGCTTTGCACCTTTTCCTTGTAGTGATCAGTAATATTTTTAAGAAGGGAGAGATTTTATAACTTAGCTATGACACTTCAGAGAGGGCTCAAAAGTCCTTTTGATACAATAGGTAATACTTTTCTGGAAAGAGGAATGACTGAGTGCCTGGAATCATATCAATGGCTTAACTAACCTTTGGTTTCACAGTTTTCCTACTTGGTTTGGTTTTGTTTTTTTTTTTTTAGAGAACGTACTGTACTAGAATTCCCTTGTGGGATAACTTCACATAGCTGATGATCATTGCAAGGCTTGTTGGGTTTGTGGGGACTTTTTGGCAAATACAGCCACAATCAGAATTCTCTGTGGAATACATGATTTCTGTTCTGATCTGACGTCACCCTGCTGGCCATCCTCTTAGCAGACGTGAGACAGCTCTATGGAGATGAAGGTGGAGAGTTTGCCTCTGTTTCTGATCAGTGCTGAAATTCCTTTCTGTGTCTTTCTGTACGTGGATGCAGCCATCAGTATAAGTCTTTTAAATCGCTTATTTGTTGTCATTAGCTGTGTTTGGTTCATGCTGTACTTTCTTCACCATAGGGCGTGATAAGAGCTTTTAAGTCCTGTTATAATGCAGTTCAACAACACCTATTTTTTGCCTGAGCTGAACTAAGCAGTTTTATTTGCATACATTTAGAAGACCAAACTGCAGCCTTGAGTTCAGGTAGTTATGTAAAATGTGATGAGACGCAGGAGTGATGTAATTACTCCAGTGTGAATGCATTTCCCTCTCTGCGGTTTTACTGGGTCAAGTGCACCGCTGCATTAATTAAACAAATGCGTAATTAATTACAGCAAATCCACAACAACAACAAAATAGTCCCTTGCCCAGGCCCCATGTTTCAGTTCTAAAATAAGACGTTCTCTGTTGAATTAGGTGGAAACGGCCACAGATTCTGACACGGAGAGCCGCGGTCTGCGGGAATACCACTCTGTCGGGGTGCAAGTGGAAGATGAGAAGCGGTAACTCAGCCCCTCCTGACACGCGGTGACCCCCGAGCGAGGGCTCTTTGTCAAAGGCCTGATGGAAGCTCCTAGATCCTGCCGGCCCTCAATCATGCCTGTCCTTGTGGAAACAGGGCCATACGTTTATACTTTTCCATTGATAACCCTCAAGTATGAATTAACACCCGCCTATGTCTTGTTTTTGCAAGAGGCAAGGGAGTAATTCTTTCCAAAGTAATTTATCACCTCTGAAAGCAGAGCAGCTGACGGCCTGAAAGTCAGAGTCCTTGATCCAAAGGAAAGAAGGACGGGCTGAGGGTGACGCCAATGCAGGCCTTACGCCTTGTCATGTTACACGTAAAACGATAGAAAGACAGCAAAGCACGTTCAAGGCCTTCATACACCGTGAAATTGTTTCACTTCAAAAATATTACCTAGAAACAAAAAATACAAAGTGATATCCATTAGTGTTATTTTTGTAACAAGGCAGGACGATCATTTTAGTTTATATTTAAAATAGCATGTATTGTCTATTTCATAAAAACAAATTTTGATGAGAATATTACATGGTGAGGGCTCAGCCAATGTGTGACAGGGACAGTGTTGGGTGGCCTCCCTCATCAGGGAGCGTTTTAGCACCCACCCTATGGAGATTTTGATTGCAAAGAAATTCCGACCCCAGCTTATGGCTTCCCCAGTTTCCAAGAGACCTCCTAGAACCTGGCCATCTTCTGCACCTGGGAGCCGGGCAGGCTGCCTTCCATCCTGCTCTGTGGCTCAGTGTCCCTCCCTGTGCCCCCAGCAAAGGGAACACGTGGCAACGTCACTAACCAGCTGCATGCACAGCTGTGTGCTTCTATGGGTTCAGCCTGCAGAGCCACAGGGATGGCTGCAGTAGCTGGGACTATGTAGACACAGAGAGACACACACACACCACACAGGCACACGATACAGAGCATACCCACGTGCACACACACGCTCACAGTGTTCTCACCCAGCATACTGGTCTCCAACTGTAAGCCCCCTCCTATCAACTATTTTGGTGATCAGCTATGTGGAAAAGATGACATTAAAATATAGACAGTGAAAATGATTTTCCAACACCTGCCAAAGTCAGAATTTGGAGTCATTATTTTGCATACAGGGGTTAATGGGGACATATTAAATTATCCAGACAGAAGTGGCTCAGGCCCTGAAACACAATTTGGAAGCCACTACAACTCAGTATGATGTTACTATTGTTTACATAAAAGAAGCAACCCATGGCTTTGGCTGCATAAGCTCGTAGCATATTTCTGAAAGGGAGGTAGCCATTTGCTAATGGTGGTTTCAAGAAACACGTTAACTCTCATTGTATCATTCAATAAACTTAAATCCCAAGTGGGTGTTATTTAGGCCTGAGACTTAGGCAGATGTTAAAGTATAATGATTTGCAAAACCAAATGTTCTTCCACAGACAAAACACCAGCATATTTCACAAACAAAACACTACCTGCCCTTGAGCCGCCAGGCTGTTGAGCTCAGGTGCGCTCCTGACAGGCGACATGTAGGACTTTGTTGCATGAAGTCCTCTCAGAAGGGCTACCATCTGTCTTCCTTCCCTCCTTTTGCAGACACGGACGTTTTAAACGTTCTAACAGCGTCACGGCCGCCGTCCAAGCTGACCTGGAGCTGGAGGGGTTCCCAGGCCACATCACCACGGAGGACAAAGGCCTTCAGTTCGGCTCATCCTTCCAGCGGCACTCCGAGCCCAGCACCCCCACCCAGTACAGCGCGGTGAGAACTGTACGGACCCAGGGGCTCTTCAGCTATAGAGAAGACTATCGGACCCAAGTGGACACCTCCACCCTGCCCCCTCCAGACCCCTGGCTGGAGCCCGCCATCGACACGGTAGAGACTGGGAGGATGTCTCCGTGCCGCAGGGATGGCTCGTGGTTTTTGAAGCTGCTGCACGCAGAGACAAAGAGGATGGAAGGCTGGTGCAAAGAGATGGAGAGAGAGGCGGAGGAGAACGACCTCTCGGAGGAAAGTAAGAGCTCAGGCTTCCCTAGGGCCTCTTAAATATCATTTCTCAGTAATGCAAATATGCACATCACAGCATTAGTGGAGAAAAGTTCCTCCCTTTGGTATTCAAGTGAAGGGAAATAAATGTGCTTTCTAGTATATCCCCCTCAATTCTAAGAAAAGATATAAATTACATGAAAAGAGAAGCAGTCACTACGATATCGAAGGAAAATTGTGTGTGTTTTGTCAGGTAAGTTGAATAGAAAATCAACTGTGCTAACAGTTTTCTTGGGAGCATAGTTGATCTCATATTCCACTTAGCAGTTCTCTTGAATTTTGGCAAAAACTTAATTTGCAGCATTTATGTTATTTTCTAGAATTGTTACCAGCTCATGCTTTACAAGAAAATGCCTTGGCATTATGCCAAAGAGAAGTCGATGGTAAGTAAAAGATTAAGTTAGTTAACTGTGTGATGATGTGCTCAAAGGTCTCACTCCTGGGTGGAATGGGAAGGCCGTGTCATTCCTCTACCAGAGTCACCACCAAAGGTCTCACTCCTGGGTGGAATGGGAAGGCCGTGTCATTCCTCTACGGGAGTCACCACCAAAGGTCTCACTCCTGGGTGGAATGGGAAGGCCGTGTCATTCCTCTACCGGAGTCACCACCAAAGGTCTCACTCCTGGGTGGAATGGGAAGGCCGTGTCATTCCTCTACGGGAGTCACCACCAAAGGTCTCACTCCTGGGTGGAATGGGAAGGCCGTGTCATTCCTCTACGGGAGTCACCACCAAAGGTCTCACTCCTGGGTGGAATGGGAAGGCCGTGTCATTCCTCTACGGGAGTCACCACCAAAGGTCTCACTCCTGGGTGGAATGAGAAGGCCGTGTCATTCCTCTACCAGAGTCACCACCAAAGGTCTCACTCCTGGGTGGAATGGGAGGGCCGTGTCATTCTTCTACCAGTGTCACCAGGGCAGATCTGTCCCAGTCCCGTTGGTACTCACCTATGCCTCTGCTTCTCCACATGGAAGGGGACAGCCCCTTATTCTCCGCCTTTCTCCCATCTGCCTAGAGAAACCTACCATCAAGACCGTTCAGGCCAGGCACGGTGGCTCACGCCTGTAATTCCAGCACTTTAGGAGGCTGAGGCGGGTGGATGGCCTGAGGTCAGGAGTTACAGATCAGCCTGGCCAACATGGTAAAGCCCCATATCTGCCAAAAATTCAAATGAGCCAGGCGTGGTGGCGGGTACCTGTAATCCTAGCTATTTGGGAGGCTGAGGCAGGAAAATCACTTGAACCTGGGAGGCAGAGGTTGCAGTGAGTCAAGATCGTGCCATTGCACTCCAGCCTGGGCAACAGAATGAGACTCTGTCTCAAAAAAAAAAAAAAAAAAAAAAAAGAGCTCAGAAGCAGCACCCATTATAAATTGCTGTATTTGATTGACTTCTAAGCTAATACCACCTGTCTTTGTTTATAGACCAATTACATAATTGCACAATACCTACAACTAATGCTTATGTTTAACACAGTACAATTTCACAAAGCTATTTCTGAATGTCTTGACAAATTACGGTCTAAGTATTTTTCTTTTTCTGTGAATTTATTTGTACATTGACAAGATCATTATAAATGCTGAACTTCAAAAGGATAGCTGAGATCCTTGGGAATTTGTCCCTGACATTTCATTTCTAGATGGCTGTTTTAATAGGGCATTCACTAATCCTAGAAATAGAAGTGCAACAATGAAACTACATTGACTATGACTTACAGAGAATAACGGCCTTGGAGCCTCGGCAGTCTGAGAAAATCAATGGCGTGCTGATTTTTTATTGTTAAAACTTAAGGTCTGAACCTATGAAGAAAGAAAGACATTGCCTTTAATTGACTAAGCCTGTTCTTCCACATTTGTCTCTTAATCATCAAATCCCACCTATTCTTTACAGGAGGTGACGATGGACGCCGAATGTTGGGGAGATGCTGCCTTCCACGTGACCCACAGTCCCCGCAGCACGGCTGCATGGGGCTGGTGCAAGTCAGCACAGCCGTGTTCCGATCGTTCACACGGCGTTTGCATTTCTCATGGTTAGGGTACATTTAACAGAGTAACTTCACAATTTTGATATCTAAAAATCACTCATTTTCTGCAGCATCTTCCACCCTTGTTAGTATATGCCTCAACTTGGCCAAATTGTCTTAATTATAAAAGGGATTTATAATCTTTAGCACAAAGATAAAACACAGAAAAACTGCATTGCCTAAGTTGACGCCAAATTAAATTGCCAGCTCTGGTTTTGTGCATGCTGACAGGGGCAGCGTAGGGCTGGGGTGCCTTCCTTCCAGGATGAGAGCAGGTGATGAGACCTGCATGTCACTCAATCAAGCTGTGTTTTCTACACCATGTGTTTCCTCAAAAGAACACCTTTGAGGAGGAGGAGAGAGGAAAAAATTTAGGAGAGAGGAAAAAATTTACAAAGAGGTCATGTTTGTTTGTCAGGGCTTAGCCCATAAAATGCCTATAAAATTGTATCCTATTATCATTTGAGTTTATCCCATTCGGGACACATTCAGAAAGTTGTAGTCTTCTTTGGAAGGTGTAAGACATTGAGACATTAGCCATTACTGTGTTGATAACACAGAGACTACTTCTCCTGTCATCATTTTCCATGTTTAGTGCATACTTTCAATTTCATTTTTTCAAGGATTATCATTTTTGAAAAGATATCTTTTAAAAAAAAATAGAATCCTCAGCTGGGCACAGTGGCTCACACCTGTAATCCCAGCACTTTGTGAGGCTGAGGCGGGAGGACTGCTTGTGCCCAGGAGTTTTAGACCAGCCTGGACAACACAGTGAGACCTTGTCTCTACCAAAAAAAATAATAATAATAATAATTAACATTTTAAAAAGTAGCCCGGTGTGGTGGCACATGCCTGTAGTCTCAGCTTCTCAGGAGGCTAAGGTGGGAGGATTGCCTGAGCCCCAGAGGTGGAGGCTGCAGTGAGCCGAGATCTCACCATCACTGCAGAACAAGACCCTGTCTCAAAAAAGAAAGAAAGAAAGAATATCTAGACCAGTTCTCCCTGAACACATATGATATGTCAGGCCCTGTGCCGAATGCACTGCAGACCTCATTAATGCTCATCCCAATGGACTAGGTGAGTAGTATTGTAAGCATTCTACAGATAAACTGGGGCTCTGAGAGATTAAGATCTTGCCCCAAATCACAGAATAGTAGCGGTGACCCGGGACTGGGAGTCACGGCCCTCTGACGTTGAAGGCTCTGCCTTCCCAGCAGTGATCTGGGACTGGGAGTCACGGCCCTCTGACGTTGAACGCTCTGCCTTCCCAGCAGTGATCTGGGACTGGGAGTCACGGCCCTCTGACATTGAAGGCTCTGCCTTTCCACCCACGGTCCAAAGGCATCAAGTCAAGAAGTTCCCTTATGGGAAGCACCCCCTCCACTGCCTGCTTCCATGCTGGATGTGCATCCCATCCTTTCACCTGCTGTTTCAGACAAGGGTGTGTCCCATCCCTGACCCTTCACCTCATTCTGGTCCTCCACGACTGTGACCCACGTGTGGTCCACAGAGTCCCTCAGCTGCGAAGACAGAGGCCAAGGTTCTCCCGCGTTAGCCATTGGAAAATAAGTGGCAGGAGCTGTAAGGAGGCAAATTATTTCTCAAACCAAGAATGAAAGTCCCTACAAAGGGCTTTAGTGCTGAGGCCCTGTCATGGTAAGTCCTGGTTTTCTGTCACTGGAGGCATTCCAGAATATTCTATAAATTATGCCATAAAAATACTACATACAAAATTGAATTTGATGACGTATAGGGACCCAAATCAACAGTAAGATTCCAAAATCTTAGGATATATAGTATTTTTTTTTTTTTGAGAGGGAGTCTTGCTCTTTCTCCCAGGCTGGAGTGCAATGGCACGATCTCAGCTCACTGCAACCTCAGCCTCCCGAGTTCAAGTGATTCTCCTGCCTCAGCCTCCCAAGTAGCTGGGACTACAGACACGCACCACAGCACCTGGCTAATTTTGTATTTTTAGTAGAGATGGAGTTTCACCATGTTGGCCAGGATAATCGTGAACTCCTGGCCTCAAGTGATCTGCCCCCCTTGCCCTTGCAAAGTGCTAGGATTACAGGTATGAACCACCATGCCCAGCCAGGATATCTAGTATTTCAGTGTCACTTACCTTATTATTAGGCATCTGAAAAACTATTTTTCTTCAGTAAGGTAGGGTGGAAAATTAATTTTTGCTGACTCCAAATTATATTCCCCTAAACATATGTTTGGTTTCGTGGTGGGATTTTTGTTTTGTTTTGTCTTGTTTTTTACCTTTTTTGAGCCATCAGGATCCTCCTCTGGACTCTCTCAGTGATGTCTACATTCCATAGATATTTATTGATTACTTACGACGAAGCAAGCCACTCTCCGATAGACAAAAATGATGCAACAATGAGTAAGACATGGTAAAGGACCTAACTGATT
Source organism: Homo sapiens (assembly GCF_000001405.40). Lineage (NCBI taxonomy): Eukaryota > Metazoa > Chordata > Mammalia > Primates > Hominidae > Homo > Homo sapiens. Next base: position 1,683,099 of record NC_000008.11, read on the forward strand.
ACCTAACAGTGGGAGAAGACCAGGTACAGGAAGTGGAAACTGTTGAGTGTCATAAGAGAAGTACAGATAAAGTACTTAAAAACTCAGAGGTCTCAGCAATGCTTTCACCTGGGAAGATTCTCAGAAGGCTTCCTGGAGAAGGTGGCACTGTGCTGGGCCTTGACACGCGGTTGGATTTGGTCAAGGTGGTGGATGGTGGTGACTGAAAAGGAGATTCAAGAGTCCACGCAGAGGCAGAGAACTGGGGAACAGAGGCCCCTTTGTCTCCTTCCTCTGGAGGAAGATCTTCATGTCAGCACTGCCCTTCATCCTGCCTGTGGGGAGGGTCTGTGCTACCTGACCTCACAGAGCCTTCTGTGGCCGGGGCATTCCCCATACCCTGGGGGATGATGGAACTTGCCTAAAGCTCCGCACCTCTGCTGTCATTTGAGATTTTAGGCTCCTTCAATGAAGTGGCCACATTTGACATTTATCATCCACAGACAGTGCCTCACACATCGCCTGGCACAGAGTGCCAGACAATAGGAATGGGGAGGAAGAGAGGGAAGCAGGAGGATGGGCTGTCTTAGCGAACAGGATGCCACACTCCTGCTCACACCTTTATAAAAGCAGAACATCTAGACTCCCAGAGAATCACCTCGCCATCCTCAGTTATGGAGGCTGGGAGTAGCTTCAACACTTCCCATTCTATAGACATCCACTGAAATGATCCTGATTTTCCTTGTCTTTGCTCCACTATATATATATATATATATATATGTGTGTGTGTGTGTGTGTGTGTGTGTGTGTGTGTGTGTGTATACACATATATGTGTATATATATATGTGTGTATATATGTGTATATATATATGTGTGTATATATATATATATATATATATATATATATATACTTTTTTTTTTAAGACGAAGTCTCACTCTGACACCAAGGCTGGAGCGCAGTGGCGCGATCTCAGCTCACTGCAACCTCTGCCTCCCAAGTTCAAGCAATGCTCCTGCTTCAGCCTCCTGAGTAGCTGGGATTACAGCTGAATGCCCCTACACCCGGCTAATTTTTAATCAGAAAATGTAACTGCATTGCTATAAACTTTGAACACAAGGAACAGAGAATGGATGAACTTGATACTTTTTGTGATTTTCTTAATTTCTTAAATTGCCCAGATACCTTCATCTTTTTGTGGACAGATGTCAAAACACTTGTTATGCCCCTCATCTGTGTGTTTTGTCCATAAAACTAGCACAATATTCATCAAGTTCAGATATTTCCCTAAATGTTTAAAAGGTAAGATGATAACCTTAATTTCCAGTCCTAATTTTAGGAGCAGATACAGGGTTATTGGTTATGGTACTTTTTAAAATAAAGATTAAATTAAATGTCTTATGAGACTAAAACTCTGATCTCTGAATATTGAAATTTCCATTATATGAAGTAATTTTTGCCCAAAATATAATTTCATAACACAGTTCCCCGAACTGATTGAATGAATCTAGATTCAGTCAGTCTTCTATGGTTAATAAAATCTATAGTGAACCCAAAGAAATGCTGGTCTGCATAAAGTCACATTAATGCAGGCTGCCTATTGTTAATAAAAGTACTTTCAAGATATTAAATCATTAGTAATGTTTTAAGATTTTTGTATTATGTCAAACCAAATGGGTAAATACATAAAGGAAAAATCAAAAATGTGCATATTTTCTAAAACAAAAGAAATCCTTCCCAAGCTAAGACTTTATTGAATAATTCCATTGAGATGCAACTCTCATCAAGAACTCACCAAGGGAGCACATGTACACACAGGATCTTTCAAACGGTATCGGAAACTTCCTTGCCCCAAATGACTCCTCCCGAAGTAACGAATAACCTACATGTTCACCGGGTCAGATGCACATTCAAGGCAAACACTAATGCTGGGAGGAACATAGGGATTTGCTCACTAAGTTCTCCTTTTACAGCCAGAATGACCACAAGTCCTATTAACACAAGAGCCGGGGTCAGATGTGTGACTTTGTATCTCCTGGGCCATCTTCCATGCTGAGACAAAATGGTCTGGATGGGGAGAAGCACCCCGGCAGTTGGCACTCACACAGCGGTCAGCAGCTGACAAAGAGCCCAGAGAGACTCTGAGAATGAGCAGAACACATGCTCCATGCAGGGCACGAGGATGACATGGCCACAGAGAACTGTGCCTGTGTCCATGGTTGGCCCAGGTGGTATCAGACCAACAGAGAAGATTGAGGAATCAGAAATACTGATGACGTTCTGAGCACAGCAGATGCCTGTGCACATATTGGCAGCTACCAGCCTTAGGGGTCAATGTATCACACAGCTTAATGGAACGTCCACTGCTTCCAGACCTCCTGGGAGATGCAGGTCATAGACTGTGTCCATTTTGTGGATCAGACTAAGAGAATCAACCCACTGACCAGGCCTCTGCTAAGCACCTATGAAGATGTTGCCATACAACCCAACTAAATGGTCATGGGGAAATCAGACAATAAAAAGACATGGATGCTTGTCAGCACAGGAAAAGGAAACAGCAGAGTGAAAAGACAACTCACAGAATGGGAGAAAATGTCTGCAAACTGCCCATCTGACAAGGGACTAAGAACCAGAATATACAAGGAGCTCAAATAACAGAAAAAAAAAAAAATTCAAAAATGGGCAAAAGACCTGAATAGGCATTTCTCAAAAGAAGACATACAACGGGCCAACAGGTATGTGACAAAAGATTCACCACCACTAACCATCAGGAAAATGCAAATCAAAACCACGATGAGATGTCACCTCATCCCAGCTAGAATGGCTATTATCACAAAGACAAAAAAACAGCAAATGCTGTCACAGGTGCGGAGTAAGGGGAAAGCTTGCACACTGCTGGTTGGAATATGAAGTAGCCACTATGGAAAGCAGTATAGAGATTTCTCAAAAACTAGAAATAGAACCACCATGTGATCCAGTCATTGTCCTGCTGGGCATAGACCCAAACAAAAGGAAATTCATATGTCAAAGGGATTTCTGCACCCACATGTTTATTGCAGCATTATTCATGTTAGCCAAGATATGGAAGAGACCTAGGTTCCCATCAGTAGAAAAATGGATAAAGAAAATGTGGTAAGAAAGTAATGTGTGTGAATAATATTCACAGTGGAATATTATTCAGCCATAAAAAAAGGAATTAAGTCTTGTCATTTGGAGCAACATGGATGGAATTGGAGGTTATTATGTTAAGTGAGATAAGCCAGGCACAGAAAGATAAACACTGCGTAATCTCACTCTGATGTAGAGCTCAGGCGGGCGCAGTGGCTCATGCCTGTAATCCCAGCACTTTGGGAGGATAAGGCAGGCAGATCACCTGAGGTCAGGAGTTTGAGACCAGCCTGGCCAACATGGTGAAACCCTGTCTCAACTAAAAATACAAAAGTTAGCCAGGCATGGTGGCGCACGCCTGTAATCCCAATCCCAGCTACTCAGGAGGCTGAGACAGGAGAATCGCTTGAACCTGGGAGGCAGAGGTTGCAGTGAACCAAGATCACGCCACTGCACTCCAGCCTGGGCAACAAGAGGGAGACCCCATCCAAAAAAAAAAAGCAGAGCTCATGAAGGTGGAGAGTAGATTGGTGGTTACCGGAACAGGAGAGAGGAGGAAGAGAAGTTGATTCATACTAATGGGTACAAAAATACAGTTAGGTGGAAGAAATAAGTTCTAGTATACAATAGTACAGTAAGAAAACATGGTTAATAATGTATCATGTATTTCAAACTAGCTAGAAGAATTGTAATGTTCCCAACACACACACATAAATGTTTGAGGTGATGCACGTCCCAGTCATCCTGATTTGATCTTAGCACACTGTAGACATCTGTTCAAATATCATATGTGCCCCCAATAATATGTACAACTGTGATAAATCCATTAAAAACACACAGAAACGTGCTCAAAAACATGAAAATCATGAGGCTCGAGATCTTGAAAGGAGATTTCTGGGAGCCATAGCTTAGGCAGACCCCACTACAAAATTAGTTACAAGGGAATCTCAGGGGATCACAGGGGTTACAAATACTCAAATGATCATTTCCGACTCTCTGCAAATTTTATAAAAATCCATCTCAAATATTAGAACACCAGAATAGTGTGAATTATGTTACTTCATACCAAATTTAGATAGAATTGGAATTATAGAAAAAATAAAAGAGCCAAGTGTGTTAATCAAATTTCTTTGTACATGGAAGGCAAGGGTTCTAGCAGGTTCTTTGTGAATTTGCATTCTGATGAGAATTAGTCCTTAGTATAGCTCCTGCAAGTGTCTAAACTATGGCAAAATTAGAGACATATACTGGGAGAGAATAAATTGAATTTTCACTTCAACTTCTTTGCAATTATAGGAAGCTACTTACATTATAGGCATCAGATAGGATCATTCTCACTCACTGAACAGCAAAATTCTCCTACCATTAGCAGGCATGTCATTAGCTACACTTTTTGACATTCATTATCTCTCCCTAGCAATATTCAATTTATTCCCTTTATAATAACTCTCCACTACATTAAATCGATACCAAGATTTTGCCCATGTGTTCATGTTGTGTTAAAGAGTATAAATTGAAGTACTTTGTATTAACAGTTCAGTTGAATTCCATTTTAAGGGGAATGTGAAAATTGGGAATTAAACTTCAAATTTTAAGAAACTGATTGACTTTTAAATTACAGTTTGAGGAAGCATAGAGTTGGCAAAATAAATTCATTTATTCATCCACTTCTATATATTTCTGCAGCAACGACTTACTTAAAATAGTCCCTTTAAATATCTTCATTAATTACCCAGGTTTTAGAATACAAAAGAAATAGAAATTCAACATTTCAAAAGCAAAGATGATTCCTCCCCTCGTCATCAGCGAGTCCAGGGCTGCAGAACACGTTCATTTTGGGGGCAGTGGAATGCACAGGAAGGATGAGGAGCTTTCACTGTCACCCCTGTCAAGAAACCACTCAAACCCCACCGCCTCCAGCTGCTTCTCGACCGACTGCAGCGGCCCCTCCACTCCCCTCACCCCCAGACTCACCCCAACTCAGAGCCCTGCCAGCTCCATCCCGTGCCATGTGGCCAGGGGCTCCTGGCTTCCTTCTCCAGTCCTCCCCTCCCTTCTCTGTTCCCAGGCTGGCTGGTAAATCAGATCCAAGGAAGAGCAGCCTGTCTTGAAGTGGATTTGTGAACGGCACAAGGCCCCGGTGTTAAGATGCCCGACAGACAACCTTCCATCCTTCTTTTCAAGACAGAAACAATGCCAAAGTGTTATCCGAGTTACTTGCTTTTATTAAAAGTTATGCTTTTTTCATCTTTTTCATACCCTAGAAGCAATGGAGAATTAGGTGATATTCAGGAACTATTGTCACCTTCGTGGGGGTGACAGTGGCCCTGGGTCTACAAGGTGGTCGCAGGTAAAGGCCTCAGGAAGAGAGAACACAGGACAACACTTACTGCCGTCTCCACGGAATGGGGAGGGAGCTGTGGGTTATACTCTTCTTTCCCATTTTCTGCATGTGTGAAAGGTTTCATAATAAAACTTTGGGGAGCAAAACAATCTTCATTTTAGAAAAATAAGACAAGACAGAAAAATAGGTTTTTAAGTCCATTATCCTACCCAGGAGAAAATCACTTTGAAGAACACATGGTACAGATTGCCAGACCTTCATGTTCTAAAAAATGAGGGAGGCACCGCACACACTGCTGTGTAGTTGACTTCTGGGTCACGGCGTGCCATAAGCCCTTTCAAATCAAGGTTATCTCTGCAACGTCATTTTCAACTGGCTCATAGCATTTTATTACATGAACATTAAGACCCTTTGTGCCCATGAAATGCGGTTCTTTTTCCCGAAAGTCGGGCTAAGGAGGAGACACTGCAGCACCCTGGCTTGGGCAGCAGGATGCCAGTTTCTGGATCGTGTGCAATGAATCTCACCAGTAACTGTCTCTAGGACTGACTGTTAAGGAATGTTTGGGGGAAGAGCTGTTGTGGAAGAACCTACACGAGGATTGGGTTCACTTCCCTGGACCTCGGTTTCGACTTCTGGAAAGGCTGTCTAGGCTTCCACAGTCAGGTGTGCCCTGGGAGCCAGCAGGGGCATCTCCTAAACGTAGAAAGAAACGGACTTTCTGGCCCGACCCGGACCCCGTGAGTCAGGCCATGCCCGGCACAAGATCCCCAGGTGAGGCACAGGTGGGTCTGCAAGGCCCCTTGAGCTCCAAGCACCTGCATGTGTCTAGGCAAAACCTCCAGCACATCGGTATTCCCTTGTGAAGTACGTAAAGCCACAGATTAAGTGGGGATGGATCTCTCGCCTCTGCGTTCAAGGGGGCAAATCTCCAGGATAAATGCCCCCTTTTCCTACACCATTTTCCACCAGCCTTGGAGAGTCAGCTTCCCATGGCTTCCTTCCAACGGAAGCAGGAGAAAGGGCTGGGCTAGTTAAACCGCAGCACTTTCAGTTTTAGGGTGTGTCGTGTAGGTTAGTGATTTGTGCTCTGCAGAGACTCTCCAGGGAGAGCAAAAAGAGCAGGTGGAATCATCAGCTTGGCCAGAAGACGCAGATGACGCCCCGTGAGCCAGCTCAGGAAAGACGGCCCCACCTTGAAGGGCCCACGCTGAAAGCCAGTGATGGGGAGACGTGGTGTGAACTGAGAGGTGATGAGATGCGTAGATCATCTGCCCCCTGCCTGGTGGGCAGCCCTGGCCCCACGTGCTGACCCAGGCACAGAAAAGCCACATACGTGTACTGGGCACGCTCTATGGAAGAACGGTGAATTGTTGCTCTGGCAAATAATATCCAGCAGAGATCAGTGGGCCCAGGGTGCACTGGTAAGAAATGGGTTCCAGTCGATTCCTGTGTGGTTTTGAGGATCATGGTGAGCTAGGATCTACCAAAGCAGCTGTTTACAAAGTGGTGACCATGCTGACAGCAGACTCAAGAGAGGGTGTGGGGCCGGGTGCGGTGGCTCACGCCTGTAATCCTTGGCCTTGGGAGGCCAAGGCGGGCTGATCACCGGAGGTCAGGAGTTCGAGACCAGCCTGGCCAACATGGTGAAACGCTGTCTCTACTAAAAATACAAAAATTAGCCAGGCATGGTGGCATGCACCTGTAATCCCAGCTACTCGGGAGGCTGAGGCAGGAGAATCACTTGAATTCAGGAGGTGGAGGCTGCAGTGAGCCAAGATGACGCCACTGCAGTCCAGCCTAGGTGACAGAGCGAGACTCCATCTCAAGAAAATAAATAAATAAAACAAAATAAACACACACACATACAGTATATTCTTTTAAAAAACTTTACAGCCAGGCACGGTGGCTCACGCCTGTAATCCCAGCTTTTTGGGAGGCTGAGATGGGTGGATCACCTGAGGTCGGGAGTTCGAGACCAGCCTGACCAACATGGAAAAACCCCATCTATACTAAAAATACAAAATTAGCCAGGCATGGTGGCATGCACCTGTAATCCCAGCTACTTGGGAGGCTGAGGCCAGAAAATTGCTTGAACCTGGGAGGTGGAGGTTGCAGTGAGCCAGGATTGCGCCACTCCACTCCAGCCTGGGCGATAAAGGGAGACCCTATCTCAAAAAAAAAAAAAAAAAAAAAAAAAATTAGTATTTGATTAACCAAATAAAGTCATTGCAATTAGGAACCATTTGTAGATTAATTCTTCCTACTGAACTGTGGCCTGCTGACTCATAGCACACTCAGAAATGTAGCGTTAGCATTACACATATACTGGGTACATGGATTGGTGAGTTTAGTAGCTGTGAGCATATTCAGTAACTTGTGACCCTTTTACCATCTCCAGGAGGGAAGCCACATCTTCCTACGTGCTACGACCTTCCTGTGAGGCCTCTGTCCACGCAGCCTCTTCCTACGTAACACACACCTCACAGCACTGCCAGGAGATAACTGCCCACAGTTCATTAGAAATTATTTAATTGAATCCAATGAGAGAACCCATATGGATGTGTTTTTTCTAAAAATGAAGGAATTCACATCTAAAAGAGTTCACTAACATGTTAGAGTCCATAAAAATAGGAAGAACTCGATGTTGCTTTCACTCACACGTGTTCTTGTGTCTTCCAGCTCATCCAAACAGCAGCACTGAAATAATCTCGATGCCAAAATAAGGAAAACTCCCTGAGGTATAGGCCGCCTTTCTAAACTAAGTTTCTCCCAGTACCCAAGGAGAATGTCCTCACAGTGACATCTGGTCATCTCTGGATTTCCTTCATGAGTTGGGGACGAGCACACTAAGGCACGAGTCACCAGCGAACACGCTCGGCACGATGAAGTCGTCAGTTTTCATCTCCAGTGGGACTCGCTCCCTTGGTGTGATGTTTCTGCTTTTGTGTAATTGACCCAGTTTTGAAGTTGTTGTTTTTTTGTTTTTGTTTTTGTTTTAAACAGTTCTCGGTAAAATCAGGAGTGCTGTTGGGAGTGCCCAGCTTCTCATGTCCCAGAAATTCCAGCAGTTTTATTGGCTTTGCCAACAGAATATGGTAAGTGAATCCTCAGTGAACCCCTGTTCCCTGTAACCAAGCTAATGGGCATCATTCCACAGATTCTCATTGTTTTCTTCCTTGTCAAAGAGTTCCCATCGGTATGCGGAATATCACGTGCACTTACTACAGAAGAGGCTTCCCGCCCTGGGGAAAGAGACGATTCGGCCCTGGTTTAAACGCGGTACCGAGGCAGGGAGGCGGATACGGCCCTGGTTTAAACGCGGTACCGAGGCAGGGAGGCGGATACGGCCCTGGTTTAAACGCGGTACCGAGGCAGGGAGGCGGATACGGCCCTGGTTTAAACGCGGTACCGAGGCAGGGAGGCGGATACGGCCCTGGTTTAAACGCGGTACCGAGGCAGGGAGGCGGATACGGCCCTGGTTTAAACGCGGTACCGAGGCAGGGAGGCGGATACGGCCCTGGTTTAAACGCGGTACCGAGGCAGGGAGGCGGATACGGCCCTGGTTTAAACGCGGTACCGAGGCAGGGAGGCGGATACGGCCCTGGTTTAAACGCGGTACCGAGGCAGGGAGGCGGATACGGCCCTGGTTTAAACGCGGTACCGAGGCAGGGAGGCGGATACGGCCCTGGTTTAAACGCGGTACCGAGGCAGGGAGGCGGATACGGCCCTGGTTTAAACGCGGTACCGAGGCAGGGAGGCGGATACGGCCCTGGTTTAAACGCGGTACCGAGGCAGGGAGGCGGATACGGCCCTGGTTTAAACGCGGTACCGAGGCAGGGAGGCGGATACGGCCCTGGTTTAAACGCGGTACCGAGGCAGGGAGGCGGATACGGCCCTGGTTTAAACGCGGTACCGAGGCAGGGAGGTGGATATGGCCCTGGTTTAAGCAGTACCGAGGCAGGGAGGCTGCAAGGGGGAGTGGAGGACAGGAAGAGGCGGGCTGCAGCAGCGCGGCGTGACACTGTGTCTTTGCAACTGGATGCCCCACCAGAGCATCTTAGAAGAGGAGAAACAAGGGAAATTTCTATTACGTCTAATGTCACAAATGAAGAAAATGATCTAAGGTGCCTGGAAATAAAAATACATAAACAACTACAATGAAGAGATTAAGAAGAGATTTTGCAAATAATTTAGCCTTTGTATTTTATAGTCGGTAGTGAAACGAATATACCATGAACTAGATGATTAATACAGTTGACGTTAAACTTGGTTATTCCTGACAAGCAAACAAAAAGAAAAACCACATATATATTTACATATACTTACATATATACATGTTAATATATACTTACATATGCTTATATATAAATATATATACACATATTAATATATAAATATATATTTGCTATTTCTGGCAGAGCAGAAAAGCTCATATATACATCTCATATATATTAGATGTATACAAGATTATAATCATATGCATCTATATGTTTATATATACACCTATATATAAACATATATAGGTGTATTTATATATAAACATATATATTAACATGTATATGAAATTTTACTTATGTATCCTTATATATACATGCTAAACATTAACATATAACAAATATATAACATTAACTACATATTTTATATATACAAATATATAGTATATATAAAATATATAGTATGTGTGTAGGCAAATATACAGTATATATAAAACATGTAAGTTTACATGGTAATATATTTTATATATACATTTGCCTACACACATGCATACATATACATTCTATATATACTGTATATCTAAGTTTACATATACATGTTAATATATTTTATATATACTATATATTTGCCTACACACATACATGTATACTTTTCCTTGGCTGACTAAAGTATTCACTATTTTGAGAAATAGTAAATAATAGTTATGCTACTTAATAAGTTGTTTTATAATACATACATCGATTTCTTTTCAGACCAAACATTTTCAGTCAAATGCAAATAGGTCTTCTCTAGGCCTCGCGTAGCAATGGTGCCAGGTGTTTTGATGATGTTTTCCTTGGCTTTTTCACGTGCAAGGAGACATAAGAATATTCTTACACATCAAAGGATGCACAAGCAAGCCAGAGTTGCCATCTCATGTCTTTTCCTTAGGATCATTAAAAAGTATGCCTTCTCTAATACTTTCCAATCAACCCCACTGAAGTTCACGGCGATTTTAAAGAGTCACCAACACATCACTCTGACAAAGTTATAATCATCATTTAAAAGAGGGAAATAGAAAGGTTTTGAGTGCCTCGAAAGAAGCCTGTAACTGTGTAAACATTCAGCTGCCATGTCACCTGTGAACGTTCTTGCCTCCTCCATAGTATCTATTTGATTATTACCTTTAAAGGAATTGATTCGGGCCACTGACGAACTCTGTGTAACATTATGCAGACTCGGGTGAGCCTAGGCAGGCACTGTCTTTAGGAATGCTCATCCAAAGCTTCCCACACACAGCCCAAGGTGCATATTCAGACCTGCTAAATGTTCCTTTCTGCTCTGCCAGAAATAGCTAATATTTGGCTTAAAATTGTTCATCCTAATATTTGTTATGCCTTTTGAGTTTTAAAATAGCTGGCTTGGCTACATCCTTTTCTTTCAACTTCTATTCAGGATTAGTAGAAAAACACTTTGACACGTTTGGGGCGGAAGAGTGGTACAGGGAGGGGTGGTGCCTGAGACAGGCCTGGCAGGAGAGGAGTGTTGACTTGTTAAGAGATGCTTCGCTCATCAAAGCCAAATGGTCCGCAGCGCAAAGTAGCACCGCTGTCTGCTGGAAGTTGTTGGTAGGTAACTAAGCTTTAAGTCAAAGAGCGACCCTAGAAAATGTCAGAACCCCAGCCCGAGATTGAGGACTGACCACAGGGAGCGGAGCCTTTCGGGACGGACCGCGGGGGGCAGAGCCTCTCAGGGTCGGGATGTGCAGGTGGCTTGTGACACAACCAGAAGGCACATAATACCGGAAATAACTTAACCTCAAAGCGTGTGGCCTGATTGCTGTGCTTGTGGGACCAGCAGTTTGGTGTCCCCAGAAACTTAGTCTCATTCACACCCACTGAGCCTGCCTCTGAATTTTAACTCCATCCAACCCCGGGGGGTGTGTGCCTGAGCAGGTGCCGGCGCACAGAGAGCTGCCCCAGGCCACACGGGGCACCGAAGTTCCTATCCAATGGACGCCGGATGCCAGAGCCACAGAGCTGTGTGAATTTAAAAGACGGCAATTTCACAAGGAAAGAGGCCCTGCATGAGTTTGCTGGGGGAAAGGGAATGGCATGGCACAACCATTGACTTTTTTTTTTTATTATAAACACCTTATCATCTCTGAATGTTCAGTGGATTCAGATGCAACCACCTCCCCAACCAAAAGAGAACAGAAGACAAAACCAAACCCTGACCATGCCAGGCTGTGCCCGTCCGGCCCCAGCATGTGGTCTGGGTGAGCCCAAAGGACGGGTGTGTTGTTGCCGAGGAGAGGAGGGGGGCACGGGAAGGCGATGCCTGCTCTCAGGCAGCCTCTGCCACAGTGGCCGGCCATGTTCCTCCTTCATCCCCCAGGAGATGTGACCAGGACCACCCAGCTGCGGGCGAGGGAGGAGAAGCCACTCCGCTTCCCCCACACCATCAGGCACAGCCGTGCCCGGCCCTACAGAAAGAGGGGCACAGCCATGACCGGCCCTACAGAAACAGGGGGCACAGCCATGCCCGGCCCTACAGAAAGAGGGGGCACAGTCATGCCCGGCCCTACAGAAAGGGGGCACAGCCATGCCCGGCCCTACAGAAAGAGGGGGCACAGCCATGCCCGGCCCTACAGAAAGAGGGGGCACAGCCTTACCCGGCCCTACAGAAAGAGGGGGCACAGCCATGTCCGGCCCTACAGAAAGAGGGGGCACAGCCATGCCTGGCACTACAGAAAGAGGGGGCACAGCCATGCCCGGCCCTACAGAAAGGGGGCACAGCCATGCCCGGCCCTACAGAAAGAGAGGGCACAGCCATGCCCGGCCCTACAGAAAGAGGGGGCACAGCCTTGCCCGGCCCTACAGAAAGAGGGGGCACAGCCATGCCCGGCACTACAGAAAGAGGGGCACAGCTGTGCCCAGCCCTACAGAAAGAGGGGATGTTCTTAGGTTGGCGAAGACTTCTGGAAGCCAGGTAGGAACCACCCCTACAGCCTCTGAGCAGCCTCCCCTGCTGCTTGTCACCTGGCCTGGCCTGCCCTGAGGCTGCAGCTCCTGGCATCCCTCGACTGACTTCGGTGCAGAACGTGGCCTCCTTGCCAGGCACTTTAGTTATCCCCACCCACAGAGGCTGAGTTCGGGCTCCCAGCCGCTGGCCAGGGCCGCCCTCCTGGGGAGCTCCTCAAGTGCCTGGGGGGGCTTTGAGTGGCCAAGGCTGCCCTCGTGTGGCTGCAGAGAAGAATGGGCTCAGCCGCGCGGAGGGCAGCTGGGGGCCCCAGGTCCTGGCTCTGGGTGAGGAATCGCAGAGCTGTCCGTTCAGCATGCTCTTCACTGAGCATGCTGAGTGTGCACTGCTGAAACCATAAGCAAATCCAGTTGAATGTTGACCCACCAGAACCTCCTCTGACTCTTTTAAATCCCCACTGAATCAAGGGAGCCACACCTGGAAAAATCATTCAGATTTCAATGTAGGGAGCAAGCCGGGCACGGTGGCTCACCCTGTAATCCCAGCACTTTGGGAAGCTGAGGCAAGAGGGTTGCTTGAGCCCAGGAGTTTGAGGCCACCCTGGGCAACACAGCCAGACCCCATTGCTACAAAATTAAAGAAATTAGCTGGGTGTAGTGACCTATGCCTGTGGTCCCAGCTACTTGGGAGGCTGAGCAGGCAGGATCCCTTCAGCCCAGGAGGTAGAGGCTGCAGTGAGCCATGATCACACCTGTGCTCCAGCCTGGGCGACAGAGAAAGACCCTGTCTCAAAAATAACATACATAAATGTAGGCAGCTGGTGGAAATCATGTATCTGTCAGGCACTGGGCAGAGAAACCAAGCACGTCTCTGGGCCACTCGGCCCAGGGCTGCAGCCCAGCAGCGTCACCTGTGCCTCCTAAGTGTGGGCGCCGGTTGGTGAGAGCATCCTGTTCCTTGGCGCATTACATTTGTAAGGTGTCATCACCGTAAGAACGAGAGCTAAGAGCCGTCAGAGAACAAGCAGGTATAGAATGGGCTCCAAGCTGGTTCCCCACTGCCACCACCAGGCCAATACCACGGCAGGCTCACGGAGCCCTGTCCCTTCCGAATCATCCACAGGTGACCAAAAACACAGGCTCCTACTGCTTTTATGAGCTGTGAAGCATTTAGAAACTCTCCCATCTGCCCCATTCCCAGCATTTTCAACGTGGAACAATGAACAGCTGTGCTACGTGTTTTTAGGCCGACAGCAAATACGTGTGCTAAAGTAAACTGTCATGGAAGCATGGCCTTCCCAAGTATCTGCCTCAGGCTGGAATTAGCCAGGCTTCTCCCTAATCCGCCTCTTGAAAGGCATGCGTGGGGAGGAGTGGCCTCCCCAGCCCTGTGCCCGCAGGAGACTCTCCTGGCTCTGAACACCCTGTGTGTGTCCCCAGGACCCCAGCGCCATGCCGAGGCCGACGTCGCAGGACCTGGCCGGCTACTGGGACATGCTGCAGCTCTCCATTGAGGACGTCAGCATGAAGTTCGACGAGCTGCAGCGGCTGCGGCTCAACGACTGGAAGATGATGGAGTCCCCGGAAAGAAAGGTAAGGGCATCCATGCAGGGCCGGCTCCCAGCAAACCCCCTTTCTCACTGCACTAACGACCTGCTGCAGATAGAGCATGACAACGGGGTTCTCAGTCTTTTGCTGGCAACACACGAGCAAATTTCCCTCTATGTATGTGTGCACATGTGTATACGCACATGTGTGTGCGTGTGTGTGCATGTGCCGAAAATGGGGCAGAATTGAAGCCTTGGGCATGGGTGGTAAATAATAGGGTCTCCCCTGCTCTGTCTCTTCTATATAAGCCTTTCAGAGAGACACTAGCCAAGATCACAAGCAAACCTGCAGCCTCATTCCTGACAGGGGTCTCACCTATGAATTATCTTTATCAAACTTGTTCTCATTGTGTAAATATTAAGCTGGCTTCCCACAGGGAAAGTTTTAGGCCTGGTTATGGACTATCTCCTATTCAATATACCTTCTAGTATGGCCACTATAGGCAAGGCGACATTTTATACCTTATTGAACCGTTTGATGAATTAATCTTCCTGTAGATCCATCAGCCTCAACCCTTAAAATAGGCTGAAATTTGCCATTAAATCTGAACCCTGGCATTTCACTTCTTCCGTGATGCTGTCATCAGAAGAACTAGTAGATAGTTCTGAGTTAGCAGCAAAGACATAGATTTCCTCACACGTTTTAAAGACGTCCTGAGGAACCATAAATGGATTTTTCTAGACAAATGTTATTAATTAAAATGATAAAGAAAATCAAGTCAGCATCCTTTGGGGAAGTGGTGTTTGGTATCCAGCAAGGATGCACACCTGGGTCATGAGAACGAGAGCCAGATCTAGTGGTCATCATCATCGGCTCCTCCCAGAAGGTGCCCTGGCCACTAGTGGAGTTCCAGGCCAGATGCAATGGATCCACAGGTTCCCTCTCATCCCAGACGACAGGGGAGTGAGGTGGGAGTGCACAGGGTCCACGTAAGCCATGCGTGGGACAGGTCCACATAAGCCATGCATGGGACTAGGCAGGTCCACTTAAACCATGTGTGGGACAGGTCCATGTAAGCCATGTGTGGGACTAGGCAGGTCCACGTAAGCCATGCATGGGACAGGTCCACGTAAGCCATGCGTGGGACTAGGCAGGTCCAAGTAAGCCATGCATGGGAGTAGGCTGGTCCACGTAAGCCATGCATGGGACAGGTCCACGTAAGCCATGCGTGGGACTAGGCAGGTCCACGTAAGCCACACATGGGACAGGTCCATGTAAGCCATGCATGGGACTAGACAGGTCCAAGTAAGCCATGCATGGGACTAGACAGGTCCAAGTAAGCCATGCTTGGGACAGGTCCATGTAAGCCCTGCATGGGACTAGACAGGTCCAAGTAAGCCATGCGTGGGACAGGTCAGTGTAAGCCATGCATGGGACTAGGCAGGTCCACATAAGCCATGCATGGGACAGGTCCACATAAGCCATGTGTGGGACTAGACAAGTCCAAGTAAGCCATGTTTGGGACAGGTCTGTGTAAGCCATGCATGGGACTAGGCAGGTCCACATAAGCCATGCAGGGGACAGGTCCATGTAAGCCATGTGTGGGACTAGGCAGGTCTGCGTAAGCCATGCATGGGACTAGACAGGTCCCAGTAAGCCATGCATGGGACTAGGCAGGTCTGCATAAGCCATGCATGGGACAGGTCCATGTAAGCCATGCATGGGACTAGGCAGGTCCACATAACCCATGTGTGGGACTAGACAGGTCCGTGTAAGCCACGGTTTGGATCTGAGGTGAAGGAGATGATCAGTGATGCTCCTGAGGGAGAAGGCTGTTCAAACGGAACGTACTGAAGTTAGCCCAGGTGCACACGATGGTTCCGTCTAGTCTCCATTCTTTGGTCATTGAGAGCAAACGTGAGCCCATCTACCCAAGCTGCGCATAGAGTATGATTCTCAAAATGGAAACGTCTTTGGGAGGCCAAGGTGGGTGGATCACGAGGTCAGGATATCAAGACCATCCTGGCTAACACGGTGAAACCCCATCTCTACTAAAAATACACAAAATTAGCCGGGCACAGTGGATCACGCCTGTAATCCCAGCACTTCGGGAGGCCTAGGCAGGTGGATCATGAGGTCAGGAGATCAAGATCATACTGGCTAACACGGTGAAACCCTGTCTCTATTAAAAATACAAAAAAAAAAAAAAATTAGCCAGGCGTGGTGGTGGGCGCCTGTAGTCCCAGCTACTCAGGAGGCTGAGGCAGGAGAATGGAGTGAACCCGGAAGGCAGAGCTTGTAGTGAGCCAAGATCGTGCCACTGCACTGCAGCCTAGGCAACAGAGTGAGACTCTGTCTCAAAAAAAAAAAGAAAGAAAATGGAAATGGTTTCTCGCTGAGGGCAGAGCACGCCAGTCCAGAAAGCGAGCAGATCTCCAGCACAGCAGAGGCTCCGTGCCTGAACAGGAGGCCCTGCCCCTCCTGAACACGGCGTCTTAAAAATTCCCTGGGATGGGCCCTGCACAGCATCTGCTGGACACTCCTACAGTGCCACACCCACAGGCCTGGAAGCTCCTTTGATTGGGGAACCCCCACAGGAAATACTGATGTGTACATCTCACAGGCTCACAGTTCAGGGGACACCAAAAGAGGAAACAGATCCTCTTCTCTCCTTTTCTCTTGGCATCCCCTGAACTATGAGGACAGTTATGTGCTGAAAAAAGGAATTACTTGTTAAAGTAGCTGAAGGTTTCAATGAACTGATCCCCCCCATTGTTTTAGATGGATGCCAAGAAGTCAGGTAAGAGTCATTGCTTCTGGCCTAGTCACGTAAAACAAGCCGAGGGAACAAAGTTCCAGACACCAAAGCAGGCTTCTTGCCACAGGCCTCCTCCGTACTCACACAACTGCCTGTCTTCCCCCAATCTACAAGCACCTCTGGGCTCCCTTTGGAATTTTTCAGAGGCTGAAGAGAAAAAGACATGAGTGGAGTTTTCCTGTTTTTCTCCCCCAAAACTAGATATCTGCTTAGGAAAGTGGTTCTGACGCCTTCTGCCGTGTGCCCTTTCCTGGGAAGGAAACAGCTGGCTACGGAGAGTCCCTGTCATGGCTCTGTCCAGAAGGGGAGACGGGGCAGGTCCCACTGTCTTTAGGAACAATGTGAATCACGGGGCAGGTCCCACTGTCTTTAGGAACAATGTGAATCGCAGAGTTAGGGACACAGACCTTTTGTGGGAACAAGTGCAAGCATTACCCTTTGCATGTGTTGCATAATTGTGAGATTTATCTAAAACGGCATACACGTATTTTAGCGTGACTTATCTGAGAGTCTGAGCTAAGGGTGAGAAATACTTGCGTCTTTTTACAAAGCAGGCAAGTGAATAGTGGTTTTATAAATATCGTCCACGTCAATGGGATTTTAGGCCAATTAGCGAATCGGGCCAGTGTTTCCCCGCACACCCATTCACGTAAGATGGTTTTCATGAACATACTGGAATCCCAGAGTCTGCAGAAAACCCTGCAGTGTTGAATAGGGATGTCCAGCGATGGTGTCCAAAACCCTCGCGATGCTCGGAGATGACACAGGGCTTTGGGAAGCGCAGGAATCGGGCGACAATGTCAGACTAGCGCAGTGACTGCAGAGACGCAAGGTGCGAATCTGCAGAATTTCTTTCCTGATTTGTCCACGCTGCCCCTGACGCCTCTGCCCCCTTTGGAGAGTGCGAGGGAGCTTCCACAAATCCCATCCTGTGCAGAAGGCAGGCCTGTGGCCTGGGAGCCGGGGACCAGGGCAGACGGGGGACGGGAGTGAAGGATGCGGCCCTGGGGGCTGCGGTCGGGAAGGGTCAGGCCAGGCCCCAGGGCCGCTGAGCTCGCGAGCTGCTGGGACCCTCCTCCGAGCACCTGCCAACGGTGACTTGCGCTGCTTTTCAGGAAGAAAGAAAGGTCCCGCCTCCAATACCAAAGAAGCCTCCCAAGGGGAAGTTTCCCATCACAAGAGAAAAATCCCTGGACCTGCCCGACAGACAACGCCAGGAAGCCCGGAGGCGCCTCATGGCCGCCAAGCGAGCGGCGTCCTTCCGGCAGAATTCCGCCTCCGAGCGCGCGGACAGCATCGAGATCTACATCCCCGAGGCCCAGACCCGGCTCTGAGGGCGGAGGCCGGCGCCTTCCCCTCGTCGCTTCCGCTTTCCCGGACGCTTGTGCAGCGCGGCGCCGCCCTGGTGGTTTCTGTCTCCTCCTCCCGCTGAACACGTCCTCGCTCCCGCGCTCCCCGCGCCCCGGACACAGCGGGACGCGGCCGGCGGCCTCAGAGTCCACGGAGCTCGCGGCGAGGACGACTTCTGCTTTTGTTGTTGTTGTTGTTGTTCACGGGTGGCCTGGCTCACACTTGGCTCTGAGGGACAGGTGTGGCGAGACCTGATTTCTCCTGCGTGTTCTCAGAGGACGGCGAGAAATGCCTCTGGAGCTGGAACCCAGCTTACATTTTGTTATTTCTATTTTTATAAATTGTGTGATAATTAGAGGTAAGAATAACAAGTAACTATAAACGGGTGCATCCCACCACTCCCTGGAGGCATTAGACACCCAAGTGGAAGGTGCTACAACCTGAAGCGCAGGAAAGAAAGGCCCATTCCCCTCGCACAGCCGAGCTTTTACTCCCTGAGCACGGGCCGCTCCGCTCCCCTGCTCCTGTCTGTCTCGGACAGAAAACACGAGGCTCCTTGTGTCAAGCTTCCTGTGATGGAAAGCGACCTCTCCAACCACCACACTCCCCGCCGTACAGTTCTCCAGAATCCCAGGCGATGACAAGTCTGAACCCACGAAAATACCCAGCGCAGCATCTACACATTCAAAAGATAAGCTGAGTGTTCCCACCAGGAAGTCACGCGCAGAGAGGAGAGTCTTACGGAGGGCTGGGAGCTTAAAAGGAAAACAATGTCCTTACTTGTAAACAGTTATTGTATTTTTTATTTCTTTCTAACTTAAAATACGACACCCAGTATTTTCTTTAAGTTTCACCATTTACGCTACATGTGATTTTTTTAATGTATGTATATATATATATTCTCAAATTGCTCTATCAGCTGACTTTTCAGGGTATCCTTAAAAAAAAACACACACGAAAAACAAAAGTTTGCTTGTTTAAAATGACAGTTGTGATGTAAAAAGTTTAAGAAATATGAATGTGAGTGGTAAGTATATCTCAGTTTAAATGGTAAAGAAGAAATGTAGTTTACATTTGTATTTTTCCAGAATTCTTTTGTCCTATGCAGTATTGCTAAAGTCGAGAATATATTCCTTGCCTGTGTTAGACATGAAGGGAAAAAGAGGTCACATATTGTGATTTCCAGCTGTAGCATTCAAAAAAAAAATTGGTGTTCATGACTCTGTGGTCGGTGCCAGAGGAAAATAGGAACGACTCTAATTAATAGGCTTTCTGTGTATATAATTAAATTTAGCTGCTGCAACCATTGTTCTGACACGACTTCTGTTTCACAGTTCAGACCGGTCTTCAAAGGAAAAGCCTGTCCGATTTTTCCATGGGTTCCAGTTTCAGAGTTCTCATTATTACTCAAAGTAAAAGCGGACTGCGATTTAAGATGTTTCCACCCCAATACCTGGTCTTCCTTCCCGGCTTAAGGAGTACCATGTACTTAGCCACAGGCAGAATAGCTTTCGATGACCCCATAGCACTTTGTTTCTTCGCCTTGATTTGCACTTTACAATGTCCCCAGCCCCTCTGCAGCCCGTGGCTGGCAGGGCGTTCGATGTGCGGTTGGCCCCCAGCGCGCCCTCCAGAGCTGCGGTGTCTCCCTGCCTCATTCCCCACATCCCACTGAGCATGGGACCATTGGGAGCAGAGCTGATATTAAAGCATGTTTAGCTTCGAAGTTTTACTTTTTTAAAGCTGAGTAGTTAAGAATTCCCTGTAAAAACAAAACCCTGTAAATTGAGCCTCATGTCTGGTATATATTTTACCAAACAGCCTTAAAATATATTTGGAAGCAAAAATCAGTACGAATGTATCTCCTTGAAAAATGCAAAAAAAAAAAAATCCCTGAAATATTCTTCTATAAATGAATCCTATTTCCCCAGAGTGTTCAAGGCATTTTTCTACCTAAATGAATACCTAAATCTTGAGTAGTGTACGGTAATGACGCTTCTTCCTATATCCACTCTTATTATGTTAAAACAAATGTATTTGCGAGTATTGGCATTTTAGACTTTAAAAATGCTGTATGATTTCAGATGAACTCTGCTGTTTAGAAGTAACCACAGAAAAGCAAAGTCAGTGTACACTCTGAGTGAAAGGAAATGTAATGTGGATAAAGGCCCGCCACCTCCTCACATTGGTCTATCTACTGGCAGCTGATACGTTTAACTCATTTCCTTGAGCTTATACAAAACATAGAAAAGCAAACTGTTAAAGTAGTCAATAATTATTTGTCTCAGATCCCAGATTCTATGATCCCTGCTTAAAAGAAAATGTTCACTGCATGTAGGTTGATTTCTTATGTTTTGTAGACTCATTGTTATTTTTCAATCCCCAAAAGTCTTGGCCTAAACCATCCCTAGGGGAGCAGATTAACCTACCACTACATTGCACAGGGTTGGTGACTCGACGTGGTGAATGTGCACACGCCCTGCCTGGTCCGCCATGTTCCAAAGAAGATGATTTAATGGTAGAACGGATACCTGCTGCTAGACCTGATGGAATGTTACCTGTCCGTGTTACATAATCAAGTGCAATATACTCAGTTCTCATGCAGGTGACATTCTACCATGAAACGCAGAAGATAAGCCATGTTTCTGTATTGTACATGTAAAGAAAAATAAAACTGTTTATGATACTTGTGTTAGTCACTCGAGCTAGCTTATTTCAGCCACTTCTAGCAGATCATGCCATGGAGCTCACGACGTGTGACCATTTCGTCATATTTAAAATATAACTTCAAGAAAAGAGTAAACATCCATTGGAGAACACGGCTGAAAATTATTGTGCTGTTCTAGGAACATCATCCTAGAGAGTGTGATGTTCACTATAACCCCATACCTACATTCCCTAATGATACAGCCAATGACAGGTGAAACCCAGACACTCTCCTTAGAGCCGACAGGTTGATCCTGCTGTGTTGAAGGCTGTGGTTAATAAAACACAAGTATGATAAACAGGACCTAGCGTTTAGCCCGGGAAAGGAGAATGCTGCTTGTCACCTAGAGTGCTTTCCTTGTGATGCGTCTCTCGCATCTTCACGTGTTGTTGTGTTTGAAGTAAAACTAGTTGTTATCGATGACAATTTTTACCATAGTTTTCTCAGCAAATTTATATCACCATCTTAGAATGGTATATAAAAAAATTGAACTGTTTATGATACCAAAAAAATTACAGTTTTGTTTAAAAGGAAATGTTGATGTTTTCAACTCCAAATCAATTCTAAAAACTTCAAGCACTTAATGGAAAGGTAAATGGTCAGATAAAAATATAATTACCTGTAAGGTTATCTGGTTTTAAAAGAAAAAAAAAAAGCCTACAAACTCAGTGACCTACTACGCAGAGGGAATTTTTCCCTGCTGCTTCTTATGAAAGTGGCCAGGTTTATTATTAGAAGACACAGTGGCAGAGCACACATGTGCACAGGTTCTGATTATTTCTCTTGGAGCATATGTCCTTGTCTTGATTTTTGCCTTTTCGATGCCATATTAAGCAGCCACCGTTTCCACCCCTTTCATTAGAAGGCCCTGCATCCGTAAATTCGCGCATCTCTGTTTTTGTTAGATCCTTGTAAGCATCGCTACCCGAGTCCAGGATGGAATTTCACAGGAAAGTGAAGGGATACTGCAGGCCTGTGTTTGCAGCGCCTGTGGTAACTGTGGAATGAGCTCTGTTAGGGACAGTTGTCTGGTTTGTGCCAAACCTTCGAGGGGCGAGTAGGGAGTGGGGGAGGTGGGTCCAAGTCTCCCTCAGGAAGGCCTTTTCTATCGGCAGCAATTCCATCAAGCCAAGCCTCCTGTGGTCCTGAGCATGAAGGGGCCAGGGGACCTCCTGGGAGATGCAGCTTTTGTTTCCGCTGCGTTTCATCAGTCAGCCTTGCTTGGAATTCTGGCAGGTTCCCCGGGGTGTTTCAGTGGACAGGAGGCCCCCGTGCCGTGGCTGAGTCAGCCTGGGTACCCCAGTCACCAGCAGGGCCACCCTTGATGACAGGGCCCCCCACGAACCTGGGAAAGGCAGCGGGAAATGTGTGAGAGGGTGTGCGCTGGTACGGACATAAAAGCATTGTCCAAAACAGCGCTGGTTCGGGGAGGGCCCCTGGATACTGCCTTTGGCCCACACTGAAAACTGAAATTGCCCCACCTGTGAGCACAGAAACACGCTTCTCCAACACGGGCCGAAATAACTAAACTCCACATGGTTCCTGCCTGCTCATTTCCCAGCCCTCTTCTTCTCAAGCCTGAACTTCATTTTTTTTTTTAGCTGCAAATTTAACAGGCTAATTTAAAACTGCAGTTTTCAGACGACAGCCCCTGGGAATGTTCCAGGGTTCTCTTGTTTTGATCTGCATGTCTGTTTACACTTCTCTGTAGGCGTGGGTTGAATACAAGTTTCCAAAACTTTAAAATAGAAAACCACGAGCTTAAGAGGTGAAAAAGATGACCCCTTTCTGATTAGGATCTGTAACTCTGTGGGCTGGGTCAATGCAGTGTGCTTCATTCAGGGCCATGTGGCAGCCATGACACACACCACATAAGGTCAGCTCAGAGCCCATGGCTTCCCTGCAGGAGCCCCATCTTGTCGCTATTAGTTGGGAGTTGCAATACATTGTTGGCCATAAACAAAGTGCTAAAGGAAAGGGTTTGCTTCTACACATTCGGCTGAATGTCCCCCAGTGCAGGGTGGCAGCAGAATGTTCTGGAAATGAAGGAGATATTGCTAGGAATCTCTAGGCTGTTAGGCAACCTGGCTTTTATTCATCCTCAGCCGGCAACTCATCTCAAGTTTATGTCTCAGTTTTTTTCCTCTAGAAAGGGGATTACAGTTCCTGTCCCTGTCTTCCTCCAGGACACACTGTGAGGATTAATGACATATTGGCTCTAAAGTCCTTTGAGCTCCTGGGAACAGGTGGTGAAAGTGTGCGTTACTGCTAAGGATTAGTCCCTGGCCTCTTCTAGAATGCCGCCCTCCCAGCTCTGCAGGGCACGCTGCCAGAATCCAGGCTGGTCGTAAACATCTCAGAGATAATCAGGGACCACCAGAGGCAGAGGCCATGAGACTGTCTTTGGAAAGGTTTGGAAATGCAGAAATAACTACAAGGGCCATTCTCCTTAGCTTCTGGCTTTCAACTGTTTCTAGATGCTTCCAAGAACAAGAACCCAGCACCAACCAGAATTAGGCCACGTTTTCACCATTACTTAAGCTCAATCGCCTCTTAGATGAAATGAGGAGATAAACTAAACATTAAAATGATGAAGGAAAAAAAATTATTTGGAAGCCGAAAACCGCATGGGTGGGGAAACATCAGGAACGAAATCAGACACACTGACTCAAACCACGCAAGGGTTTGAGAAGCCCACCCCTCTAATTCCAGGCGTTTGTAATTTTTCTACTTCGCACTTGAGAGAAGGCAGAGGTGGTCCGTGGGAAAGCTCCGGGAAACAGCCGTCTTTCATCCTTGCCACATTGAAAAATGTCCACAATTTTATGAATTGCTGTCCTAACCCTGGCGTTTTTATCCAGTGTTAAAATAAATTATTTCAAGTTTCAATGTAAACACTTAACAGATGACTTCTTTGCAGAAGAAATGTTCGTTACCTACTATCAAACTACTTTTTAACAGATTTTGTATATACACACACAAGTTGACAGAGGTTTACCTCCCTACTTTCTTAGATTTTATGTAACTCTTTTCATTGGTGCTTATTCAGAACCTGAAAGCCTTGGGCATCCAAGCTTTCACCTACTCAATGGAGGAGAGGTGATAATGAATGAAAAGATTGACACCAGGTTTCTTGGACAAATTTAAGTTCAAATTTATCTCTTTCAAGTAGACCATGGTCTCCCTAGAGAGTGTGTTGGCTTGTGTCTGCCAGTACGACAAAGGACGCTCCCAGCTTGATCGTGGTACCTTATGGAAGCCACTCACGCATTCTCTGATTTACCCCCAAAACACTACCATGCCCCAGCCCCACTCATTTAAATAATACAATCATATCACTTTCAAAGGGCTCAGCACGAATGTTCCCCTCACTCCACTTTTTAACTCGTTTGCTGAACTCGACAAGGCTTCCCCTTACGAGCAGTGAGACCTAGGCTACTTTCGAACGCTTCCTTCCGAACGGTAAGCCACTTCGCTCTCGGGCAGGACAGGTCCTCCCTGCAGAGAGAGACAACTCATCCCCCGACCTTCCATACTACAGACCAAAATACCCAGGTGTGGCCTAAGGACTATATTAAATGCCTCCTATAGAAATTCAAGGAATGTTAGAACCAGGAAACTAGCTGTTTAAAGTTTTAAAGAAGTATATAAATATATATATAAATATAAATATGAAATCATATCGAGTGTGAGGATGAGCAGAGTGCCAAATATTCAGCATCTGTACAAAGTCATTCACTGGAATTCAACTATTTTATGTCATTCTCTTTCTCACGCTTTTATGGTTCTTTTGATAAATTCTATTTAGTAGCATGCAGGATACCTAATCTGAATGTGCAATATGCTATTCATCACCACGACAATTTCTTACTTCCTCTTAATAACTTACCAGAATGTTGGTCATTCCTTTAAGGCAGTTAAGGATTGCTTTATTTGTGTTCTTTTTTCCCATGACTTTTTTTCACTCTCAGCTGACTGTAAGAAACTGTGCACCGTTTCCGCCATAACCGTCCTGTGACGATGCCTCCATTTGACTTCTGTATCGCTGATGTTCACCTCCTGTAAATAGTTTGGCAATTAAATTTTTTGAGAAAAGTAATGTTTACTTTTTTATTGGAGTGAATTCTCGTGTTATTTTAATCTCAGAAAAATTATATAGACCAAAGAGTTTTATCCGAAAAAAAATTACACTCTTCCTCCATTATATATTTCATTGTTGAAATATCCTCAATTTCTCTATATTTTAAGAAGTAATGGACATTTATTAAGGTTACAGATTTAATATGTATGCAAAATGGTATAGATTAAATGAGTTTTTAATTAATAAATCCTACAGTATTTAGTTAACGGTTGTTTTACGCTCTTTTGAGTTGCATTGAAAAGAGACGCACATTAGCTCACGGGACCTTATGGATCCTGGCTCCAGTGAGACAGGGTGGGATGTGGACTTGGTGATGAAACTCCAGGAGGACAAGTGGGTTCCAGTCCCCAGTGAGCCTGCAACTGCCAGGAAGCAGTGCAAGCCAGTCCATCCAGGGAGGTGACCGGTCTAGGAGGTGGACCGGTCCGGGGAGGCGACCAGTCCAGGGAGGGGACCAGTCCGGGAGGTAGACCAGTCTGGGGAAGTGACCAGTTGGAGAAGGTGGACCAGTCCGGGGAGGTGACCAGTCCGAGGAGGTGGACTAGTCCCGGGAGGTGGACCAGTCCAGGAGGTAGACCAGTCTGGGGAAGTGACCAGTTAGAGAAGGTGGACCAGTCCAGGAGGTAGACCAGTCTGGGGAAGTGACCAGTTAGAGAAGGTGGACCAGTCCGGGGAGGTGGACCACACGTCACCACTCTGAGCAGTTGCTCCCTGCCTTCCACCTCCTTGATCAGTTGCACCTGCCCTTCTTTCTCTTGCCTGTGACCAGCTAGTCTCACCCCTCTCAGTGAGAAATCCTGCTGCCTCATGTCTCTGCACCTTCTTTCTATGCACTCCTTGCCTGGATACTCTGAGTATTGCTCTGCAGTCTCCCCAGGGGCACAGTGCAGCTCTTGAGGACAACCCTCCCCCCAGCACACATCAGGACTGTGTTTCATGCATTGTTTTTCATGTCTTTCCTTTACTGTATTTCTTTTCAAGATACACTTATAACCAGCGAAAACAAAGCTTTATATATTTTTCTTTTTTAATCCCATAGCCCTTCAATAAATATTTTAATTTACTTGGCCTTTCATTTGAAACATTATACCTTCATCCTCATGTAGTCAAACATTATTTTCCCAGAAGTCAGTAAAAGTACAAATAAATTACTGTGGAATTCATTTTAAATTATAACAAGATAATTTATAGAATCTTTTAATTAAAAACCAAGAGACCAGTGCATGAGAATTTCTGGTTTCTCATACAGCATTCTGTCCTCA
Source organism: Homo sapiens (assembly GCF_000001405.40). Classification (NCBI taxonomy): domain Eukaryota; kingdom Metazoa; phylum Chordata; class Mammalia; order Primates; family Hominidae; genus Homo; species Homo sapiens. Next base: position 1,709,533 of record NC_000008.11, read on the forward strand.
CAACAAGAAAAAGTGGAACAAGCTGAAAAGCAGCAATTCTTTGTAGATTCTTATCAAAATGAATGTCACAGGGCAAACAGCTCCCCCAGAATGAGAGAGGCTGACACAGAGACTCACAACCCACTGAGCAGATGCCCAGGTACGGAAACCTCTGTGGGGACCTGTGCTGGGCTGGGGAAGCCTGACCCGTGGCTGACAAACCCAGAAGCTCAACGTGGACAAACCTGAGGACTGAAAACTCTAGGGGGCCCAGTCTTAGGACGCCCCCAACACCTTGTGAGCTTTACCCCCAGGAACCCCCCCGCCCCCCCCGCCAGGTTCTCAGGGTATAGATCAGAGAAAAATGCCCTTGTGTTTCCAGCAGGTGGGGGGAAAGTAGCCATTCTGAAATATGCCCAGAGCATCTGTTCACCTTAAAAAAAGGCCCTCAAGTAAAAGTATCCTACCAAAGCCTAACAGACAGACTTGGGGTTTGCCAGAGTCTGACATATCTAGGGGAAGGGAAAGACCCTATGCCAGCCCCCTGTAGCCATCCTAAGGCAGGGGTGGGGAGGGGGGACTGGGAAGGATTTACAAAGATCAGACCTCAGGGCACAGGCTCACTGAAAGACTGAGACCCAATCATAGGATAAGAGAAAGCTTCCCCTCCCCCCTACACCTTACCATTCCATCAATAGCACTTTTGTATTAAAAAAGAGGGAGGCCGGGTATGGTGGCTCGCACCTGTAATCCCAGCACTTTGGGATGCCAAGGTGAGAGGATCGCTTGAGCACAGGACTTTTTAAAAAAGAGACCCAACAGCATGCTGTTACCAGAAAAGCGCTTTAAATATAAAGACACTGATTAAAAGTAACACCATAGAGCAGTGTAAACCATGCTAACACTAATCCAAAGAAAGCTGCAGTCACTGCATTAACACCAGACAGGGCACCCTTCAGACAAGAAATCTCCTCCAGGACACAGAAGGACATGACATAATGATAAAGAGGCCAGTTCTCCACAAAGGCATGACAATGCTCAATGTGCCTGTGCCTAAAAACAGTGTCAAGTGACACGAAAACCAGCAGAACTACAAAGAAAGAGAAATCCACTGTGGCGGTTAGAGAGCTCAGCACCTGTCTACCAGTAACTGACAGATCCAGCCAGCAGAAAATCAGCAAGGACATAGCTGACCTCAACAGCACCACTGGTTACCTAGCTATAATGCACACCTAACACCCTACTTCGTCCAACTGCAGCAGAACACACAGGCTTCCCAAGCTACACTCTGGGCTATGAAACACACCTTAACAGATGTAAAAGAAGCACCACTGGTTACCTAGCTATAATGCACACCTAACACCCTACTTCGTCCAACTGCAGCAGAACACACATGCTTCCCAAGCTACACTCTGGGCTATGAAACACACTTTAAAAATGTAAAAGAAGCACCACTGGTTACCTAGCTATAATGAACACCTAACACCCTACTTCATCCAACTACAGCAGAACACACATGCTTCCCAAGCTACACTCTGGGCTATGAAACACACTTTAAAAATGTAAAAGAAGCACCACTGGTTACCTAGCTATAATGCACACCTAACACCCTACTTCGTCCAACTGCAGCAGAACACACAGGCTTCCCAAGCTACACTCTGGGCTATGAAACACACCTTAACAGATGTAAAAGAAGCACCACTGGTTACCTAGCTATAATGCACACCTAACACCCTACTTCGTCCAACTGCAGCAGAACACACATGCTTCCCAAGCTACACTCTGGGCTATGAAACACACTTTAAAAATGTAAAAGAAGCACCACTGGTTACCTAGCTATAATGAACACCTAACACCCTACTTCATCCAACTACAGCAGAACACACATGCTTCCCAAGCTACACTCTGGGCTATGAAACACACGCTAACAGATGTAAAAGAAGCACCACTGGTTACCTAGCTGTAATGAACACCTAACACCCTACTTCATCCAACTACAGCAGAACACACATGCTTCCCAAGCTACACTCTGGGCTATGAAACACACGCTAACAGATGTAAAAGAATAGAGTCATACAATGTATGAACTCTCAATTCCACAACGGAGTTAAACTAGAAATCAGTAACAGAAAGATAGCTGGAAAATCCCCAAACACATGGAGATTAAGCAATGCACTTCTAATACCACATGGATCTACAAAGAAGTCTCAAAAGAAATTTAAAAATATTTAAACTAAATGAAAATAACAACACAATATATGTAAATTTGTGAGATGCAGCAAAAGCAGTGCCTGGAAGAAATGCATAGCATTCAATGCCTGTATTAGAAAAGAATGATCCAAAAGCAATCATTTAGATATCCATCTTAGGAGGCAGTCAAATCCAAAGTAAGCACAGGAAATGAAATAATAAAAATTAGAGCAGAAATCAATACAATTGAAAATAGGAAACAGAGAAAAATAATGTAATCAAAAGCCAGCGCTTTGAAAAGATCAATAAAATTGATAAGCCGCTAACCGTTCACTCTCCTGGAAAAGGGGCTGCAGCCAGGGAGCCAAGTGGTCTGGCTCGGTGGGTCCCACCCCCAAGGAGCCCAGCAAGCTAAGATCCACTGGCTTGAAATTCTTGCTGCCAGCACAGAAATCAACCTGAAATCAACCTGAAATGCTCAAGCTTGGTGCGGGCAGGGGTGCCCACCACTGCGAGGCTTGAGTAGGCAGTTTTACCCTCACCGTGTAAACAAAGCCTCTGGGAAGTTCGAACTGGGCAATCCCACCGCAGCTCAGCAAGGCCACTGTGGCCAGACTGCCTCTCTAGACTCCGCCTCTCTGGGCAGGGCATCTCTGAAAAACAGGCAGCAGCCCCAGTCAGGGGCTTGTAGATAAAACCCCCATCTAACTGGGACAGAGCACCCAGGGAAAGGGGCGGCTGTGGGTGCAGCTTCAGCAGAATTAAACGCTCATGCCTGACGGCTGTGAAGACAACAGCAGATCTCCCAGCACAGCACTCAAGTCTCTGCTAAGGGTCAGACTGCCTCCTCAACTGGGTCCCTGACCCTGGTGTATCCTGACTGGGAGAAACCTCCCAGTAGGGGACAACAGACACCTCATACAGGAGAGCTCTGGCTGGCATCTGGTGGGTGCTCCTCTGGGATGAAGATTCCAAAGGAAGGAACAGGCAGCAATCTTTGCTGTTCTGCAGCCTCCGCTGGCGATACTCAGGCAAACAGGGTCTGGAGTGGACCTCCAGCAAACTCCAGCAGACCTGCAGCAGAGGGGCCTGATGGTTAGAAGGAAAACTAACAAACAGAAAGCAATAGCATCAACATCAACAAAAAGGACATCCACACCAGAACCCCATCTGAAGGTCAACAGCATCAAAGACCAAAGGTAGAGAAATCCATGAAGATGGAAGGAACTGGCGCAAAAAGGCTGAAAATTCCAAAAGCCATAACGCCTCTTCTTCTCCAAAGGATCACAACTCCTCGCCAGCAAGGGAACAAAACTGGACAGAGAATAAGTTTGATGAATTGACAGAAGTAGGCTTCAGAAGGTGGGTAACAAACTCCTCTGAGCTAAAGGAGCATGTTCTAACCCAAAGCAAGGAAGCTATGAACCTGGAAAAAAGGTTAGAGGAATTGCTAACTAGAATAACCAGTGTGGAGAAGAACATAAATGACCTGATGAAGCTGAAGACCACAGCATGAGAACTTCGTGAAGCATATACAAGTATCAATAGCCGAATCGATCAAATGGAAGAGAGGATATCAGAGATTAAAGATCAACGAAATGAAATAAAGTGAGAAGACAAGATCACAGAAAAAAGAATGAAAAGGAACAAACAAAGCCTCCAGGAAATATGGGACTACGTGAAAAGACCAAATCTAAGTTCGATTAGTGTACCTGAAAGTGACGGGGAGAATGGAACCAAGTTGGGAAATACTCTTCAGGATATTATCCAGGAGAACTTCCCCAAACTAGCAAGACAGGCCAACATTCAAATTCAGGAAATACAGAGAACACGACAAAGATACTCCTGGAGAAGAGCAACCCCAAGACACATTAACATCAGATTCACCAAGGTTGAAATGAAGGAAAAAAATCTTAAGGGCAGCCAGAGAGAAAGGTCAGACTACCCACAAAGGGAAGCCCATCAGATTAACAGTGGATCTCTCTGCAGAAACCCTACAAGCCAGAAGAGAGTGGGGCCAATGTTCAACATTCTTAAAGAAAAGAATTTTCAACCAGAATTTCATATCCAGCCAAACTAAGTTTCATAAGCAAAGGATGAATAAAATCCTTTACAGACAAGCAAATGCTGAGAGATATTGTCATCACCAGGCCTGCCTTACAAGAGCTCCTGAAGGAAGCACTAAACATGGAAAGGAACCACCAGTACCAGCCATTGCAGAAACATACCAAATTGTGGCCAGGTGCAGTGGCTGACACCTGTAATGCCAGCACTTTGGAAGGCTGAGACAGGCAGAACACGAGGTCAGGAGATCGAGACCAACCTGGCTAACACAGTGAAACCCCATCTCTACTAAAAATACAAAAAAATTAACCGGGCATGGTGGCAGGCGTCTGTAGTCCCAGCTTCTTGGTAGGGTCAGGCAGGACAATGGCGTGAACCCAGGAGGTGGAGCTTTCAGTGAGCCGAGACTGCAGCACTGCACTCCAGCCTGGGCAACAGAGCAAGACTCCATCTCAAAAAAAAAAAAAAAATTGTAAAGACCATCAACACTACAAAGAAACTGCATAAACTAATGAGCAAAATAACCAGCTAGCATCATAATGACAGGATCAAATTCACACATAACAATATTAACCTTAAACGTAAATGGACTGAATGCCCCAATTAAAAGACACAGACTGGCAAATTGGATAAAGAGTCAAGACCCATCAGTGTGCTGTATTCAGGAGACCCATCTCATGTGCAAAGACACACATAGGCTCAAAATAAACAGATGGAGGAATATTAACGAAGAAAATGGAAAGCAAAAAAAGGCAGGGGTTGCAATCCTAGTCTCTGATAAAACAGACTTTAAACCAACAGAGATGAAAAGAGACAAAGAAAGGTATTACATAATGGTAAAGGGATCAATTCACCAAGAGCTAACTATCCTAAATATATAAGCACCCAATACAGGAGCACGCAGATTCATAAAGCAAGTTCTTAGAGACCTACAAAGAGACTTAAAATCTCCCATATTATTGTGTGGGAGTCTAACACTCCACTGTCAATATCAGACAGATCAATGAGACGGAAAATTAACTAGGATATTCAGGACCTGAACTCAGATCTGGACCAAGCAGACCTAATAGACATCTACAGAACTCTCCACCCCAAATCAATAGAATACACATTCTTGTCAGCATCTCATTATGCTTATTCTAAAATTAACCACATAATTGGAAGTAAAACACTCCTCAGCAAATGCAAAAGGATGGAAGTCATAACAAACGGCCTCTCTGACCACAATGCAATCAAATTAGAACTCAGGATTAAGAAACTCACTCAATGGCCAAGCGCAGTGGCTCACGCCTGTCATCCCAGCACTTTGGGAGGTCCGGGGCAGGCAGATCACCTGAGGTCGGGAGTTCGAGACAAGCCTGACCAATGTGGAGAAACCCCATCTCTAATAATAATAATAAAAAAAAAAAAAAAAAAAAACTTAGCTGGACATGGTGGCACATGCCTGTAATCCCAGCTACTCGGGAGGCCAAGGTGGGAGAATCACTGGAACCCAGGAGGCAGAAGTTGCAGTGAGCTGAGATCACGCCATTGCACTCCAGCCTGGGCAACAAGAGGGAAACTCCATCTCAAAAAAAAAAAAAAAAAAAAAAGGACTCACTCAAAACTGCACCACACAACTACATGGAAACTGGACAACCTGCTCCTGAAAGACTACTTGGTAAATAACAAAATTAAGGCAGAAATAAAGATGTTCCTTGAAACCAATGAGAACAAAGACAACGTACCAGAATCTATGGGACATATTTCAGGCAGTGTTTAGAGGTACTTTTTTTTTTTTTTTTTTTTGAGGCAGAGTCTTGCTCTGTCGCCTCCATGCAGGAGTTCAGCAGTACGATCCCAGCTCACACTGCAAGTTCTGCCTCCCAAGTTCACGCCATTTTCCTGCCTCAGCTTCCCGAGTAGCTGGGACTACAGGCGCCTACCACCATGCCCAGCTAATTTTTTTGTATTTTTAGTAGAGACAGGGTTTCACCATGTTAGCCAGGATGGTCTCAATCTCCTGAACTCGTGATCTGCCCACTTTGGCCTCCCAAAGTACCAGGATTACAGGCATGAGACACTGTGCCCTGCCTAGAGGGAAATTTGTAGCACTAAATGCCCACAAGAGAAAGCAGCAAAGATCTAAAATTGACACCCTAACATCACAATTAAAAGAACTAGAGAAGCAAGAGCAAACAAATTCAAAAGCTAGCAGGGACAAGAAATAACTAAGATCAGAGCAGAACTGAAAGAGATAGAGACACGAAAACGCCTTCAAAAAAATGAATCCAGGAGCTGGTTTTTTGAAAAGATCAACAAAATAGATAGACTGCTAGCAAGACTAATAAAGAAGAGAAAAGAATCAAATAGACAGAATAAAAAATGATAAAGGGGATATCACCACTGATACCACAGAAATACAAACTAACATCAGAGAATACTATAAACACCTCTATGCAAATAAACTAGAAAATCTACAAGAAATGGATAAATTCTGGGACACATACACTCTCCCAAGTCTAAACCAGGAAGAAGTCAAATCCCTGAATAGACCAATAACAAGTTCTGAAATTGAGGCAATAATTAATAGCCTTCCAACCAAAAGAAGTCGAGGACCAGAAAGATTCACAGCCGAATTCTACCAGAGGTACAAAGAGGAGCAGGTACTATTCCTTCTGAAACTATTCAAAACAATAGAAAAAGAGGGAATCCTCCCTAACTCATTTTAAGAGGCCAGCATCATCCTGATACCAAAACCTGGCAGAGACACAACAAAAAAAGAGAATTTTAGACCAATATCCCTGATAAACATCGATAGAAAAATCATCAATAAAATACTGTGAAACCTAATCCAGTAGCACATTAAAAAGCTAATCCACTACGATCAAGTCGGCTTCATCCCTGGGATGCAAGGCTGGTTCAACAAACGCAAATCAATAAACGTAATTCATCACAAACAGAAACAATGACAAAAAACACATGATCAGCTCAATAGATGCAGAAAAGGCCTTCAACAAAATTCCACAGCGCTTCATGCTAGAAACTCTCAATAAACTAGGTATTGATGGAATGTATTTCAAAATAATAAGAGCTTTTTATGACAAACCCACAGCCAATATCATACTGAATGACCAAAAACTGTAAGCATTCCCTTTGAAAACCAGCACAAGACGTCTATTAGGTCCACTTAGTGCAGAGCTGAGGTCAATTCCTAGATATCCTTGTGAACTTTCTGTCTCATTGATCTGTCTAATGTTGACAGTGGGGTGTTAAAGTCTCCCATTATTATTGTGTGGGAGTCTAAGTCTCTTTGTAGGTCTCTAAGGACTTCCTTTATGAATCTGGGTGCTCCCGTATTGGGTGCATATATATTTAGGATAGTTAGCTCTTCTTGTTGAATTGATCCCTTTACCATTATGTAATGGCCTTCTTTGTCTCTTTTGATTTTTGTTGGTTTAAAGTCTGTTTTATCAGGGACTAGGATTGCAACCCCTTCCTTTTTTTGTTTTCCATTTTCTTGGTAGATCTTCCTCCATCCCTTTATTTTGAGCCTATGTGTGTCTCTGCACATGAGATGGGTTTCCTTAATACAGCACACTGATGGGTCTTGACTCTTTATCCAATTTGCCAGTCTATGTCTTTTAATTGGAGCATTTAGCCCATTTACATTTAAGGTTAATATTGTTATGTGTGAATTTGATCCTGTCATTATGATGCCAGCTGGTTATTTTGCTTGTTAGTTGATGCATCTACAGAACTCTCCACCCCAAATCAACAGAATATACATTCTTTTCAGCACCACACCTATTCCAAAATTGACCACATAGTTGGAAGTAAAGAACTCCTCAGCAAATGTTAAAGAACAGAAATTATAACAAACTGTCTCTCAGACCACAGTGCAATCAAACTAGAACTCAGGATTAAGAAACTCACTCAAAACCGCTCAACTACATGGAAACTGAACAACCTGCTCCTGAATGACTACTGAGTACATAACGAAATGAAGGCAGAAATAAAGATGTTCTTTGAAACCAATGAGAGCAAAGACACAACATACCAGAATCTCTGGGACACATTCAAAACAGTGTGTAGAGGGAAATTTATAGCACCAAATGCCCACAAGAGAAAGCAGGAAAGATCTAAAATTGACACCCTAACATCACAATTAAAAGAACTAGAGAAGCAAGAGAAAACACATTCAAAAGCTAGCAGAAGGCGAGAAATAACTAAAATCAGAGCAGAACTGAAGGAAATAGAGACACAAAAAAACCCTTCAAAAAAATCAATGAATCCAGGAGCTGTTTTTTTTGAAAAGATCAACAAAACTGATAGACCACTAGCAAGACTAATAAAGAAGAAAAGAGAGAAGAATCAAATAGACACAATAAAAAATGATAAACGGGATATCACCACCGATCCCACAGAAATACAAACTACCATCAGAGAATACTATAAACACCTCTATGCAAATAAACTAGAAAATCTAGAAGAAATGGATAAATTGCTCGACACATACCCTCTCCCAAGACTAAACCAGGAAGAAGTTGAACCCTTGAACAGACCAATAACAGGGTCTGAAATTGAAGCAATAATTAATAGCCTACCAACTAAAAAAAGTCCAGGACCACATGGATTCACAGCCGAACTCTACCAAAAGTACAAAGAGGAGCTGGTACCATCTTTCTGAAATTATTCCAATCAATAGAAAAAGAGGGAATCCTCCCTAACTCATTTTATGAGGCCAGCATCATCCTGATACCAAAGCCTGGCAGAGACACAACAAAAAAAGAGAATTTTAGACCAATATCCCTGATCAACATCGATGCAAAAATCCTCAATAAAATACTGGCAAACCGAATCCAGCAGCACATCAAAAAGCTTATCCACCATGATCAAGTGGGCTTCATCCCTGGGAAGCAAGGCTGGTTCAATATACGCAAATCAATAAATGTAATCCAGCATATTAAACAGAGCCAAAGACAAAAACCACATGATTATCTCAATAGATGCAGAAAAGGCCTTTGACAAAATTCAACAACCCTTCGTGCTAAAAGCTCTCAATAAACTAGGTATTGATGGGACATATCTCAAAATAATAAGAGCTATCTATGACAAACCCACAGCCAATATCATAGTGAATGGACAAAAACTGGAAGCATTCCCTTTGAAAACTGGCACAAGACAAGGATGCCCTCTCTCACCACTCCTATTCAACAGAGTGTTGGAAGTTCTGGCCAGGGCAATCAGGCAGGAGAAGGAAATAAAGGGTATTCAATTAGGGAAAGAGGAAGTCAAATTGTCCTTGTTTGCAGATGACATGATTGTATATCTAGAAAACCCCACTGTCTCAGCCCAAAATCTCCTTAAGCTGATAGGCAACTTCAGCAAAGTCTCAGGATACGAAATCAATGTGCAAAAATCACAAGCATTCTTATACACCAATAACAGACAAACAGAGAGCCAAATCATGAGTGAACTCCCATTCACGTTTGCTTCAAAGAGAATAAAATACCTAGGAATACAACTACAAGGGATGTGAAAGACCTCTTCAAGGAGAACTACAAACCACTACTCAATGAAATAAAAGAGGATACAAACACATAGAACATTCCATGCTCATGGGTAGGAAGAATCAATATCATGAAAATGGCCATACTGCCCAAGGTAATTTATAGATTCAATGCCATCCCCATCAAGCTACCAATGACTTTCTTCACAGAATTGGAAAAAACTACTTTAAAGTTCATATGGAACCAAGAAAGAGCCCGCATTGCCAAGTCAATCCTAAGCCAAAAGAACAAAGCTGGAGGCATCACGCTACCTGACTTCAAACTATACTACAAGGCTACAGTAACCAAAACAGCATGGTACTGGTACCAAAACAGAGATATAGACCAATGGAACAGAACAGAGCCCTCAGAAATAATGCCACATATCTACAACCATCTGATCTTTGACAAACCTGACAAAAACAAGCAATGGGGAAAGGACTCCCTATTTAATAAATGGTGCTGGGAAAACTGGCTAGCCATATGTAGAAAGCTGAAACTGGATCCCTTCCTTACACCTTATACAAAAATTAATTCAAGACGGACTAAAGACTTAAATGTTAGATCTAAAATCATAAAAACCCTAGAAGAAAACCTAGGCATTACCATTCAGGACATAGGCATGGGCAAGGACTTCATGTCTAAAACACCAAAAGCAATGGCAACAAAAGCCATAATTGACAAATGGGATCTAATTAAACTAAAGAGCTTCTGAACAGCAAAAGAAACTACCATCAGAGTAAACAGGCAACCTACAGAATGGGAGAAAATTTTTGCAATCTACTCATCTGACAAAGGGCTAATATCCAGAATCTACAATGAACTCCAACAAATTTGCAAGAAAAAAAACAAACAACCCCATCAAAAAGTGGGCAAAGGATATGAACAGACACTTCTCAAAAGAAGACATTTATGCAGCCAAAAGACACATGAAAAAATGCTCATCATCACTGGCCATCAGAGAAATGCAAATCAAAACCACAGTGAGATACCATCTCACACCAGTTAGAATGGTGATCATTAAAAAGTCAGGAGACAACAGGTGCTGGAGAGGATGTGGAGAAATAGGAACACTTTTACACTGTTGGTGGGACTGTAAACTAGTTCAACCATTGTGGAAGTCAGTGTGGTGATTCCTCAGGGATCTAGAACTAGAAATACCATTTGACCCAGCCATCCCATTACTGGGTATATACCCAAAGGATTATAAATCATGATGCTATAAAGACACATGCACACATATGTTTATTGCGCCACTATTCACAATAGCAAAGACTTGGAACCAACCCAAATGTCCAACAATGATAGACTGGATTAAGAAAATGTGGCAAATATACACCATGGAATACTATGCAGCCATAAAAAATGATGACTTCATGTCCTTTGTAGGGACATGGATGAAGCTGGAAACCATCATTCTGAGCAAACTATTGCAAGGATAAAAAAACAAACACTGCATGTTCTCATGCATAGGTGGGAATTGAACAATGAGAACACATGGAAACAGGAAGGGGAACATCACACACCGGGGCCTGTTGTGGGGTTGGGGGAGGGTGGAGGGATAGCATTAGGAGATACACCTAATGCTAAATGATGAGTTAATGGGTGCAGCACACCAACATGGCACATGTTTACATATGTAACAAACCTGCACGTTGTGCACATATACCCTAAAACTTAAAGTATAATTTAAAAAAAAAGAAAAAGAAAAAAAAAAAAAAAGAAAACCAGCACAAAATAAGGCTTCCTTCTCTAACCACTCCTATTCAACATAGTATTGGAAGTTCTGACCAGGGCAATCACGTAAGAGAAAGAAATAAAGGGTACTCAATTAGGAAAAGAGGAAGTCAAATTGTCTCTGTTTGCAGATGACATGACTGTATATTTAGAAAACCCCATCGTCTCAGCCCAAAATCTCCTTAAGCTGATAAGCAACTTCAGCAAAGTCTAAGGATACAAAATCCATATTCAAAAATCACAAGCATTCCTATACACCAATAACAGACAAACGACAGCCAAATCATGAGTGACCTCTCACTCACGATTGCTACCAAGAGAATAAAATACCTAGGAATCCAACTTACAAGGGATGTGAAGGACCTCTTCAAGAAGAACTACAAACCACTGCTCAAGAAAATGAGAGAGGACACAAATAAATGGAACAACATTCCATGCTCATGGATAGCAGGAATCAATATCGGGAAAATGGCCATACTGCCCAAGGTAATTTACAGATTCAATGCTATGGCCATCAAGCTACCATTGACTTTCTTCACAGAATTGGAAAAAACTACTTTAAATTTCATATGGAACCAAAAAGGAGCCCACATAGCCAAGACAATCACAAGCAAAAAGAACAAAGCTGGAGGCATCACACTACCTGACTTCAAACTATACTACAAGGCTACAGTAACCAAAAGAGCATGGTACTGGTACCAAAACAGATATAGACAAATGGAACAGAACAGAGCCCTCAGAAATAACACCACACATCTAAAACCATCTGATCTTTGACAAACTTGACAAAAACAAGAAATGGGGAAAGGATTCTCTAATTAATAAATAGTGCTAGGAAAACTACCTAGTCATATGCACAAAACTGAAACTGGACCCCTTCCTTACACTTTATACAAAAATTAACTCAAGATGGATTAACGACTTAAATGTAAAACCTAAAACCATAAAAACCCTAGAAGAAAACCTAGGCAACACCACTCAGGACATAGGCATGGGCAAAAAGTTTTGGTGAATAAAACACCAAAAGCAAGGGCAAGTAAAGCCAAAATTAACAAATGGGATCTAATTAAACTAAAGAGCTTCTGCACAGCAAAAGAACCTATCATCAGAGTGAACAGGCAACCTACAGAATGGCAGAAAATTTTTGCATTCTATCCATATGACAAAGGGCTAATATCCAGAATCTACAAAGAACTATAACAAATTTACAAGAAAAAAACAAACCACTCCATCAACAGGTGGGAGATAGGAACAGATACTTCTCAAAAGAAGACATTTATGCGGCCAAAAAACATTGAAAAAAAGCTCACCATCACTGATCACTAGAGAAATGCAAATCAAAACCACAATGAGGTACCATCTCACGCCAGTTAGAACGGTGATCATTAAAAAGGCAGGAAACAGATGTCAGAGATGATGTGGAGAAATAGGAATGCTTTTACACTGTTGGTGGGAGTATAAATTAGTTCAACCATTGTGGAAGATACTGTAGCGATTCCTCAAGGATCTAGAAGCAGAAATAGCATTTGACCCAGCAATCCCATTACTGGGTATACACACAAAGGATTATACATCTTTCTACTATAAAGGTGCATTCACACGTATGTTTATTGCGGCGCTATTCACAATAACGAAGACTTGGAACTAACCAAAATGCCCACAAATGATAGACTGGATAAAGAAAATGTGATACATATACACCATGGAATAATATGCAACCATAAAAAAGGATGAGTTAATGTCATTTGCAGGGACAGGGATGAAGCTGGACACCATCATTCTCAGCAACTAACACAAGAACAGAAAACCAAACACCTCATGTTCTTACTCATGAGTGGGAGATGAACAATGAGAACACATGGACACAGGGAGGGGAACATCACACATCAGGGCCTGTCGGTGGGTGGGGGCTAGAGGAGAGATAGCATTAGGAGAAACACCTAATGTAGATGATGGGTTGATGGATGCAGAAACCACTATGGCACATGTATACCTATGTAACAAAACTGCACGTTCTGCTCATGTGCCCCAGAACTTAAAGTATAATCTAAAAAAATTAGCCTGGTGTAGTAGCAAGCACCTGATTCTGGTGCATGCACCTGATATAGTAGCTGCAGTCCCAGCTACTAGGTCAAGGCTGCAGTGAACCCCGATTGCACCCCTGCATTCCAGCCTGGGTGATTGAGAGAGAACCTGTTTCAAAAAAAAAATGAATTGTATAAACAACTAATGTCTATAAACTTGATAACGTAGACGAAATGAACCAATTCCTAGGAAGATACAATCCAACAAAACACACCTAAGTGGAAATATGTATTCTGAATAGGACTGTATTTATTAAAGAAATTAAATAACCTTCTTCCCAAACAGAAAGCACCCATCCCAGATGAGGTCACTGTTGAGTTCCACCAAACTCACCAGTAACTATAAGAATCACACCAATTCTCCATAATGTCTTTTAGAAAATAGAAGCAGAGGTACTACTTCCTAACTCATTCTGAGGCCAGGATTCCCCTAAAACCAAAGCCAAACAAAGATATTAAAAGAAAGGAATTCTAAAATCAGTATGTCTCAGGAACATAGATGCAAAATCCTCAAAAAAAGAAAAACCCAAAAATAACAAATCAAGCGCAACGATATGTAAAAAGAATTGTATACCACAACCAAGAGGGATTTATCCCCAGTACACAAGACTGTTATAAACATTTGAAAATCAATTAATGTAATCACCACATCAACAGGCTAAAGAAAAAAATCATAAATTTTATCAGTAGATACAGAAAAAGCATTTGGCAGAACCCAACACCATTCACAGTGAAGAGTCTCAGCAAACTCGGAATAAAGGGTACTTTCTCAACTTGATAAAGAACATCAGCCGGGCGCGGTGGCTCACGCCTGTAATCCCAGCACTTTGGGAGGCTGAGGCGGGCGGATCACGAAGTCAGGAGATCGAGACCATCCTGGCTAATATGGTGAAACCCCATCTCTACTAAAAATACAAAAAATTAGCCGGGCGTGGTGGCCAGTGCCTGTAGTCCCAGCTACTCGGGAGGCTGAGGCAGGAGAATGGCGTGAACCCGGGAGGCTGAGCTTGCAGTGAGCTGAGATCGCGCCACTGCACTGCAGGCTGGGAGAGAGAGCGAGACCCCGTCTCAAAAAAAAAAAAAAAAAAAAAAAAAAAAAAATCTGCATCTGCAAAAGTCTACAACAAGCACCCTATTTAATTATGAGAAACTGGAAGGCTCCCCAGTAGGATCAGGAACAGGGCAGGAACATCCCTCTCACCACTACTGTTCATCATCACACTGAAGATCCCAGCTAACACAATAAAGCAAGGAAAGGAAAGACGAGGCACACGCATTGGGAAGAGATTAAAAATCTGTCTTTGTTTACAGATGACAATTGTCTGTAGAAAATACCAAAGAAACAACAACAACAAAAAAACACTCATGGAACCAAAAGCAATTACAGCTAGGTTGCAGGATAAAAAGTTAATATGAAAAATCAATTGCTTTCTTACATAGAAGCCATTAACAATTGGAATCTGAAATTTCAAAACATCTTTAATGCAACTGCAATAAAAATCCCAGCAAGTTACCTTGTGACTGTTGACAAACGGATTCTAAAGTTTATATGGAGAGGCAAAGACCCAGAACAGCCAACAAAATAGGGAGGGAGGAAAACAAAGTCAGAGGAGTGACACTTCCCACCTTCGAGTCTGACTCTAACACCACAGCAATCAGGATGGTGTGTGATTTGCTAAATAACAGACCAGATCAATGAAACAGAATTGAGAACCCAGAAACAGACCCACATGAATGTAGTCAACTGATCTTTGACAAAGGAACAAATGCAAGTCAGTGCTGAAAAGATCGTTTTTTAAACAAATAGTGCTAGAACAGCTGGACAGCCACAGACAAAAAAAAAGAATCTAGATTTAGACTTTAGACCTTTCACAAAGTCTTATTAACAATGGATCATGGCCTGGCTGGCACAGTGGTTCACTCCTGTAATCCCAGCACTTTGGGAGTTTGAGGTGGGAGAATCACTTGAGCCCAGGAATGTGAGACCAGCTTGGGCAACATAGAGACACCCTGACTCTACAAAAAATAAATACAATTAGCCAGGTGTGGTGGCGGCACCTATAGTCCCAGCTACTTGGGAGGCTGAAGCAGGAGGATCGCTTGAGCCCAGGAGGTCGATGCTACAGTGAGCCAAGATCACACCACTGTACTCCAGCATGGATGACAAAGCAAGACCCTGTCTCAAAAAAATAAAAAGTAAAAATATAGAAAATTTTAAAATAAAAAATAGATCATAGACCTAAATGTAAAATGCAAAGCTATAAAACTTCCAGAAGATAACATAGGAGAACATCTAGGTGACCTCTAGTTTGGTGGTGATCTTTTAGATACAACATCAAAGGCATGATCCATTAACGAAAGGATTGATAAGTTCGAATTCATTAAAATTTTAAAACCCATCTATTCATTTGAAAGACTGTGTTCAGAAAATGAATTGACAAACCACAGACTGGGAGAAAATATTTGCAAAACATTTATCTAATAAAAGACTGGCATCCAAAATATACAAACAGCTCTTAAAACTCAACAGTAAGAAAACAAATAACCGAATTTAAAAATTGGCAAAGAGGCATGGTCGCTCATGCCTGTAATCCCAGCACTTTGGGAGGGTGAGGCGGGAACATCACCTGAGGTCAGGAATTCGAGACCAGCCTGGCCAGCATGGTGAAACCCTGTCTCTACTAAAAATACAAAAAATTAGCCGGGCATGGTGGCGGGTACCTGTAGTCCCAGCAACTCAGGAGGCTGAGGCAGGAGAATCGTTTGAACCCGGGAGGGAGAGGTTGCAGTGGGCCAAGTTCATGCCATTGCACTCCAGCCTGGGTGACAGAACAGAACGCCATCTCAAAATAATAATAATAGTAATAATAATAATAATTGATGAAGACCTAAGGAGACACCTCATCAAGAAAATATCCAGAAGGCAAATAAGGCATATAAAAGGACATCACATGCCATCAAGGAAATGCAAATTAAAACCACAGTGAGACACCACCACACACCTATGAGCATGTCTGCTATTCAAAACACTGACAACTCCAAACACCAATAAGGATGCAGAGTAACAGGTGCCCTCGTTTGCTGCTGGTGGGAATGCAAAACGGTGCAGGCACTTTGGAAGACAGTTTGGCAGTGTCTCATAAACATAAATATTATACTGAAGCTATTAAAATGCAGAGTATGAAGACCTAAATTTTGATCCCTATCTAATTCCCACAGCAGACCTTAAACCAGGAGAACTACCACTCCTTGAAGTTGGTAACTGGGTAGTCTTACCTGTTGAAATGTCTATCCACATATCAGTCTCATCTGGAGACGTACTGCCCTCCTGAGCTCCCCCATCTCTAGGCCTAAAAACGGATTCAGATCCAGGACTTTTAGATAGAGCAGCTCTCACATCGGCACAACCCGGCCTGGAGCACGGACAGTGCTTAGACATTTCTAGTTGAACTTTCCATTCAACCCAGGAATTGTGCTCCTTGGTGTCTACACAAAGGAGTTAAAAACTTGTGTCCACACAAACACCTGCATAGAAATGTTTACATTCATAATTGCCAAAACCTGGAAGCAGCCAGGATGTCTTTCTGTGGGTGAATGAATCGTGATGCCACATCTACAACCATCTGATCTTCAACAAACCTGACAAAAACAAGCAATGGGGAAACGATTCCCTATTTAATAAATGGTGCTGGGAAAACTGGCTAGCCATATGCAGCAAACAAACTGGAACCATTCCTTGCACCTTATACAAAAATTAACTCAAGATGGATTAAAGACTTAAATGTAAAACCTAAAACCATAAAAATCCGAGAAGAAAACCTAGGCAATACGATTCAGGACATAGGCATGGGCAAAGACTTTGTGAATAAAACACCAAAAGTAATGGCAACAAAAGCCAAAATTGACAAATGGGATCTAATTAAACTAAAGAGCTTCTGCACAGCAAAAGAACCTATCATTAGAGTGAACAGGCAACGTACAGAATGGCAGAAAATTTTTGCAATCTATCCATCTGACAAAAGGCTAATATCTAGAATCTGCAAGGAACTTAAATTTATAAGGAAAAAAAAACCTCATCGAAAAGTGGGCGAAGTATATGAACAGACACTTCCCAAAAGAAGACATTTATGCAGCCAACAAACATATGAAAAAAAGCTCATCATCATTGGTCATTAAAGAAATGCAAATCAAAACCACAATGAGATACCATTTCATGCCAGTTAGACTGATGATTATTAAAAAATCAGGGAACAACAGATGCTGGAGAGGATGTGGAGAAATAGGAACGCTTTTACACTGTTGATGGGAGTGTAAATTAGTTCAAGCATTTTGGAAGACAGTGTGGCAATTCCTCAAGGATCTAGAACCAGAAATAGCATTTGACCCAGCAATCACATTACCAGGTATATACACAAAGGATTATAAATCATTCTGCTATAAAGATACATACATACATATGTTTATTGCAGTACTATCCACAATAGCAAAGACTTGGAACCAACCCAAATGCCCATCATTGACAGACTGTATAAAGAAAATGTGGCACATATATGCCATGGAATACTATGCAACCATAAAAAAGAATGAGTTCATGTCCTTTGCAGGGACACGGATGAAGCTGGAAACCATTCTCAGCAAACTAACACAGGAACAGAAAACGAAACATTGCATGTTCTCACTCATAAGTGGGAGTTGAACAATGAGAACGCATGGACACAGGAAGGGGAACATCACACACTGGGGCCTGTTGGTGGGTGCGGAGGGAGAGCATTAGGACAAATACCTAAGGCATGTGGGGCTTAAAACCTAGATGACGGGTTGATAGGTGCAGCAACCACCATGGCACATGTACACCTATGTAACAAACCTGCCTGTTCCGCACACATATCCCAGAACTGAAAAATAAACTCTGGTGCATCCAGACAATGCAATATTATTGAGCACTTTTTAAAAATGAGCTATCAAGCCATGAAAAGACATGGGGGACATGAAATGCTTATTACTAAGTGAAAGAAGTCAACCTGAAAAGGCTACCCACTGTGTGACTCCATCTGCATGACCTTCTGGAAAAGGTGGAACTATGGAGACAGTATAAAGATCAGTGGTTGGTAGGAGTTAGGGCAGCTGGAGGGCAGGTGGGGGCGGGGTGTGGGGGGGCAGGCAGAGCACAGAGGATGTTTACGGCAGTGAAACTATTCTGTGGATACCGTCACGGTAGATCCGTGTCATTACACATTTTCCAAACCCACAGAACGTACACCAACAGTGAACCCACAGGTAAACTATGGACTTTAGTTAATATTAATGTGAAATTGTAAAATCAATAATAAAACATACCACACCAATGCAAGATATTAACAAGGGGGGAAATGGAGGTCAGAGTGAGGCAGTATAAGAGAATTCCCTGTACTTTCTGCCCAATTTTTCTGTGAACCTAAACTGCTAAAAAAAAAAAGTTATATTAATTAAAATCAGCAACAAAACAAGAGGCGATGATGAGAAAATTTCAGATCCAACAATTTGAATGTTTTCAGCTTCTTTTCCATTATTTGAGATTTTAAATGAAGTTGGCTTTTTAAAATTAGAACACTGGAAAGAGTTCTGCTCCTTATTTTTAATATTGTGAGTTCTTAAGTTAGCATCACTTAATATGTCCCGAGAATTGCTACTTGCGTCTTAGTGAAGGTGAGGAGCAATGCACAGATGTTGGGCTGGGAAAGAAAAGATTTCGGAGAGGACCGCTCTAAGCATTGGCATCCAGCCACAGGGTGCAGCTTCAATTCTGGGGAGTTCTCCATGCAGCCTCCACTGCAGTTTAAAATGGGCTAAATGGATTTTTCCCGAACAATTAGGGTCCAGTGCAGATGGAAATCCATTTCCAAATGACCTCATTACACTGCTATGGTCTGTAACAATTTCGAGTGTGAAAAATTCAATTTTATACCAACACCACATTTCTGCACAGTCAAGAGTCTCTGAAGATTCAGACAACATTCATGACACGCCGCCCTGTGCGTGGGCTGCTGTGGCTCTGGTCCTCCCCAGTGGCAGCCTGGTGCTCACAGCCTTGCCCTCGGTTTCCCTCCTCCGAGGGGCCCTCCGTGTGCAGGCCACAAGAGGAAGAGCAAAGCCGCTCCATGAGCCTCCCCTTTCTGGGCCGCCTGCCCCGTCTCAAGGTCTCCAGCCTTCGCCCAACCTTCCCCACTCTCTGCACAGCACAGGACCCCGGCATGGAGCGCCAGTTTCTGGGAGCTGAGACTCTGCCTGGGGGGTGGGCACGAGGGGCCAGGCAGGCAGCCGATGTCCACGCCTCTCACTCCTGTTTGTCTTCCTGGTCATAGTCAGCCCTACTGCCCTCGGCAGCCTCCTCCACTCGCGCTCGCAAAACATCCGTTTCCTACTCAGTTCATCCATATTGCTGGCAATAAGCTGTTTCTAAAATTCAAATTCCCCAAATGGCTGCTCCTGGCTAAACAATTTCAATGACTCCTCCTCACATTCACAGAACATCTCCACATCTGAATCCACCTTGCTCTCCAGCCCTGCCTCCTCTGGAAGCCACTGTGCACTCGATATCCTAGCGGTTCCCAAATCCATGCTCCGTCCAGGGCTGTGCCATTCCCTCCACGCGCCCTCAGTGCCAGCACCCCCATGCTGCCTGGACCATCACCACTAAGGGCCTCCCTGGTCCTTCGGGGTGAGCTGGTCACCTTCCTCTTCCCTCTCCCAAAATGACGGTCAACCTGGTAACTGTCATCATACATCACAATGAACAGCAAGCATTTGTTAACTTGCTTGTGATCAAATTGTGGGGCTTTCAGGAGCAAATATATATATTCCTCTTTATGACTGGCTCCCAAGAAAGTGTGGCACTGGATACACCCTCACAGCATTCTTAGCGCACTGTGGGTGACAGGTTGGATAATGACAAGACCAAACTCCTCTGTGTATCATTCATTGATTCAATAAATATGTACTGAACAACACTTATGTACTGTCCACTCTGCTGGAAATACTGTATTTAAACAAACAAACAAACCACAATGGGTGCGGCTTCCCAGAGGCAGTCAGGTCCCACCTTGAAAAGGATGGATGTGACTGGGGACACCAGGGCATGAGAACCCGGCGAGATTCAGACTCTAAAGCTGGGCCGGCTGCACCGCAACTGCAGCCGTGAGCAGCACAGGTGGTCACCTCCCGCCTCGAGGACCTGAGCAGCAAGGCCTGTGACAGCCTGGCCATTGACAAGTCCCTGCCACTGATCACCCTGGTCCTGCAGAGGCTGGCACCACGGTGATGAGGATTACTTCCTGTGTCTGCCTTCCAATACTAAGAGTATGGCATTGACCAATAACGAGACGAGGGCATAGGACAATTCTGATGGAGATATGGCTTGGGTTTCCAGGCATCCTTTGATGTGGATGAACTATAGCGGGGCATGGTTGAAGCAGAAGAATGTGGCCAGGCAGCTGAACAAGGCTCCATCCAGTGCCATCCTCCTATCAGAGGAAGACTGTCCCGTGCTCATTCATATTCTGTGTTCAGATCTGGCTCAGGAACTAAGCCAAGGCTGTGCCACCATCCAGGTTCGCAGGACGCGCTCCAGCAGGTGCTTCACAGAGGAAGTGGTCTGTCCGGGCAGCTCCTGGAGCTGTACCTCCTGGTTTTGGAGAAAGAGGGCAGCCTCTTGTCAAGGCAAGAGGAGTCCAAAGCAGCCTTTGGTGATGAGGCAGAGGCAGTAGACATGATTTTGACAAAAAGACCTCCTCTGGGCCGGGCGCAGTGGCTCATGCCTGTGATCCCAGCACTTTGGGAGGCCAAGGCAGGCAGATCACTTGAGGTCAGGAGTTTGAGACCAGCCTTATGAAACCCCATCTCTACTAAAAATACAAAAAAAAAAATAGGCATGGTGGCGTATGCCTATAGTCCTAGTTACCTGAGAGGGTGAGGCAGAAGAATGGCTTGAACCTGGGAGGTGGAGGTTGCAGTGAGCCGAGATCACGCCATTGCACTCTAGCCTGGGCAACAGAGCAAGACTCCATCTCCAAAAAAAAAAAAACTCCCCTGAAATTGCACTGAGGAGCTAGTCCCTTCCCACACTGCAAGAGAAGCCAGCCCTGGAGCTGGTGTATCTACTCAGGATGTGGAGCTGCTTACCAAGGAAGACCCCAAGGCACTGGCTGTTGCTTTGAACGGGGACATTACGAAGACAAACTGTTCAAGAGGCTGGTGACCAGGTGCTCGCCCTGCACAGACGCAGAGCTTGCATTCTCGCCGGGAAGAACTCACTTCCGGAGACCCGCAGAACCCTAGGCCAGCCAGGCGAGACCCCACACAGCTGCAGCGGGAAGTGTGCCAGGGAAAGCCCTTGTCTCTGTTATTGCTATCAGCCTGGTTGTTTCACTACCCAAGCCCTACTCTACCGACTACCCTAGAGCACGTTCCACGACAGGGTGGGAGACTGGCTTTTTGCCCCTTCTGGAAAAGCTATCTTAGGTCTCAACATATGCCCTTCCCCCATTTTTTTCTTTGTTTTTGAGACAGAGTCTCGCTCAGTCGCCCAGGCTGGAGTGTAGTGGCGCAATCTTGGCTCACTGCAAGCTCCGCGTCCCAGATTCAAGCAGTTCTCCTGCCTCAGCCTCCCTAGTAGCTGAGACTACAGGCACCTGCCACCACGCCCAGCTAATTTTTTGTATTTTTAGTAGAGACAGGGTTTCACCCTGTTAGCCAGGATGGTCTCGATCTTCTGACCTCATGATCCGTCTAGGCCTCCCATAGTGCTGGGATTACAGGCATGAGCCCCTGCACCCGGCCCATTTTTTTCTTTTTTTAAAATTTTGGCCCAACCAGTTTCAGGACTTCCACCAATTTTTTTTTCCTTTGACACGGGGTTTTGCTCTTATTGCCCAGGCTGGAATGCAGTAGTGCGATCTCAGCTTACGGCAACCTCCACCTCCCAGGTTCAAGCAATTCTCCTGCTTCAGCCTCCTGAGTAGCTGGAATTATAGGCATATGCCACCAGGCCTGGTTAATTTTGTATTTTTAGTACAGATGGGGGTTTCTCCATGTTGTTCAGGCTGGTCTGAAACTCCCGGCCTCAGGTGATCCGCCTGCCTTGGCCTCCCAAAGCGCTGGGATCACACGTGTGAGCCGCGGTGCTCGGCCTGGACTTCCACCAATTTTAAATAATATAGCTGCACCAACAATATCCTACCTCCTCTAATTACCCATTCTTATGTTCTCTGTATAACAGTAGTTGTTGACAGCTCAGCTGCACTGCCTAAGAGTTAGCACTGCTCCACAAGGAGCGATTTAAAAAAAGAAAAACATTAACAAATAAGGAAACAAAAGTAACTGTCAGCCTGGGCAACATAGCAAGACCCTGTCTCTACAAAAAAAATTAAAAATTAGCAAGGTGAGGTGGCTCACACCTGTAGTCCTAGCCACTCAACAGGCTGCGACGGGAGGATCTCTTGACCCCAGAAGTTCAAGGCTGCAGTGAGCCGAGATTGCAGCACTGCACTCCAGCCTGGGTGACAGAGCAAGACCCTGTCTCAAAAAGGAAAAAGATAATTGTCAAGGGCAATGAAAAGAAATGCTTGTATTTTGGACTCATCATCTTTATTCCAAAGATAGTACTGCAGAATTTTAAGCACAGATCATGGTAGAGGAGGTGACATTGGAGAGTGTTATGGCCACAAACTGGCTTCTCAAGTTAATGAGTTTTTTTGTTTCAAGGCACATTAATTACGTTACGAACATTAAATTAACGCTACGTTACTTTTGCAGACCCTACGGACATACGGAGAGTCTACTTCACCATTTCTAATACCTAATTCAGTGGTGTGAAATTGTATCTGTTAGCACTGTAAAACTCTTTTCCCTTTTCTAATTGTTTTATCAGCAGGGGACGTAAAAGCTCATTAAAGCAATTTCCATGTGGAAAAAATTTAAAATTAAATTATCAGCCCTGAACTTACATTGAACTACAAGGTCACGGATTTTCTTTCACTTTACTTACAAGCTAATAAGTTGCCTTTTGCTATTTCATTGACGCTGCTAGAAGTCGGGAGACGCGTCGATCAGAGACCAGGGTTTTATTCCTCACTGCGCAGAAGACAGCACGGGCAGGAGTCTGTGGTTCCCTTGGCCCCACATCCCACAGGGCCGCGTGGAACAGCTCAGCTCGGTGCCGGGTGCACGCTGGCTCTGTGTCCCGGCCGAGGCACACGGACGCTGGGACCCTGTTCTATAGCAGACAGTCGATGCCTGCTCCTTGTCCGCGGGGGACACATTTCCTCCTCCCTCGAGGATGGCTCCCTGCACGCACAGCCCTGAGAGATGGTCCGGGAAAGAGCAATCCAGCCACAGTGCTCTGGACACGCCTGAGGAAGACACTTACACGTGGGAAGGACCCTGGGACTGTCTTTCCCAACAGCTATGGGCTTCGTGAGGAGAATAGGGAATTAGGGCAGCCCCGGGCTGGGGCTTTAGCAAATAACAGCAGGTGCAGTCAGTTCCAGGCAGGATCCGGCGGTACACAGGCCACAGCCTCTCTCCTGTGATAAGAAGACAGAAACCTCCACTTCAGCCTCTGATTGACCACGGCCTTCTCCACTTCAGCATCTGATTGGTCACAGGTCCATCCTTCATAGGGAATAACCAACTGGAGGCCGCTAAAGGGCACCTAGGGGTATTGCCAAGTTCTTTTGGCTTTATAAAAATCCTAATTGGGCCAGGCGCGGTGGCTCACACCTGTAATCCCAGCACAAGGTGGGTGGGTCGCTTGAGTCCAAGAGTTCGAGACCAGCCTGGCCAACATGGTGAAACCCCATCTCTGCTAAAAATACAGAAATAAGCCAGGCGTGGTGACAGGTGCCTGTAATCCCAGCTACTCAAGAGGCTGAGGCACAAGAATCACTTGAACCCCGGAGGCAGAGGTTGCAGTGAGCTGAGATCGCACCACTGCACTCCAGCCTGGGCAACAGAGTGAGACCCTGTCTCAAAAAAACAAAACAACAACAACAAAAAACCTAATTAGAGAGGCTCTTGAGTCGCTTGCTCAAGCCCATCCCACTTTGTGAATTGTGCTTTTGCTTCTTCAATAGATCTGTGCCTTGGTTACTCCCTCTGTTCTTCTGTTGTTTTGTTCTTTTGTTACTTTGTGCATTTTGTTCAGTTCTTCGTTCAACACGCCAAGAAACTGGACAACTCTATCCAGTAACATTCTGTTCTGAAGCCACAAAGATAATAAGATGCCTGTACTGAGAAGTCCAGGTGGCATTTTCTTACCCCCATCTTGACACTGCCGTTTTCTGTTTCGAACCCCAGTCCACCCCACAGCTCCAAACCACCCTCCCTGCCTCCACCTACAGCTGGCACCTGCTGCCGCGTCGTCGTGGGGCTGCCGCTGTGATCTGAGCCCGGGAGCAGGAAGGTCAGGCCTTGGTGCACCGGCTGGCCAGTCCAGACAGGAGTGCCTGCCTCACTCCAGGACTATGGACAGCACCTGTGATTTGCAGGTCCTTTCTTAAATTAACACCCACAGTCTAATTCCCAATGAACCTTGGACCTTCTCTAGCTCCCTGAATTCTCCAGGCCTAGCCTTGCAAAGTGATTGTGTGTGCTCACTAAGGACGTGTGACCTGTAATTTGTTTTTTAAAAAAAGAAAAGGGGACCGGGCGCAGTGGCTCATGCCTGTAATCCCAGCACTTTGCGAGGCCAAGGTGGGTGGATCACTTGAGGTCAGGAGTTCAAGACCAGCCTGGTCAACATGGTGAAACCCTGTCTCTACTAGAAATACAAAAATTAGCCAGGTATGGTGACAGGTGCCTGTAATCCCAGCTTCTCAGGAGGCTGAGGCATGAGAATCGCTTGAACCTGGGAGGCGGAGGTTGCAGTGAGCCAAGACTGCACCACTGCACTCCAGCCTGGGCGACAGAGCAAGACTCCATCTCAAAAAATAATAAATTTAAAAAAAAATTTTTAAAGGGAAAAGTAGAAATATTTTAAACGTTTAGCTCTAATAACAGCCTATTTTAACTGTATCAAAGAAGAAGGCGATTTCATAAGGCATTCCAGAAAAAACAAAATTCTAGCAGCGTTTGGGCTCCTAAACCGATCCAGCCATTTCCCTATGAAATGCCCTCAGGCCATCTCCATTTGAAACATGACGAATTGAGGCTTCCAGAGGTGAGATGGGAAACTGGCTTTTGAGTTTAACAATTCTCTGCACATATTCAGTTCTAGAGCACCAACCAGCTTTCACCATAATAACCATGAAGAGATTGTACAGGAATTCCTTATTTGAATTAAGTAATTGACACCAAGCAAACGTTTTACAGATTTATGCATTACGAAGGAGCTATGAAGGGCTAACAGACTTTGTAAAGTAAAACATATTTTATATTTGCTGCCTAAGGATATGTTTGGCTTCGGGGAAATGAAATTAGATTCACTAGATGAGATTCGAAGTGTAAAGCTCTGCAGTGTTCAGGGTCTCCCACAAGAGGGCAGTGTGCTAGCATTTGGAAGCAGCGGAGCCTCTTCCTGGACTCAGCTTGAATTGGAATTGACAACTAAGAAAACTATGATTAAACCCTGATTCTTAAGTTTATCTCACATAAAGCCAGTGTTCAAGGATGTTGAATAAACAACGATTAGTAAAACAACATTGTATTTCAAAATATGAGCAGTCCAATAAAAGCTATCGCAGAGCTAGTTGCCCTACTCAACAGGAAGTAGTATCTCCCATAACTAGCAATTCTCCTCTGAACTAATGAGCTATCACCCAGAAAGTAAACTGCATGTTAGATTAACAAGAAAATGTATAGGATACATTGAGTAGGAAGTGGCTGAGATATTTTAATTTTAATCCTTCATCAAAATCAGCCAATAACTGTTGTCTCTTCTAAGCTATTCCTTGCATGAAAAATCCTTACCAGCTGCCACTGGACTCTGGACAGAGGTCTCTGCCCCCACATGGGCCTCCCTTCTCCTGTTCCAGGTGGTAGAGAAGTTTCACAGCATCTCTCAGGAGAAGGCTGAGCACCCAGCGGTGTAGACCACAAGGATAAATCAGATGTGATGTCGTCCACATAGGGCTGGGGAGTTTTCCACAGAAGCTTCTACATTATATAATGTACAGACTTAATCTTGTTTTAACTCATTAACCGTTTTAATTCTTTTGAGGCCAGGCATGGTGGCTTATGCCTGTAATCCCAGCACTTTGAGAGGCCGAGGCAGGCGAATGGCTTGAGCTCAGGCGTTCAAGACCAGACGAGACAATGGTGAAAACCCATCTCTACAAAAAAAAAGACAAAAATTATCCAGACGTGGTGGCATGTGTCTGTAGTCCCAGCTACTCTGGAGGCTGAGGTGGGAGGATGGCTTGAGCCCAGGAGGTAGAGGTTGCAGTGAGCCAAGGTCACACCAGCGCACTGCAGCCTGGGCGACAGAGCCAGACCGTGTCTCAAAAAAAAAAGTATTGAGTGCACTTGTGTGTTTCCCCTTCTTAGTCATTCTGCACACCAGGGAACCAAGAGAGGAAGGAAAGAGAGAGACCAACAGAGAGACAAAGACAAAGACAGAGAGACAAGGACGGGAGAAAGGGAGGGAGATGGGGAGGAAGAAAGCCAATTTCATTAGGTGTCGTGCACAACATCAGAAAACTTTAACACCTATTTCCTATTTAACCCTAACACATGCTTGGTCTCAAGATAGATTAGCAAGAACCATTCCCCACCTTAATGTGGCTGGTGTATTCGTCTGTCTTGCGTTGCTATAAGGAACACCTGAGGCTGGATAGTATATGAAGAAACAGGTATATGTGGCTCATGGTTCTGCGGGTTGTTCCAGCATCTGCTTCTGGGGAGGCCTCAGGAAGATTTTTCTCCTGGCGGAAGGTGAAGGGGGAGCAGGTGTGTCAGGTGGCAAGAGAGGGAGCAAGAGAGAGAAGGAGGTGCCAGGCTCTTTTTTTTTTGAGACAGAGTCTGGCTGTGTCGCCCAGGCTGGAGTGCAGTGGCGCGATCTCAGCTCACTGCAAGCTCCGCCTCCCGGGTTCACGCCATTCTCCTGCCTCAGCCTCCTGAGTAGCTGGGACTACAGGCGCCCGCCACCGCGCCCGGCTAATTTTCTGTATTTTTTAGTAGAGACGGGGTTTCACCGTGTTAGCCAGGATGGTCCTGATCTCCTGACCTTGTGATCCACCCGCCTCGGCCCCCAAAGTGCTGGGATTACAGGCGTGAGCCACCGCGCCCGGCCAAGAGGCGCCAGGCTCTTTAAACAGCCAGATTTCCAGTGAACTCACTGGAGACAGCAGGAAGGCACCAAGCCATTCAGGAAGGATCCGCCCCCACAACACAGTCACCTCCCACCAGGCCCACCTCCAACACCGGGCGTCACATTTCCACAGGAGATTTGGAGGGGACACACATCCAACTATATCAATTGGCTTGTTCTTGAAAAAAAAAAATCACTTGTAAGGAATTGTGCTGGGCTCAAATACAATGACCCCTCCTCCCCTGTGGGAGCCTTGCTGTCTCCCAGAGCTCCTGCTACCCCCACAGACTCCCTCCTCTGCCCCCAGTGCCCTATCCCCATGAAAATCCCCTTTACTTGAAAACCAAGCCTGCCTGGCTCACCCCTCTCACCTGGGACTCCGACAGCCAAACATTGTTGTGGTTGTGAATGCTGGGATGAGAAAGCTGGAATGTTTAGCTTTGGGCTCACATTTCTCTACCCAGGTTGAGCTGGGCAATAGGAAATAACCTCTAATTTAGAATTCTAAACACGAAACATATTCACTATCTGATATAGTAGTAAGTTTAGGGGAGGAAAAACCCCTGAAACTCAGCCCCCAAACAGCACAAACCCTGACTGGAGTGAGATTTTTTGTCCCCACCCACATGCCTGCCATGAGTAACAGAAATTGCTTCCTGAAGATAATACATCCAGATCCTCAAATCATTTCTACAACCTTTAATAGGCAACAGCAACATTCAACCAAAACTTACCTGACAGAGATAAGACAAGAAAGAAATTACCGACAGCCAAGAAAAACAGGCAATAGGAAGAGATCGCGGGAATTTCAGGGGCTGGAGTTATGAGATGCGTCCTCTAAAAAACATGGGGTTACTCCATCCAAGTACTGAAGTGAGCCGATGGAGAATTTCACCAGAAAAGTGAAAATTATAATAATAAAAGAATCAAGTAGAAGTTTTAGAAATGTGAAATGTGATACGGAAAATAAGAACTCTAACGTGGACTGTAGGCAGCAAAGGAGGGGACGGGAAAAGTGGGCGAGTCCTCCGAAGCATTTGCACAGCCAGGACAGGTGGAGAACGGAGGAGGGAAATGG
Organism: Homo sapiens; assembly: GCF_000001405.40. NCBI lineage: Eukaryota > Metazoa > Chordata > Mammalia > Primates > Hominidae > Homo > Homo sapiens. The sequence goes on from NC_000008.11 coordinate 1,738,477, forward strand.
GCAGGGGGCACAAGAGACCAGGGCGCTCAGGACGGGGGAGCAGGTCCTCTGTGCACACACAGCCCCAGAAGAGAAGAGAGAATGGGGCAAAAGAATCATAAAGGAGGTGAGAACCAATGATTATTTTTATTTATTTATTTATTTTATTTATTTATTTATTTTTGAGACAGAGTCTCAATCTGTCACCCGGGCTGGAGTGCAGTGGCGCGATGTTGGCTCACTGCAACCTCTGCCTCTGGGGTTCAAGTGATTCTCCCACCTCGGCCTCTTGAGGAGCTGGGACTATAGGCGCCCACCACCATGCCCAGCTAATTTTTGTATTTTTAGTAGAGATAGGTTTTCACTGTGTTGGCCATGCCAGTCTTGAACTCCTGACCTTAGGTGATCCACCTGCCTCGGCCTCCCAGAGTGATGGGATTACAGGAGTGAGCCACCATGCCCGGCCCAATGATTTTTTTTTTTTTTCTGAGACGGAGTCTTGCTCTGTCACCCAGGCTGGAGTGCAGTGGTGCAATCTCAGCTCACTGCAACATCCACCTCCTGAGTTCAAGCAATTCTCCTGCCTCAGCCTCCCGAGTAGCTGGGATTACAGGCACCCGCCACCACACCCAGCTATTTTTTCTATTTTTAGTAGAGACCGGGTTTCACCATGTTGGCCAGGCTGGTCTCGAACTCCTGACCTTGTGATCTGCCCACCTCAGCCTCCCAAACTGCTGGGATTACAGGATGGTTTTTAATAACCAATCAAAGTCAAGTTAAACTCCAGCAGAAACAGATGAGTTTCCTGATGGTTGTGCACAGGCTTCGGACCCAAGGCAAGGTCTTCCTGTCTCGAGGCCTTCTGCCATCATCCTGCCTCCCCAGACATACCCCAGTGATATCGTTTGGATGTTTGACACCCCCAAAACCTCAGGCTGACATTGGATCGCCAGTGTTGGTGCCGGCCTAGTGGGAGGTGTCTGGTCACTGGTGTGGTGGGAGGCGTCTGGGTCACTGGTGTGATGGGAGGTGTCTGGGTCACTGGTGTGGTGGGAGGTGTCTGGTCATTGTGGTAGGAGGTGTCTGGTCACCGGTGTGGTGGGAGGTGTCTGGTCACCGGTGTGGTGGGAGGTGTGTGGTCACTGGTGTGGTGGGAGGTGTGTGGTCACTGGTGTGGTGGGAGGTGTCTGGTCATTGTTGTGGTGGGAGGTGTCTGGTCACTGGTGTGGCCCCTACATAAATGTCTTGGTGCCATCCTCACTCTATTTGTCTCATTTCATTAGCTCTCGCGAGATCTGATTGTTAAAAAGAGCCTGGCAGCTCCTTTCCTCTCTCTCTGTCCCTCTTTATGGCTTTTTTCCTCTTGGCATGTGATGCCTGCTCCGCTTCCCATTCCGCCATGACGCCACGAGCAGAATGATTTCTCACATTTTTTTTTTTTTTTTGAGACGGAGTCTAGTTCTGTCACCCAAGCTGGAGTGCAGTGGTGTGATCTTGGATCACTGCAACCTCTGCCTTCTGGGTTCAAGCGATTCTCCTGCCTCAGCCTCCCGAGTAGCTGGGATTACATGTGCCTGCCATTACGCCCAGCTAATTTTTGTATTTTTAATAGAGGCGGGGTTTCACCAATGTTGGGAAGGCTGGTCTCGATCTCCTGACCTCAGGTGATCCGCCCCCCTCAACCTCCCAAAGTGCTAGGATTACAGGCATGAGCCACTGCGCCCGGCCAATTTCTAATATTTCGGAGGCCTCACCAGTCGCAGATGCTGGCACCATGCTCCCTGTGAAGGCTGCAGAGAGGTGAGCCAAACACACCTCTTTTCTTTATAAATTACTCAGCTTCAGGTAGTCCTTGATAGCAAAACAAATGGACTAAGACACTCATCCTAACTCAGACCCCAGCTTCCCCATGAAGCTGTCAGCAAGACAGCAGCTATGCTCCCCTCCTCCCTCCAGAGTCTGATGGCCTCAGTCCCAGCACGTAGTTCAACCTCCAACTTGACTCTGCCTACCTCATGCAAATGAGCCTATCTCTTTATTCTTCAGGATCCAAAATGGCAACTCCCTGAAGCCAGAGAACCCATCAGAACTTAAAAGTAGACAATTTTTTTAGAGCAGTTTTTGGCTCACAGTAAAATGCACAGAAGGTACAGACACCTGCCATTCGCTGCCTGTCCCCTCTCCCCTGCACGCATAGCCACCCCCCACCAGCAAGTGTGGTGCATTTGTTACCATTGGTGAACCCACATGGACACGTCTTCATTGCCTGGAGTCCGTGGTTTACACGAGGGCTCGCTCTAGGTGTTGTTCATCCTCTGGGTCTGCACAGATGTACACTGACTCTTATCCACCATGACAGTGCCATGCAGAGTAGCTTCACTGCCCTGAAGATCCTCTGTGCAGTGTAACTTCATCACCGTTAGGAAGAAAACAATCTCTTTTAACATCACGTGTGAATAAGACAGATGATGTCCCAGCCCACCATGGGGCTTCCCATTCTTGTGAGGTGGGAAGGGCAGGACAGAAAATAAACAGTCCACAAAGAGATAAAAATAATTATCATGTCATTTTTATGACATGATAGATCATTCTATCATGAATGTTTAAGATCATTCAATGAGTGAAATGCAAGGACATGAGCGAGTAAGAGAGGGAGGCAGGCCCGACAGGTAGTGGCGTCCCAGGTGGTAGCTCCTCCTCGGAGCCCAGCCAGAGTTGAGACCTGAAGGATGAGGAGGACTTGGTCCTTGGACAATAGAAGAAATAAAGACCCAGGTAGAGAGGCAAAAGCAAATGTGAAGGCCCAGAAGCTTGAAAAGGCTGAGCCTGTCCTGGGAGTTATCAGAGGCACAGTCTGATCAGAGTGGAGTCAATAAGGAGTGGTGGTGAGACCCACGTTGGGTAAGGACAGAGACGTCCCATGCTTGACTCCTTGGACATGTGACCTCAGCTTCCTTAGCTGTAAAACGTGACAGGTGGCCAGGCGCGTTGGCTCATGCCTGTAATCCCAGCACTTTCGGGAGGCCGAGGCGGGTGGATCACGAGGTCAGGAGATCAAGACCATCCTGTCTAACACTGTGAAACCCCGTCTCTACTAAAAATTCAAAAAATTAGCCAGGCGTGGTGGCACGCAGCTGTAGTCCCAGCTACTAGGGAGGCTGAGGCAGGAGAATCGCTTGAACCCGAGAGGCGGAGCTTGCAATGAGCAGAGATCACACCACTGCACTCCAGCCTGGGCAAGAAAGCGAGACTCCGTCTCAAAAAAAAACAAAACAACAACAACAAAAAACACAAAACAAAATATGACAGGTGCCACTTGCTGTTGTGGAGGACATCCAGATGCTGTGAGTGATAAAGAAATGCGTGATGGCAGAATCTTTGTTTCCAAGAGTTTATAATTTGGTGGAAATAAAGTGGAGAAGCAGGAAGACCTACACAGTGGACTGGCAGAGCAGCAGAGTCCCTTGACCGTGCTGCAGGGCATTTCAAAGAGGACGGCAACGGGAGGTAAAAGAGGACGGCGAGGGGAGGAGGTGTCTGCTCCCAGGGAAACCTCCCCTGGGTGTTTGGCGATGTCTTCCCCACGTTCACATGATAACCTTTATCTGTCATGAGCAGGTGAAGGTTCAGATAAACACACAAACAGTGATCCTGTCAACATTCTTGTGCATGACCTTGTGTGCAATATGTTTGCATTTCTGCTGGTCGTGGGGAATCACAGTGTCGCCATGGAAGCTTCAGTTCAGTTTCAGTGGTTATTGGTCCAGGGTCAATGCAAAAATGTTACTTCCCCCCAGGGGTGCGCAAGTGAGTTCAGTTTCCACACAGTAGTGTGTGAGTGAGTTCAGGCCCCGCCGTGGTGTGTGAGTTCAGTCCCCTCAGTGCTGTGTGAGTGAGTTCAGTCCCCCCATGGTGTGTGAGTGAGTTCAGTTCTCCTCAGCAGTGTGTGAGTTCAGTTCCCACCAACAGTGTCTGAGTTCAGTTTCTCTGTATCCACACTGATTCCTGCTCCTCTTTCCTGACTTTGCTGTCCTGGCGGCTATGTAGTGATATCTCACTGTGGTTGTAAGCAGCAGCCACTGATGAATAACACAGGGGAGCATCCGTTGAGTAGCCATTTTGATCTTTTCTTTGGTACAGTGCTTGTTCAGGTCTTTTGCCCATTTCTCTATTTAAATCGCTTGTTTTTTCTAATTGATTTGTAGGAATTTCTTGCATGCTCTAAACTCAGGGGTCAAGGCTGTGGTCTGGTGTTGGTGTGGGTGTTGCACTCCTGCTGTCCCAGTCCCAGGTACTTGGGAGGCTGAGATAGGAGGATCGCTTGAGCCTGGGACGTCAGGGCTGCAGTGAGCCGAGGTTGCACCAGTGCACTCCAGCCTGGGTGACAGAGTGAGATCCTGTCTCAAAAATAATAAAATAAAATAAAATAAAATAAAATAAAATAAAAATAGTCAGGGATCAGCAAACTTTTCCAGTAATGAGCCAGAAAGTTAACCTTTTAGGCTTTGTGAGCCATGTGGTCTCTGTGGGACCTTTTCTCCTGCTGTCACGTAAAACAGCTGCAGACAATACTAAACCCATGAGCCTGGTGCTGTTCAGTTTATCTTATTTTGATGGACTTGAAAACGTGAACAGCATATCATTTTTACATGTCACAAAACATCATTCTCCTTCTACATTTTTGAACCATTAAAAAAAAATAAAATTCATGGTTAGCTTACAGAGAATACAAAATAAATGGATGGTGGACCTGATTTGGCCTGAGGGCCTTGTTTTGCCAGCCCTGCTCTAGATGAAGATCCTGGGTCAGTTACACACCTGGCAATAGCTTCCCTCAGGTTCCTAATGTTTTCCTTTGAGAAATGAAAGTGTTTTCCTTGGATGCAGCCCTGGTTCTCCTTCTTCCTTCGGGCAGGTGGCTGGTTTGGACTGGAAGGAAAGTGCATCTCCCCTGCTCTTTAGTGTCCTCTGGAGGGATAGGAGCACCCACAGATCTGCAATGATGGGTGCCAGCCGCCCCCGGCGGGGGAATGAGTGCTCACTATGAGGCAAGTGACCACCACGAGCAGGAAGGTCCCTCCCACTGAGGGACGGCTTGTGCAGTCCTGGCCTGGGGGCTGATCTCCACCATGGTTCCAATCTCCTCCTGCTATGCCTTTGCCATTTTCAGAGCTTATTCTCTTTCTCTGCTCTGAACAAATAGGCAGCCTAAAACTACAACCTTTAAAACTCTCCCATAAAGAAACCTGTGGCGTTGATGAATGTAGGGGGGGCTTCCCACTAGGAGGGGATGAGCGGGGCTTGATGTTTCCGCAGATGTCTGTGCCCGCACTGGCGACTCCGATACTCCAATGCAGGTTCATCAACTGTAACACACGGACCAGTCACGGCGTTGGCCGTTCTCTGGTTTGGGCACATGTAGAATGACACGTACCCACCATTACAGTGTCACTGCCTAAAATTCCTTCGTGCAGCATCCCTTTTCCGCTGGTAGGGGGGAAGCAACCTCTTTGAGCCTCACGGTGTGAATAAACACAGATGATCGTCCTGTAGAAAATAGCTGCTCCTTCATTTCCACCTTCCAAATTTCTGCAAATCTCTCTTTCCTCCAACAGGACGTTGGAACCATTCAGGGAAGGGAACTTTGAGAAACACAGATTAGCTAAGAGAACGCGGTACAGAGCCACTCAGAGAGAAGACAAATGCGTCATCACGACAAAGGCTCGACGCTGATAGGGTCAAGGCCCTTCTAGTGACAGAAGAGAGAGGGGAGAGCCAGCGGAAGGAGCCGCGTGCCTGGCGGGAGGCTCCTTGAGGACGAGAGAAGATGAAAACTCGGGAAGGCAGCTCCCTAGGCAGGTCTTCCGTGATATGCAGGAACTATCCCGGCTGGGAATGTGACGGTGAGACGTGACACCGCGAAGGATGGCAGCACGTGCACAAATAAGGGGTGAAGGTCAAGGGTGAGGTCTGGAAACGGGCTGGCGTGGCCGGGAGGGGGACTTCCTGGAGGAAGGTGCAGGGCAGGAAATGGGAGCAGGGCCCCTGGATGGGGCCGGATCCGAGGGGAGGGCAGGCACCTAAACACTTCGAGTACCCAATGGCGTGCCGCATGACACTTGCTATGACCTTGGCATCAACACGGGACCCGGCTCGTGATGGGCAAACTGCACGAGGATAAAAACGTTCCCCTGAGATGTTAGGAGAAAAAAAAAATTGGCCGGGCGTGGTGGCTCACACCTGTAATCCCAGCACTTTTGGAGGCCGAGGCTGGTGGATCACCTGAGGTCAGGAGTTTGAGACAGCCTGGCCAACATGAGGAAACCCCGTTTCTACTAAAAATACAAAAATCAGCCAGGCATGATGGCACACACCTGTAATCCCAGCTACTCGGGAGGCTGAGGTACAAGAATTGCTTCACCCCGGGAGGCAGAGGTTGCAGTGAGCCGAGATCACACCATTGCACTCCAGCCTGGGCGATGAGAGCAAAACTCCGTCTCAAAAAAAAAAAAAAAAAGAAAAAGCGGAAAAAAAGTCACAAGAACAGCTAAACAGCTCTATGTGGCCCTGAGCCTGGCACTCCGGTAGCACTTGGTGAACGCTGGATGAATGTAGCACTTGGTGAATGCTAGATGAATGGCTTAATGAGTCAGCAAAGGAAGCTCACCAGTTCTTCTTTTCCATGATGAAAAGGTAGTTTCCCCATATGACCATAGGCTCTCAATGGGCAGGGAGCGATGGAGACAGCTCAGCCTTTGATTCTAGTCCTTACATGGAAGACAGCGTATTGCAGAGACTCAGCCACAAAGAGAACTGAATACGGTGTCTGAAATTCTCCTTCTCCTGAATTGTCAATGTTGGTGTCTTTTCGCTTCTGAACAGCATTCCGTGAGAGAACCACGACCCTGGCCCAAACGTGTAGGCTGTGGCTGGCTGTTTTGTTTTGTCGTGGTTTGTCTGGATGCACAAAAATGCTTAAGCTTTAAGTCTCTGATAGTTTACATTTTGTGATGTAAGAACAAGAAAAAAAAACTTCCTCCAACCTAATGCTCTCTGCAAACCAGAAACAAAGTAAACAAGCAAAACCTGCTCTGCTCAGCTTCCGTAATTCCAAATGTTTTATAAGGGTGACTGCAGCATTGGCGGCTTGCTATCTCCAGACTGTGGGCTGTCCCTCACAGCCAGGCCATGACTCAGTCACCTCTTGCTCTCTCGGGGTGTCTGCCCAATGGATTTGTCACAGAATCAGAGGCCCAGTGAGTGACCAAGGCTTGCCTGAGCAGGATATGAAAGCCGCGCTGCTAGAATCTAAGCTGGACCGCAGCATAGGCCACGCGCTTTCCATCCTACCTGCCCTGTAACGTGACTGACGTTAGCTGCGGTGGGGCGAGGAGCGCCGTCTTGTGTCCTGAGTTTGATCACCTCGTCAGACCACAAGTTGGAGGTGTGGGTTTCTGAAGTGACAACATCCTCACTGAAATTCTGCCCATGCACTTTCTCTTCTCATTTTGTTTCCACCCACCGTGACCTTTTTCCTCTTTTTCCACCCCAAAGGAAGAGAAATGTCAAGAAAATAACACTACAGAGCACATATGGAGGAAAGGCAGACAGTGCAAAGATTGCAATAACTGTGTTCCTCCAAGTTATAAGATGTGGAAATAAGACAAGTGATGGGTCCCACGTCCAACGTGGCTCGGCTAGAAGGTGCTTTCTGCTTTAATATGTGGGGATTTCTGGCTGTCTCTGGACTGTGCCCAACAATAAGCCCTAAAAAGTGAACCCTGATTCAGCTGTGAGGGCCTGAGGTCCAGCAGCTCTGCACTGTGGCTCTCTGGCCCCACCCACCCCAGCTTGTGACTGGTGAGTCACCCAGCCCAGCAGACACCATCGTGCCCTCTGCAGATGCACAAGCTGCTTCCTGCCTTGCTTTCCTCCCAGAGCTGTTTGCCATAAATGACCACACGTGTAAGAAAGCACATTGCATACTTCTAACATTCGGTGTGAGCACCACGTGTACACATAAACAAGTATCCGTGCGTTTATCTACAAAATAGAAGTAGTCCAAGGATATGGTACAGCTGTTAAAAGGCTTGACAAAATTGAAACACAGTAATGGTGCTTCTGAAGTTTGCCAAATTTCTATGATGATGAAAAAGCTTTTATCCCAGATACAAAACCTTTGTTCTCAGCATCATCTAGTGACAAGTCGATGGGACTAGGCATTAAGAGATGGGATGTGGATTAAGTAGGATCACTGGGTTTTGGTGAAAGACACCGTTATGAGTTGAATTATACCCCATTCAAAAAAAAAAGGTATGTTGGAGACCTAACCACCCCCCATACCTGGAAATGTGACTTTATTTGGAAATAGGGTCTTGTCTATTTCCAAAGAGGGAATGAAATTAAATCAAATTCAGATAAGGTCATGAGGGAGGATCCTAATTGAATACAGTCAGTGTTCTTATAAAAAGGGGAAACTGGGACACAGAGAGACACACACAGAGGAAGGACACCACGTGAGGACTGGAGCTCCACCACCGAGCCGAGGAGCCACTCAGCCCAGGGGCCACCCAGCCGAGGGGCCACCGGAGGCCAGATCCAGGCCCAGCTGGGACAGACCCTCCCCTGGAGCCTTCAGGGGAGCTCAACCCTGCGGACACCGGGATCTCCGACTTCTGGCTTGGGAGAGAAGACCGTCCTATTGTTTGTGGCACTTTGTTATGGCAGCCCTAACAAACTGATACAGACCCTAAAGCGAGAGGGGTGAACACAGTTCTGACTTTGAAGGCACCAAAGCCCACGTTTGCATTCCAGTTCTGATGCTTATTGATGGTGGCACCACCTGATTTCTCTGAGCTTATTTTCTTTTCATTTATTTATTTTTGAGAGGGAGTCTCACTCTGTCGCCCAGGCTGGAGTGGAGTGGCATGATCTCAGCTCACTGCAGCCTCTGCCTGCTGGGTTCAAGCGATTCTCCTGCCTCAGCCTCCTGAGTAGCTGGGAGTACAGGCACCCGCCACCATGCCCAGCTATTTTTTTTTTTGTATTTTTAATAGAGACAGGGTTTCACCATGTTGGCCAGGCTGGACTCGAACTCCTGACCTCAGGTGATCCACCTGCCTCAGCCTCCCAAAGTGCTGGGATTACCAGTGTGAGCCACTGCAACCTGGCTTTATTTTCTTTGTAAAAAGACATGTGTATCTATCTGAACACACAGATTACAGATACAGATGTGGACATAGATGTAGCTATGGACATAGATGTATATAGATATAGATATAGTAATATAGTTTAGATATTTGTCCCCACCCAAGTCTCATGTTGAGTTGTAATCTCCAGTGTTGGAGATGGGGTCTGGCGGGAGGGGTTTAGTTCGTGGGTGAAGATCCCTCGTGGCTTTGTGCTGTCCTCACAATGGTGAGTGAGTTCTCAGGAGGTCTGGGTGTTTAAGTGTGTGGCAGCTCCCCCAACCCACTCTCTCTCTCTCTGACTTCAGCTCTGTCCATGTGACACACCTGCTCCTGCTTCACCTTCCGCCATGAGCAAAAGCTCCCAGAGGCCTCCCCAGAAGCGGAGCAGATGCTGGTACGATGTTTGCGCAGCCTGCAGAACCGTTAGCCAATTCCACCTCTTTTCTTTGTAAATGACCCAGTCTCAGGTATTTCTTTATAGCAATGCAAGAATGACTTAACAGATATAGACACAGCTGTGATATGGGTATAGATGTAGAAATATAGAGATATGGGTATGGGTATAGATATTGATATGACTGTAGATGTAGATGTAGGTGTATATGTAGACACAGATAAGGATACAGACATATAATTGGCACGCGTACCTGGGATAACACAGATAAAGATGCTTCCTCTCTCTTCTCCTAGACCGGGAGCTCACTGGCAGCAAAGACCCCACATTGCTTCCTGTGTCCATCCCAGTGACACAGCTGCACCTAGGCACACAGCGGATGTCCTTGAGCACCTGTCAGGAAGGCTGACACAGCCTAACCCGCTTGCTCACTCCTCCGACCTCCCACGTGAATGGTACCCCACCAGCCACTATGGTGATGAACAACCCGAGGTCGGTGTCTGGCTGGAAGTTCCCTGGCCCTCAAAAATTATTTTATGTATGGAACATATGGTTTAATGTTTAAATTCTTTAAACTTGCCCGACATAATTGAGCTCACCGATTAGCCCACAGCTAAGGAGTCCTTGCCATTATATCTATGTCCTTCTCTTTATCTTGTTTCCAGCAGCCCCACCCTGCCCTGGCCTGAGCCCCCCACATCCCCCTTGCTGCAAAAATGAATCATTCCCCCTACCTTCCCCAGCTCTGCCCCAATTCCAGGTCAGGCTTTTGTGCTCCAGAAATCATCTACGGGTTTTCCACATAATGCCCATGACAATTTAGCGTCTCTTACCAACATCAGCATCAAGAAGCTACATAAAATGCGTGGATGTTAAATCTACAGTGAGAGCTCCTGGATAGCTCCGTGCCCCAGATTCGCTAATCAGCCTGCAAACCATTTGCACGCAGGCTTTCGTTTACAACAAGAGCTTACATTTTAGCATGAGGCAGAAAGACAAGAAACTCTCACAGATCTCATCTATTCTTCTTTTCAATTACTTTGTAATTCTACACTTCCATTAAGAAGTTAATTACTTCAACGTTAACCTTCCATCTATCTTTGTAACATAAAACAAAGATTGGATAAAAATACAAGGACTTACTAAAATGGCAAACGCTTATAGAACACTTACGAGGTGGCAGGCGGGGTTTTCAGGGCTCCGCTCATTGAGTATATTAACCGGGATTCCCGTGAGGGCTGTGAGACAAACACGGGCAGTGCTCAAAACGCTTCACAGCCAGTTCAGCTCCACGTTGATTGCTGAGTCGTGGAAACGTGCAAGGGGTCCCGGAGAGTCAACTGTTTACCAACTGGCTTGGGAGTATTCAAATGTGTAACAACGGAACGCTGATGTGCCGGGGTATGTGGCCTGAATCCCACCAGCCTCTGTGGCAGGAACAGCATCAGCCCATTTTATAGAGAAGGAAACTGAGGCCCAGAGACAGGAAGCGACATTCCCAGGGCTCACAGACAGCATGGGTGCAGATGGACCGTGCAGTCTGGTTTCCACAGCTGAGCCAGTGGCCTCTGCACTAACTGTCTCAATTCTGGGACTGGAAATGGACTGTGTGTGTACGTTACAATATTGTTTTAACAACCAGATACATTTTCTGACTTCCTATGAAAGCTTTCAAATGCACAGAAAAAGTGAAAAAGAAATAAGATGAATACTCATGTACCAAACAACCAGATCGACGATTCTTATTGTTCAGTCATATTTACTTCAGCACATACACATACACACCATCCTCACACACATACACATACACACACGTACACGTTCACACAGACACATACATACTCACACACATATGCTGACATACACACACACTCACATACACTCTTGCACACACAGCTGAGCCCTTTCAGAATAAACCACCATACTGTCACTCGAGCCCAGTGCTTCAGCACATTTCTCTTAAAAACATAAACTTTTGGCTGGGCACGGTAGCTCACACCTGTAATCCCAGCACTTTGGGAGGCGGAGGTGGGCGGATCACCTGAGGTCAGGAGTTCGAGACCACCCTGACCAACATGGAGACACCCCATCTCTACTAAAAGAAACAAAAATACAAAATTAGCCAGGCTTGGTGGCGCGTGCCTGTAATCCCAGCTACTTGGGAGGCTGAGGCAGTACAATCGCTTGAACCCGGGAGGCAGAGGTTGCGGTGAGCCGAGATCACGCCACTGCACTCCAGCCTGGGCAATAAGAGGGAAACGTCATTTCAAAAAAAAAGAAAGTCAGCAATAAGTCACTAAGACTACCGAATGCTCAGTCCATATTGAAATGTCCCCAGTTGTCCCTGAGGATGCGTCTGACCACTGCCTGTTGGAAAAGCCCCCAATCACGGCTCACATGGTGAGTGCAGTTGTCACATGTCTTTGGCTGTTTTAATCTAGACTCAACTCCCTGACACACACACACTCCCCAACCCGCTCCCAGCACACTGATCTGTTATGGAGACCTGGCCAATTGTCCACATTCTAGATTTGTCCGGTTCCCTATGGCTTCGTTTAACTGGTTCCTCTGTGGCCTGGATTTTCTGCCACATGGAATTTCAGCCTTGATTGGCCAGAAAGCTTCACAGGGAATACCTCGACTCACAGCATCATGCCCGGAGCCAGGTCCCCTCAGGCTGACCACACACATTTTAATGATAGTCAAAGATGTATCAAGCAAGATAATTCAGTAAAAAATTCTAATGTTAATAAAAATGCTGGCCAGGCGCGGTGGCTCACGCCTGTAATCCCAGGACTTTGGGAGGCCGAGGAGGGCGGACCACCTGAGGTCGGAAGTTCAAGACCAGCCTGACTAACATGGAGAAACCCTATCTCTGCTAAAAATACAAAATTAGCCAGGCATGGTGGTGCATGCCTGTAATCCCAGCTACTAGGGAGGCTGAGGCAGGAGAATCGCTTGAACCCCAGAGGCAGGGGTTGCGGTGAGCTGAGATCATGCCATTGCACTCCAGCCTGGGCAACAAGAGCAAAACTCCGTCTCAAAAGAAAAATAAATAAATAAATACATAAACAGATAAATACATAAATACATAAATAAATAAATAATCTGGTTGGGCGTGGTGGCTGAGGCCTGCAATCGCAGCACTTTGGGAGGCCAAGGCAGACAGATCACCTGTGGTCAGGAATTCGAGACCAGCCTGACCAACATGGTGAAACCCCGTCTTTACTAAAAATACAAAATTAGCTGGGCGTGGTGGTACGTGTCTGCAGTTCCAGCTACTCAGGAGGCTGAAGTAAGAGAATCGCTTGAACCCAGGAGGTAGAGGTTGCAGTGAGCCGAGATCACACCCCTGCACTCCAGCCTGGGCAACAAGAGTGAAACTCCGTCTCAAAAAAAAAAAAAAATCTGATGTTAAGAAATATGCTGGCTGTGCATGGTGGCTCACGCCTGTAATCCCAACACCATGGGAGGCTGAGGCAGGAGGATTGCCTGACCCTAGGAGTTCAAGACCATCCTGGGCAACATAGAAAGACTCTATTTCTACAAAAAATACAAAAATTAGCTAGAAGTGGTGGCTCCCACCTGTGGTGCCAGCTATTCAGGAGGCTGAGATGGGAGGATCGCTTGAGCCTAGGAAGTCAACGCTGCAGTGAGCCGTGATTGCACCATTGCCCTCCAGCTTGGGCGACAGAGCAAGACCGTGTTTCAAAACACACACACACACAGAGACACACACAGACACAGACACAGACACACAGAGACATACACAGACACACACACACAGACACACACACAGACACACAGAGACATACACAGACACACACAGACACACACACAGACACACAGAGACACACACAGACACACACACACAGATACACATACAGACACACACGAACACACATACAGACACACACAGACACAAAACAAACCTGCTGAGACTGAGGTTTGGATGCCCCTTAAGTTCAGGGGTAGTGATGAAAGTGGAGTCGTGTCAGGGAAAGCAAATTTAAATTCCCCAAAGTGCTTGTTCTGGTCATAGAGCTTTGTCCATTTCCTAAAAGAAAGCCTGTCTTGCGGTGTGGGCCGGTAACCTGGCTCCGGGCTTGTCCCTTTTGTGGGGAAGTATTTAACAGTCAGCGGCCAGCCTGTCTTGTCAGACAAAGATCCATGTTTTGTACTTAACCTTGATACCCCAAATTCTTGACACCCCAACCTCTGGCAATCGGTCCATTGAGAAACCCTGTGGACAAAACAGAGGAGGAGGGTGGGCAGCAGGTGAGAAGATGTCATCGGCCTACCTGGTTATCTTTTTCACTCTTAATAGAATCTTTCCAAATATCATTTTCTTCTTATTATTTGCTTTTTATTATGAAAATTTCCAAACATATAGACATGTTGAGATGACAATAAATAAGGAACAGAAACATGCTCTTATCTTTAACGGCTGCTAACGTTTTGCCTTCTTTGCTTCATCTAGCTTTCTTTCTTGCTGATGTATTTTAAAGTAAATTGGGGACATGACGACATTTCATCCCTAAAAGCATCTCTACACATCTCTAAAAAATAAGAACCTTTTCCTGTAGAACCACAATGCCACTAACCATCCCATAAAATTAAGGATCTAACATCATCTAATGCTGGCTATATCCATAATTTCCCAATTACTTGAAAAATGTATTTTCCAACTGGTTAGTTGACATCTGGATTGAATTCAGGACTACACATTTGGTTTTCTGTCTTAAGTCTCATTCAATGGAATAGTCCTGTCACTTTTTTTTATTCTTTCATAGCATTGAATTGTTGAGAAGACAATGCCTGAAGTCTGAATTCGTCTGTTTCCTTGTGGTGTCATTTAACTTGTTTCCTATTCCCTGTATTTCCTGCTGACTGGCAGGTTGATCAAGAGTTCTATGTATTTAAGTTAAATATTTACTCGAGAGTCTCTCACAGGTGGTCCTGTGTGCTTCCTACTGGACAGCCTCAGAAGGCATGTGGCTCACATCCCACTATGATGACGCAAAGATCTTCCTCTGAGTTAGACGGTGGCAGCCTCATCTCCTCATCAGCAAGGTACATTCTCCCCTTTCTGATAATTACATAAGTTGGGAGGTTGGTACGTGGCAAGGTGTGCAGCTCCTCACTGTCTTTCTGCCTAATGGTTTCAGGAATCTGTTACTGATTCTTGCCCACCTCATTATTTTTATTAGGAGTTCACAGATGGTGATTTTGAAATTTTGTCATTCCTGGCTGGGCGCGGTGGCTCATGCCTGTAATCCCAGCACTTTGGGAGGCTGAGGTGGGCAGATCACCTGAGATCAGGAGTTCGAGACCAGCCTGGCCAATACGGTGAAAACCCATCTCTACTAAAAATACAAAAATTAGCCAGGCATGGTGGCAGGCACCTGTAATCCCAGCTACTCGGGAGGCTGAGGCAGGAGAATGGCTTGAACCCAGGAGGTGGAGGTTGCAGTGAGCCAAGATCACGCCATTGCACTCCAGCCTGGGTGACAAGAGTGAAACTGTTTCAAAAAAAAAAAAAAAAGAAAGAAAAAGAAAAAACAGGCTGGGTGTAGTGGCTCACACCTGTAATCCCACACTTTTGGAGGCCGAGGCAGGCAGATCATGAGGTCAGGAGATCGAGACCATCCTGGCTAACATGGTGAAACCCCGTCTCTACTAAAAATACAAAAAAATTAGCCGGCTGTGGTTGTGGGTGCCTGTAATCCCAGCTACATGGGAGGCTGAGGCAGGAGAATTGCTTGAACCCGGGAGGCAGAGGTTGCACTGAGCTGAGATCGCGCCATTGCACTCCAGCCTGAGTGACAAGAGTGAACCTCCATCTCAAAAAAAAAAAAGAAAAGAAAATTTCTCATTCTCTTGCATACTCATTACTGTACAGTCCTAATCAAGGAGGGGGATTCAGGTTGGTGGGACCAAAGGAAAGCAAAAGGATAAGCTGTGAGTCTGCCTTTCTTCATTGTCCAAGACACACAGGCCCCCTGCACAAATAACTCAGTCTTCCTGTGCCCAGCAATCACCAGACCTTCGCTGATACAAAAATTGCAAGTTAGCTCCCTGCAACCTTGGCGTTACTAGCACTGCACATAGCCCTCTCCAGCACACACCACGAGCATGATCCTATCAAATCCCCTGCAAGTGTCTGTTTCCTGGCAGTCAGCTCCTCTCCTGCTGGCCTGCCCGTTGCTCCCTTGCAATGTACTTTCATACTTTTTCTAATAAATCTGCCTTTCTTTACCAACAACTGTCTTGGTAAATTCTTCTTAACCCCTGCATTACACCATTGGCTTTAGATAATCGCCAGGCACCCACAACAATTACTTTCCAGTCTTATGTAAAAATGAAGTTTCCCTCTCCACTGGGTCTCTTTATTTGTCTTTGACTATCTTTATTTGTTTTGAATATCTTTATTTGGTCTCAACATGTCTATCAGCCTGATTCTCTTTTGTAGTGAGGACGTTCTTATAAGCATTCCCAGGAAATAACGGATATTTTCAGAACTTGAGATCTTTCTGAGAGTATAGCAGTGATATACTTCTTCTCCAAAACACTTCAGCATCTAAAGCTGCTGTCGAACACACATTTTTCATCCTCAGACAACTACTCATAGGAAAGCACCCAAGAGGGAACTTGGTGGAAGGCTGGGTGAAAGTGGAGAGCAGGGACTATGGGCAAGCCGTCTGTAGACATCCCAACACCATGCCTGCTCTGAGGATGCAATGAGCTGGGGAAGGCTTGGTGGCTCAGTGGATAGTTCACAGCGCATGTCTGGGTTCAGCTGCTCACCTGGTGCCCTGGGGTCAAACAGGCCATCTCTGCCTGCCCAGAAGCAGGCCGGAAGTTCTTTCTTCAAAAGAGATCAGCCACTGAAGGAGAAGGAGCCTTGCTGCAAAGCTCCAGAACCCCTTCCGTGACAGTGCTGCTGGTCTTGTGATATCCTCTTCCCTACAGACCTCCGAGCCAATGAGATCTGCTGGGGCTGCCAGATCTGCTGGCTTCTAAGGGCCACTTCAGGTTGAGTCTATCAAGACCTTCGTCATTCCATGAAATCAAGACGTTCGTCATTCCATGAACTTCTCCCTTTCCCAGCAAGTGAAAAAGAAGTGACCCTTCTGGGAAAGGGAGAAGTTGGTGAAATGACACGGGTCTTGATAGACACAACCTGACATAGACTAACAGATGGGTTAGTCTAACTAACAGAGAGGTTAGTCTATGTCATGCATTAAACTTTCCTTTACTCTGGGTCCAAACCTTACAAAGTCCTCCATGGAGTCAGAGATTGGATCCCCACCCGACTCCCCTCGCTCTTCCCATCCTGTTTTCTCTCACTGGCATGGAGCTGTAGTCTCCAAGCCCCTCAGTGGCCCCACACAGACCCCTCCCCACCTTTGTGGTCTGGCAAGAAGCCTCTGCCCACAAGATACAAGTGCCTCCCCCCGTTCTACCCCTTCAGAGACAGCTGGCTTGTGTTACATGTTCTCTGAACACCGTGTCGCAGGTCCTGACATATCAGCTGCTCTTTACCTTGAAATGACTTAGATCACAACCGGTCTGCCCAGAGGGCTGGGGGTTGGACGCACCACAACCTGGCCCAGCCTCTCCTGCGGGGATGACCGACAATCCATCCAATCCATCGGGTGGCAGCCCCACTTCCTCAGCAGAGACAACATCCTGTTACACCCTCTCTTCATGCTGAGTGATTCTAACCTCCTCTGGAATGAACTCCATGCTTGCAGAGTCATCTTCAGAATGAGTCAGCTCCGCTTGTCCCAGGCAGGAGACTCACGAGTTGATGTGAAATGCGGATTCCCTATGAGACGGAGGACATTGCATGTCTCATCCCATCACGACCGTGTGGGTCTCGTTATTTCATAAGAGAGGGGGAAAATGTGAATTGGAATTTTATTTCCTAAGTACTGTTCTTGGTTTCTGACCAGCTGATCCCAAGTTTCACATCCTTGTCTGTGAAGCTAAACTCAATGCTGCTGTGTGGGAAGAAGATTTGTAAAGAAAACTCTTAGGTAAGTTTTCATTGTTTGGTGTTTAACAAATACACCACTTCCCTGTGCTGCTTTCTGGATCTGCCTACTTTGTAACATTCTACCTGACATTTTAAATACACAAAATTTCACTAAATTTCAGCCAGGCGCTGTGGCTCACGCCTGTAATCCTAGCACTTTGAGAGGCTGAGGCAGGCGGATCATGAGGTCAGGAGTTCAAGACCAGCCTGGCCAACATAGTAAAACCCCGTCTGTACTAAAAAAATACAAAAATTAGCCGGGTGTAGTGGTATGTACCTGTAGTCCCAGCTACTCAGGAGGCTGAGGCAGGAGAATTGCTTGAACTCAGGAGGCAGAGGTTGCAGTGAGCCGAGACCGCACCATTTCACTCCAGCTTGGGTGACAGAGTGAGAATCCATCTCAAAAAAAAAAAAAGAAATTTCACTAAATTTAAATTTCTTTTATACATCTGTATATTTGATTTATACCATATTATGCTGTATGTTTGGGGGAGAGGGGAGGCTAGGTTTGAGTCTATAAATTTGTTCCTAAAATAGTAACAGGATGAAAAATAAATCAAAGTGATTATACCTCTCTCTAGGTATGAATTAAGCATTCCTTTTTTTTTTTTTTTTTTTGAGACAGAGTTTTGTTCTTGTTGCCCAGGCTGGAGTGCAATGGCATGATCTCTGCTCACTGCAACCTCTGCCTCCCGGGTTCAAGCAATTCTCCTGCCTCAGCCTCCCAAGTAGCTAGGATTACAGGCAACCACCACCACACCTGGTTAATTTTTGTATTTTTAGTAGAGACGGGGTTTGACCATGTTGGTCAGGCTGGTCTAGATCTCCTGACCTCAAGTGACCCACCCACCTCGGCATCCCAAAGTGCTGGGATTACAGGCATGAGCCACCATGCCTGGCCTGAATTAAGCATTTCTTAAAGCTGCACTAAAGTCCTTTAGGTCACCCAAGTGCCATTTGATATCATTCCAAGAGATGAAGCTGGAGAGCAGGCCTATTTGGGGCAGCGGAAAGTCCACTTCGAGGCCAGCGTCCCTCTCTCTACAGTTTTAGTTTTTAAGCGGAGGTGTGTCCTCTTCCAGGATATACATTTTTCAAGCTCACCACCATTGATGTTGGGGCTGGGCCATTGCCGTGGGGCTGCCCTGGGCATTGTCGGAAGCCTGGTAGCTTCTCCCCTCTGAAGGTCAGCAGCAGCAACCTGCTTCTCAACCAAGGTCATGACAACCCAAAAACGTCTCCAGACACTGCCAAATGTCCCCACGGGAGGGGGCGTAGAGGACAGTGTGCTATGGTGGCCCCACAGTAGCTATCTTTGTTGCCCTAGAATCAACATGATCTTGTCAAGGCACTTTTTTTGGTTTTGTTTCGTTTTTTGAGATGGAGTCTTGCTCTGTAGTCTAGGCTGGAGTGCAGTGGCACAGTCTCAGTTCACTGCAACCTCTGCCTCCCAGGTTCATGTAATTCTCCTGCCTCAGCCTCCCAAATTGCTGGAATTACAGGCATGTGCCACGACACCCAGCTAATTTTTGTATTTTTAGTAGAGACAAGGTTTCACTAGCCTGGTCACGAACTCCTGACCTCAGGAGATCCACCCGCCTCGGCCTCCCAGAGTGCTGGGATTATAGGCACGAGCCACCATGCTTGGGCACTTTTTAAAGGCTGGTTGTTATGGGCATTTTTAAAGGCTGGTTGTTATGCCAATGGCTTCGTCCAATGGGGATTTAAGGCTTCTTTGGGTACTGATAATTACGGCTATTATCTCGGGGTTATCATTTTCAACAGGAAGAACCCTGCCAAATGTTGTTTGTCTGATCCTCAAATAGCAGAAGATTCAGGATCGTCTAGCTTTCATGTTGGAGGAGACTTTAGGGACCAATCTCATCCTTTTACACTTGTGGCTCAGAGAGGTTAAGCAACCCCTCCAAGGTCACACAGCCAGCAGAAGTAACACCCAGCATAGAGATCACCAAGACAGCATCAGAGCCCTTTAGTACGATATCCCGAGTGTCCCGCATGCAAGCCATCGGCACTGTGTTTTGTGGCTCAATATTTTTCAGTTTTTAAGAAAGATACACTTTTTGGAAAAAGAAATGGACACAGTGAATGCCCGCATCAGCAGAAAGACAGTTTTCTATAATGAGTTCTTTTTCTCTTTATTTCTAAGGTTTAATTTTGCCACACTTGCTAAAGAAAACATTATACACGGCCCTTATTAAAGAACGGTAAGACAGACTTGTCAACACAAAGAGTCAAATTTGTAAATTAGTTGATGAGATTTATTCTGAGCCAAATATGAGGACTTTGATTGATGACACAGCCCCATGAGGTCCTAAGAACTGCTGCATAAGGTGGTTGGGTTCTAGCTGGATTTTATGCATTTTAGGGGGACAGAAGTTACAGGCAGAAAATAAGAAAAGGGCAAGACGATCCCCTGCCACCTCCATGACGTCATTTCAGTTCTCTTCTCCAAACACCTCACAGTATCGTATTTCAAAATTCGGCTTTGTCATTTAGCAGTGTGTGGAGGTGTACATGTTGCCAATCGATACATGTAAGGTGTCCAGTGGTTTGGTCCAGAAAGGTGACACAACTCCATGGATGCAGGTGGAAGGTGTCCAGGTCACAGATGGATTCAACGATTTTCTGATGGGCAATTAATTGAAAGAGTTAAGTTATTATTGTAGAGACCTGGAATGAATAGAAAGGATTGTCTGGGTTACGATAAAGGTTGTGGAGACCAAGGTTTTTTATCTTCAGAGCTCTTATTGGACCTAAAAGAGGTGCCAGACTCTTAGTTAAATCTCTCCTAGATCAGGGAAAAGACCTGGAAAGGGAAGGGGATTCTGGCAGGATGTGGATTTTCCCCTCAAGAGACAGCCGTGTGGGGCCCCTTCAAAATATGTCAAAGAAATATATTCTGGGGTAAAATGCTTGATTTCTTCCAGGGCCTGCTCTCTATCATGTGATGCTATACTAGAGTCAGGTTGGAATGTAGTATCTTATTGCTACAGAGTCTGTTTTGTCAACCTTAAGATCTCTGCTTTGACGTTAATGCAGGTCAGCTGTGCCTGGATTTCAACGGAAGGCGGGTATAAGGAGCCTGTCCCACCCCCACTTCCCATCACGGTCTGAACTAGTCTCTAAGGTTTACTTTGGAAAGCTCGTGGCTAACGGGGTTGGCGGGGGACTAGAATTTTATTTTTGTTTTACAGTCTCAAAGGAATCGCGATAGGTGCAGGGGCCACTGCAGTGGGACTAGGCTCAACTCTGAGTGTAAGAAGAAAAACGGGAATGTACAGCCACGGAGAGGGTGAGAACGGACGGAAAACTATGAAGAGGCTACATCAGGCCAGGGGGGTTCTTGCTAGAACCACTTGGTAGGATTCGTGCCACAGGCAGGCCAGGTGATAAGATACCGAGGGTGAGGGATGAGGAGTATGATATCAGGGGCGGGGAACTGTCACTGCATTGACCCAGCAGGATTCTTTTGGACGAAAGGGGACAGGGGTCCAGGTCAGAGCCTTGAGGGCTTCGAGGACCCTGCCTGGAGTTAGGTCAGGTAGAGTCTTTGCCACATTGAGGCTGAGAAGCTGAGCAGCTGATCTGCGGGAGTCCAGAGACCCTCATGCTTCCTGCAGATGTGCTGTCAGCAGATCCTGAACTTGGGTTCCAGTGTTTTAAAGTGTTGTTTGCAAGCACCGCGGTCCTGCTCTCCCACTCACAGAACTACTATTGCTCACTGGTGAAGGACACTGGATTTAAAATCACAGACGTTCTTTTTCGCCTCTCGCTCATTATACATCCCTTTGAGGACACCGTCATTTTGCTGTTTAGGAGGAAGAAACAGGCAGAAGAGAACTCCTCCCATCCCTCCGCTAATGGCTTTTAAAACAGTCTTTTTTGTAATGGAACAACCAAACCTCACAATGAGCGTATATTGCTTGTGTGACCAGAAAGTAAGACAGTCCCCTGACACCTCAATTAAGTCATTTTGGTTGTCTACTCCAGACACCTCATGGCATCGTACTTCAAAATTCAGCTTTGTCATTTAGCAGTGTGTGGAGGTGCACACATTGCTAACCTCAGGCTCACTGAACACTGTTTTTTTTCTATGACGTGGATAATGGTGCCTGCGTCAGACACCTGTGATGTTTGAAAGAACCAGTTTATCAAAGTGCTTAGCCTGACGCCTGACACGCTGTGCACCCAAGATAAATGTTTGTTGTGTCATTCGATCTGTCGAGGAAGGAGGTGAGACACTTGTGGGTGGCAGGGCGGGAGGGGAGTACACAGGCTGTAAACAGCAGTGCCCAAGCTGAGACGGAGCAAGCTGGGAATCCGCCCGGGTTTCATTCAGTGTTCCACACCCCGCATGGATACTGGTTATACCTGTGATCAGTTATGCCTGTGATGGTTTTTTAGAAAACAAAACTATTTTATCACTCTGCTTTAAAGATGGCCGAGTGGAAAGACACAGTCCTGGAATGTTTAAATTCAAGCTGAAGAGCTTACTAGCCACGTGACTGAGCAAGTTATGGTTCCATCTTTCTAAGCCTCACTTCATTCTTTGTTAAGACAGGCCTCAGCATGCTGTTAGTAGGAATCTAAGGAACCCAGTGCTGATGGAGAAAGGGGTCCAGTCCAGACCCTAAGAGAGAGTTCTCGGATCTTGCGCAGGGAGGAACTCAAGGCAGTCGCAGAGTGCAGTGAGAGACAGCTGCTCTGATACAGAGTGGGGAGCCCGCGGAAAGCAGGAAGAAGAATGTGCCATCTTTGTTTCAAAGGCATCTTGTATCAATGTAAAAGCCAAGCTACGTGTAAGTGCAGGTGGGCTGGCAGTGTGACAAGATCTAGTACTTGGTGGATGTAAATAACGTTATCCTTGGCATTTCAGTGCGTAACTACATCTAAGCATGACTATAGCCATCTTTTTTTTTTTTTTTTTTTTTTTTTGAGATGGAGTCTTGCTCTGTTGCCCAGGCTGGAGTGCAGTGGCATGATCTCGGCTCACTGCAACCTCCGCCTCCCAGGTTCAGGCAATTCTCCTGCCTCAGCCTCCCACGTAGCTGGGATTACAGGCTACTGTAACTGCCAATCAGGTTCATGTTGCCTACACAGAGCTGATTTATCCAAACAGGTGAACTGCATAGAGAAAGAATAATCCACACAGAGCTGGCTGTGCGGGAGACCAGAGTTTTATTATTACTCAAATCAATTTCCCCAAGAATTCGGAGTTCAGAGTTTTTGCTGTTGTTTTTGAGATGGAGTCTTGCTCTGTTGCCCAGGCTGGAGTGCAGTGGTGCGATTTCAGCACACTGCAACCTCCGCCTTCAGGGTTCAAGCAATTCTCCTGCCTCAGGCTCCCAAGTAGTTGGCATTACAGGCGTGCACCACCACGCCTGGCTAATTTTTGTATTTTTAGTAGAGACGGGGTTTTGCCATGTTGGCCAGGCTGGTCTTGAACTTCTGACCTCAAGTGATCCGCCTGCCTCGGCCTCCCAGAGTCCTGGGATTACAGGTGTGAGCCACCGTGCCCAGCCCTGGAGTTCAGAGTTTTTAAGGATAATTTGGTAGGTAGGGGGCCAGTAAGCTGGGAGCACTGAGGGGTCAGATCAGAGATGAAATCGTATGGATCAAAGCTGTCCTCTTGGCCTGAGCCGGTTGCTGAGTGCGGGCCACAAGATCAGATGAGCCAGTTTATCCATCTGGATGGTCCCAGCTAATTCAGCAAGTGCAAGGTCTGCAAAATATCTCAAGCACTGTTGTTAGGTTTTTCAATAGTGATGTTATCCCCAGGAGCAATTTAGGGAGGGTCAGAATCTTGTAATCTCCAGCTGCATGAATTCTAAACCATAATTTCTAATCTTGTGGCTAATTTGTTAGTCCTACAAAGGCAGTCTAGTCTCCAGACAAGAAAAGGATTTGTTTCGGGAAACCATAAACTAAGTTTCTTCCAAAGTTAGTTTGGCCTACACCCAGGAATGAACAAGGACAGTTTGGAGGTTAAAAGTAGGATGGAGTTGGTTAGGTCAGATCTCTCACTGTCTCAGTTATAATTTTGCAATGGTGGTTTCACTGGTTTTAAGATGGAGTTTATTTTATTTTATTTTTATTTTTTTGAGACAGAGTTTCATTCTTGTTGCCCAGGCTAGAGTGCCATGGCGTGATCTCAGCTCACTGCAACCTCTGCCTCCTGGGTTCAAGCAATTCTGCTTCAGCCTCCTGAGTAGCTGAGATTACAGGTGCCCACCACCACACCCGGCTAATTTTTTTCTCCCAAACTGCTGGGATTACAGGCTTGAGCCACCGCGCCCGCCAAGATGGGTTGTTGATTTTAAAACGATGTCACCCTGGCTCTCCTAGGTTCCTGTTCCCCTAACATCATGAAGGCTGCTGGCAGTTCTCTGGCCTCCAGGGAGGCCTCCACACACATTTACCCATGTTCTTAGACAATCCTAGGGACTCAAGGCTTCAACAAACCTAAATGAGCCAGCAGAAAAATAAACTTGAACATGAATGTCAACGTTTTCCCACATGTACTAAAGGGTTATAATAATTTTGAAATGTTTATTTCAAAGAGCGTTGGTAATTTAAACGTCCTATTTAATCCCCAAAACAGTCCTGAGGGGGAGATAAGGCAGTTATCTTCATAGTACAGGAAAGGAAAAAAGCGAGGGTCCAAGGCCGACTATACCCTCAGCTCCATTAGCCCCCGAGGCCTCCCTGACAGGCGGGGCGGACAATCCCAGTGCAGATGCTCTGTATCGATCGCATGCTATCGGTTCTTTCAAGGAACGTGTATTGATCATCAATTAAGTGGTGAGTACTCCTCTAGATGTCGATTCTAAAGAGGGAACAAAACACATTAGACAGAAGAAACATAAGTAACTCGAATAACAACCTTAGAGAGAAGAAACATAAGTAACTCGAATAACAACCTTAGCAAACTGCGGAAACTCCTACAGACAAAAACTCAGGTGTGGGCGCAGAAGGGCCGGGGATGCGCTCGGTCAAGACTTGAAGGTCCGGGGCTTGGGCCCTGTGTCCTCACCGAGCCCCGGGGAGGCTCCGGCTCCGTCCACACCCGGAGCGCGACTCAGCCGCGGCCGGGGCTCTTCTGGAGAACGGCGCGGTCAGGCTCTGCCGCAGCTTTCAGGTCCCCTCGGCCCCGTCCGGGTGCAGCGCAACCAGGCTGCCCGCGGAGCCCCACCGCCCCCATGCCGCCGCCCGCCATGGTTCAGCCCGGCCCCGCCCCTCCCGCCGGCCGTGGTTCAGCGCGTCCACCCCGCCGCCCCACAGCGCCCGCCGCGCCGCGCCCCGCCCCCCGCCGCGCCCCGCCCCCCGCCGCGCCCCGCCCCCCGCCGCGCCCCGCCCCCCGCCGCGCCCCGCCCCCCGCCGCGCCCCGCCCCCCGCCGCGCCCCGCCCCCCGCCGCGCCCCGCCCCCCGCCGCGCCCCGCCCCCCGCCGCGCCCCGCCCCCCGCCGCGCCCCGCCCCCCGCCGCGCCCCGCCCCCCGCCGCGCCCCGCCCCCCGCGCCGCGCCCCGCCCCCCGCCGCGCCCCTCCCGCGCCCGCCGCCCCGCCCCTCCCGCGCCCGCCGCCGTCGTAGCGCCTAGGCGGGGCCTCTCGTAGCGACGCCCCCAGGGGGGCAGAACGCGTGCGCACGCGCGTGCGAACGCGCGTGCGCGGGCGGTGTTTGAGGCCGGCCAGTCGTGACTGGGCGGCAATGAGGTCAGTGACTGCCGGGAGTCCTGCAGGGGCGGGGCGGCGCCAAGCGCAGGGAGCCCGGCTGAGTGGCAGCCCAGGTGAGCGCTCAGGGAGCCCGGGTGAGGGCCGGGAACCCAGGTGAGGGGCAGCCCAGGTGAGCGCGCGGGGTGCCCGGGTTAGGGGCCGGGAACCCAGGTGAGGGGCAGCCCAGGTGAGCGCGCGTGGAGCCCAGGCGAGGGGGCTGGGAAGCCCGGGTGAGGGGACCGGGGATCCCAGGTGAGGGGCCGGGAACTCAGCTGAGGGGGAACCCAGATGGGCGCGCGGGAGCCCACGTGAGGGGGAGCCCGGGTGAGGGGCCGGGGTGGCTCCTGGCGTCCGCGGTCCCAGCCCTGCCTTCCGGTGGGCGTGCGGCACCCCGGGCCGTGCGGTTCCCGGACAGCAGCTTGTGGGGGACTTTCGAGCCCCGCAGCCCGGGGTCCTGCCTGCGCGGGTTGGGCGTGGGGGGCTCCTCACCGCGACGCTGACTTTGGAGTCCTTGAGCGGCGCGGATGCCGGACGGAGGGAGGGGACAGGCGGAGGCGGAGGCGGCGCCGTCGCCCCTGACCTCGCTTCCCTCAGACCGGCTGGGCAAGTACGGTCAGCTCACCTGTGTGCCCACGAGGCGGGGAGGCGGCTCCTGCAGAGCCACAGAGGTGCCGTCGGAGCTGCTGTCAAGGACAGCAGGTGTCACGTGGGTGTGGCCTCCACTGGTCACCGAGTTAGCTGGGGCGGAAGGGGACAAGGTGCAGCTCAACATGGTGTGGGAGGCGGAGGGACGCTGGGTCAGTCAGAACCTGTAGGAGCGGGGAGGGACGCTGGGTAAGGTCACCAAAGTGTGCGGGGGAGAGAGCGGGCGCTGGGTCAGGTCAGCAGGAGGTGGGACCCGCCTGGGCTCTGGGCCCTATAGCCAGCTGCTCTAGGTTGGGGTTGGGTGTGGACAGTAGGGAGGGGAGCCAGGGGCTCCCCAGCCTGTGTAGATTCTGCTGTAAGTGACTCTTCTCTGAAAGACTGGCGCGAGGCGGCTGCTTCTGACTCCTGTTTCAGTTTACCCTCTGTGTGAAATCTGTAACTATCCAGCTTCTGCTTACCTCACTCCCGTATTTTGATTTTTATTTACATACAACTTTTCAGGAAGGTTGTGAGAGGAAAGAGCAATGGTGCAGGAAGTGTGAGTGATTGAGGGAATATGAGATGGCCACAGCTCCCCACTGAGCTTGAACACTTCTGTGCCTCACTTTCAGATTGGCCGTCATGGAGGCTGTGGTTGTTAAGGAAGTTCTTCCTGAGCATCCAGTTTCCATACAAAGAGCACAGGTTCTCTAGGTGGCCTCAGAGATGTTCAATACACAATGTCTTCTGATAACGAGGAACTGGGCAAAAGCCTGGTAGGACACCGGGTAGGTAAATGGTGGAGTCCCTGCAACCGTGTTGCAGAGGAGGATTAGCTGTTGCTGAGAGAAGAGAAGCAGGCCGGGGAGCAGCTTGTATACTGTTATCCCCTTTTATGTAAAAAGAAGAGTTTATATCTAGAAAAACAATTGACCCAGCAGGCACCAAAAAATAGTGATGGTGCTTGGAGCTGTGTAAGAGGATTGTAAATTTTTATTTTTGTATTTTTATGCTTGTTTATATTTTCTGAATTTTGTGTATTAAACATGTATTTCTGTTGATTTTGGAAAACATTTTTACAACCCATCAATGTATAATTTTCAAAATGTTAGAAGTATAATTCTCATGTAAATAGCTCTTGTCAGGTTATATTTCAGTCATTAATGCAGTATACAGCAGGATAGGAATGTCAGTTCAAAAGAGAATACACAAAACTAGGATTTTCTTAGTGAGTGGGTAACAGGAATGCTGAGAGAAGATTGCCAGATTAGATAATAAGATTGGTGAATATCCTGTGTGCATTGAAACCACAGCCTTTGGGATTGTCTTTTCTTCTTGATGGAAAGGAGAATTAGCTTTGCAGATTGTAAAATGCGTGACCCACAATCAGTGGTAAATAGTTTAGTTATTTCTCCTAGAAAGTCAAGTGATTGTTGGGGTTGTAAAACACTGAACTTGCGTTAGCAGGGAAAAAAGCATGCAACCTTTTTTTTCCCTTTTGACGTCACTTCCAAGTTTGGATAAATTATCTCAATGAAAAACAAAAATGCTGGTATCCATAGCAGTTTAGCCCCCATAAACCGGAGGAGCGCATAGATGCATGACAGAGTCGAAGGGTTCCAGTGGCCACTGAGCCTGGTTCCTGGTCACACTGCAGCAACAGAGCTAACACTCTTACTGATGTGTTTGCATTCAGATTTTTAAAAAACTTCATGGCCCAGTGCAATAGAAGAGCTGAAACCACAGAATCTTATAAGACAAGCTTTTTGTATACATTTTCTCCAAAGAAAATGAAGATCTGCAGCGTCAAGAGATGGTGGCCTTCCAGGAGTTGTTTATTCTCCGGCTCCACTTCCTCTACTGCAGAGAGGAAAGGGGCTGGTGTGGAAGGGCTTGGAAGCCTTCCAGAATGAAAGAACCAGATGAGTCCATTAGGTTCGGCCTCCAGTTTTTTGTTTTTTTTTTTTTTTTTGAGACGGAGCCTCACTCTGTCACCCAGGCTGGAGTGCAGTGGCGCTATCTCAGCTCACTGCACGTTCCGCCTTCCAGGTTCCCGCCATTCTCCTGCCTCAGCCTCCCGAGTAGCTGGGACTACAGGCGCTCGCCATCACGCCTGGCTATTTTTTTTTTGTATTTTAGTAGAGACAAGGTTTCACCATGTTAGCCAGGATGGTCTCGATCTCCTGACCTCGTGATCCTCCCACCTTGGGCTCCCAAAGTGCTGGGATTACAGGTGTGAGCCACCCTGCCCGGCCGATTCGGCCTCCAGTTTTACCCATGGAAGGAACAGTGACTTCCAGCTGTGCATTACACTTAAGGACTCCTTCATGTGGCCTGAGCCTTATGGTGCACAGCAAGGGAACAGTGGGAACCCCTGTGTCCCATTTTGCGTATCAAGAGTGAGAGGGTGTGGTTGGGTCAAGGAGCAGAAATAGAAGCAAAAGGAGAAGCTGAGCTCTTCCCATACCCCTTCTGTGCTGCCTGACAGAACAAGGCCTAGCCACACTTCTGTGGGTGCCCACCTTGTGACTTGGGGTGAACCACAGCTGTTCTCAGTACAACGCTGATGCCACGAAAGGACAGCAGAGCTCTGCAGGACTCCAGGAAGACTGGGCGCTTGGGCTGGATCCTGCCTCTGGGACTGGCCTTCTACCCTCATGGCTGAGAGAGCTGAGGAGTTCACCTCCTTTGTGAACTCCTGGCTGGAGGATGCTGGTTGGCATTAACTAAACTCAGAGACCCACAGTAACGAGTTAGACTAGAACAGCACCAGCTTACCCAGAAAGTCAGGAGGTTTGAGCAAAGAATCAGAATGGGGGATTCACTACAGGACTGGAAGGGGAAGTAAGCATTCTGGTCTTTATAATCTGCTGTTTCTGCATCCCTAATTGGCACCTGTTCTCTGACTGCCAGGAGGGTTTGCCCACTCAGCTGTGGCTTACCTGTTTCTGTTTCCATGTCTTTCACCTATCTGCCACTTTTCTGTAGATATGGTAATCTCTCCAAAAAGATATCTAGAAAGCTTGAAGACCTGGTAGCTATTTGCTCTTATGGTGAAGATCACACAAACTAGTTGAACATCTGGCTTGTAGTAGGTGCTTCATTTCCCGCTGCTCTGTATGTTTCTTTCTTTTTTTTTTTTTTTTTTTTTTTTGAGACGGGGTCTCATCTTGTCACCCAGGCTGGAGTGCAGTGGCGCAATCTCAGCTCACTGCCACCTCCACCTCCCGGGTTCAAGCGATTCTCCTGCCTCAGCCTCCCAAGTAGCTGGGATCACAGGCATGTACCACCACGCCCAGCTAATTTTTTGTATCTCTAATAGAGTCGAGGTTTGACCATGTTGGCCAGGCTGGTCTCGAACTTCTGACCTTGTGATGCACCTGCCTTGGCATCCCAAAGTGCTGGGATTACAGGCGTGCGCCACTGCACTCGGCCTGCTCTGTGTATTTCTTTTTCCTGTAGTCAGATTCTGGGGTCCAGGGTGGTTAGGAAAGAAACTTGTTTTCTTTCTTTCTTTTTTTTTTTGAGATGGAGTTTTGCTCTGTTGCCCAGGTTGAAGTGCAGTTGTGTGATCTCGGCTCACTGCAACCTCCACCCTCCTGGGTTCCAGAAATTCTCCTGCCTCAGCCTCCTGAGTAGCTCAAATTACAGGTGCGCACCACCACGCCTGGCTGATTTTTGTATTTTTAGTAGAGGCAGGGTTTTGCCGTGTTGGCCAGGTTGGTCTTGAACTCCTGACCTCAAGTGATTCACCCACCTTGGCTTCCCAAAGTGCTGGGATTACAGGTGTGAGCCACCACACCCAGCCTGAAACTTGGTTTCTTAGCTCCTAAATAGTGAAATCAAGATCAGAGCCCACTAAGCCAGCCGCTCTTCTTGGTTTTTGGTTCTCATGTCCTGGAGTCCCTCTCACCTTGACCAAACCAAAGACCTCCTGAAGCATCACTTGGGCTCACCACTTCCACTGAGGTGGATTTGAGTCATTGATCTGGGCAGAGCCTTCTGGAGTCGGGGTTTCTCTCGTCTCAAGGCAGAGGTCCTACAGAAGTTAGTGGTCTTGGCCAAGCGGACATTGATGCAACTGTGGCAAAATGGGACCTATAAGTCAGAGCTGATGACCTACTCGTGGAAAAGTACAGGGAGAAGTTTTACGAGGGGTCCATATTTTAACCTTTAACAGTGTTGTTCACGTTAACCCTTGTAATGGATGCTATTCCTTGCCTGATACCTGTCCTTTCCACCCAGCCTGCTTTTCTTTAATGCTGGTAAGCGGTCTCCCCTCCAGGCATTAGGCTGCACTTGAAGTTGATCTGCTCCTGTGAAGTGCATAGGGGTTCAACGATGCCTTGCTGCACACTGAATACCAGAGCCGAGTGCTCTTGCCAGCCCCTTAATACCATGTTCAACCTGATTTGTCAACAGGTTAACAGAAATGTGTTTGGAGATGTGTAAGTACACTGGAGTCTTGATATATAGCATGACCAGAAGTGTGGGTCACGAGGGCACACATGGGCATGGCAGCCCCTCAGTTGTCATCCATAGCATCTATCAGAGAGCACGCCTGTGTGCCCTGAACTCACGCACCAGGGGCAGCATGACACGGGAGCCGTTTCTCTAGGGAGAAACATGAGTACCAGTGCTGTCTTTCCCCACATCAGATTTGTGTTCAAACAGAGCTAGTCTGTGTTAAAGCTGGAGTGTTAATGGAGAAACAGACAAACTCTTGTACTATTTTGCCTTTGATTATAGACCATTATCAAAGCAAGAGGTTAGGAGTGATCAGTGCTCCCTTGTCATTTGCATCAGGTCCCAGGACTCACATTCTTTGCATGCTTGTGTGAGCTAGTGTTTTCCATGTCCTTGGGGTGTGGTCACAGCGACCTTTTTGCCTGAATAATGATTGGCAAGTTTTTGCTGAATGGCCACAGTGAATGGCTCCTCCTATGCTTCTGGCTCTAGTCCTGCTGTCTCACAATTGAGTCAATTCTGGGGTCTCTTCCGGAGAGCAGAGGGTCCAGCTGCGTGGGGAGTGTGGTGTTCCCAGCCCTGCTGTCTGTTCGCTGGGTGTGAGTGACAAGAGTCCCCACTCCCTGCAGAAATTCCATTACCTGGACAAGTCCCTGCACACTGGGTGAGGGGGGACCAGGCGGGGACCTGAGTCTTTGTCGGTAGCCGTTCCTATGTCATCGTTGTGTGCCTGGGTTTCCTGCCGTGTAAAAGGAAAGGCTGGAATCAATCACACGTCCCTTCCAGTTTTTCAAGAACTTGAGACTCTGGTGTTTGTAGCTTTGCAGACAGGTTCAGGCTTAGGTAAAGTGGACCCTTTCAGCATGATTCAGCATCTGTTCATGTGTTCCATAAATGTTTCTTGAGGGCCCACTGTGGACCCAGTGCTGCATCAGGCAGAGGAGATGCTGTGATGGAAGGCAGGTGTGGTCTGTGCCCTCACAGAGCTTGCTGTCCAGTGGAGGTGAGGATTCAGTAAGCACTTGTCCTATGTGCACCCCACCAGCAAGTCTCCCGCCTTCACAGCAGTCCCAATCAGTCACACAATTCAGGCATCGCAGGATGAAACATATTTAAGTCATTACACTGGGATACACTTTGTTACAGCACTGAACTTCTGCTGTTTGATCCTAGTTAACACCCCAAACACCAAAAATGAGTGTTTGGGGTATGCATCAGGAGCTTGTAGCAAAGGTACTTAACCCAGTCCATGGGTCTCCCCTACTCTGGGAGGGCATCTGGAGCAAATGGCCTTTAAGTGAGGACCTGACAGGTAAGATGATGCCAACTTGGGGAAGGTAAAGACTTTTCCAGGAGAGGGCCCAGCAGCTGCAGAGACCCAGAGGTGCAGGAGAGTGTGATGTTTTCAAAGGACTGGAAGGTTATAGCATGGAGTGAGATGCAGGGGATGGTGAGAGTGGAACCAGAGAAGGTATAATTGATAATCACATTCTGCAGAGTGCCGTAGGTCACAGTGAGGAGTTCAGGCCTTCCCTGCTGCTGTTGAGAAGGCATTCCATGGCCTTAACCAAGGAATAACATGAAGAACAGGAGCACAGGTTTTCGTGACATCCTTGGGGTGTTAACTAGGATCAAACAGCAGAAGTTCAGTGCTGTAACAAAGTGTATCCCAGTGTAATGACTTAAATATGTTTCATCCTGCGATGCCTGAATTGTGTGACTGATTGGGACTGCTGTGAAGGCGGGAGACTTGCTGGTGGGGTGCACATAGGACGAGCATAGGACCGTGTGTTCCTGCCAGCACGGCTCCGGCCTCCTGTTCGTGGCTGGACCGCTCTAGCTTTAGTTTCATTTTCTTTCCTCCTATACTGTCAGTGGATGTTACCTTGGTATGTTTATGCACCCTTGTAAGTTCATTAAGAATAAGGTACAGAATTAAATATTTTGTAGTTTAATGTTTGCGTTACTGGGGTAGTGATGTGTCCTTGTTTCTATCGAGTCAACACAAAATGAATGATCTTTCTTTTAGATTGAAGATGGATACGTGACAATCCCAGGGACCGCTGCACTGACTTCATTTCCTTAGACAAGACACAGTGTAGGGCCCGGCCCGTGTTGGCCCCAGGACTCCTTTGGAATATAGCTGTGGACAATGAATCCTGCGAGCGATGGGGGCACATCAGAGAGCATTTTTGACCTGGACTATGCATCCTGGGGGATCCGCTCCACGCTGATGGTCGCTGGCTTTGTCTTCTACTTGGGCGTCTTTGTGGTCTGCCACCAGCTGTCCTCTTCCCTGAATGCCACTTACCGTTCTTTGGTGGCCAGAGAGAAGGTCTTCTGGGACCTGGCGGCCACGCGTGCAGTCTTTGGTGTTCAGAGCACAGCCGCAGGCCTGTGGGCTCTGCTGGGGGACCCTGTGCTGCATGCCGACAAGGCGCGTGGCCAGCAGAACTGGTGCTGGTTTCACATCACGACAGCAACGGGATTCTTTTGCTTTGAAAATGTTGCAGTCCACCTGTCCAACTTGATCTTCCGGACATTTGACTTGTTTCTGGTTATCCACCATCTCTTTGCCTTTCTTGGGTTTCTTGGCTGCTTGGTCAATCTCCAAGCTGGCCACTATCTAGCTATGACCACGTTGCTCCTGGAGATGAGCACGCCCTTTACCTGCGTTTCCTGGATGCTCTTAAAGGTAAGTGCATGCATCAGCAGAAGATGACATGTGCCTCACGCATTTAATCACTGGCTACAATGTCCTGGACGCTGCCATAAACTCAACAGCAGGCTGGATTGCAGCACACACATTCAGTTACAAACTCATTTTAGTTGAATGCAATATTCTGGTTTTGTTTATTTATTTATTTATTTTGAGACGGATTCTGGCTCTCGTCCAGGCTGGAGGCAATTTTCTTAATTTTAAGTCTTTTAGGCTTTCTCTTCCTTAAGGAAAGAAAGCTCAGTAGATTTTATGGCTCAGTAGATAGCGTCTGGAAGCACTTAATTTTTTCCTTTCTTTTAATACTATATTTATTTATTTATTTATTTTTTGAGACGGAGCCTCACTCTGTCGCCCAGGCTGGAGTACAATGGCATGGTTTCGGCTCACTGCAACCTCCGCCTCCTGGGTTCAAGTGATTCTCCTGCGTCAGCCTCCCTAGTAGCTAGGACTACAGGTGCGCACCACCACACCTGGCTACCTTTTTTGTCTTTTTAGTAGAGATGGGGTTTCACTATGTTGGTCAGGCTGGTCTTGAACTCCTGACCTTGTGGTCCGCCTGCCTGGGCCTCCCAAAGTGCTGGAATTACAAATGTGAGCCACCGTGCCTGGCCTCTTTTAATACTTTAGAAAAACTGAAGTAATATCTGTGCGTACACACATACCTTGCTTGCTTTTTATTTTTGAATAAGGTTGTTGTACTAGTGCTCAGAAGTGTTGGGACCTAGCATAGTTATTTGCCTAGCACTTTCTTTCTGTTTTTGAAGAACATGTTTTAAAAATATTTGTCACTTGATTGTCATATTGATGTCAAAATGTTCTTCATGTTAAACTCTTTAAACTTTTTTTCCTTTTGAGACGGAATCTTGCTCTGTTGCCCAGGCTGGAGTGCAGTGGCATGATCTTGGCTCACTGCAACCTCCGCCACCCGGATTCAAGCAATTCTCTTGCCTCAGCCTCCCAAGTAGCTGGGATTACAGCGCCCACCACCACGCCTAGCTAATTTGTGTGTGTGTGTGTGTGTGTGTGTGTATTTTTAGTAGAGACGGAGTT
Organism: Homo sapiens; assembly: GCF_000001405.40. NCBI lineage: Eukaryota > Metazoa > Chordata > Mammalia > Primates > Hominidae > Homo > Homo sapiens. The sequence goes on from NC_000008.11 coordinate 1,772,675, forward strand.
TCACTGTGTTGGCCAGGCTGGTCTTGAACTCCTGACCTCAGGTGATCTCCCCGCCTTGGCCTCCCAAAATGCTGGGATTACAGGCATGAGCCACCGTGCACAGCCTTAAAATTGTTTTTACATAGATTCTTGCTATCTTTTATGACCCATCACATTGTTTATGGGATATTTGATATGAAATTTGAGATCCTGCAAATGTTCAGCCATTCACACAAATGGGTCATGTTACTGCACATTTCTTGTCTACAGGAGACTGGTAGCCTCGAGAGGAAAAATAAGCATAACAAATCACTCCTGCCTTCGGGGTCGAGGTGGGTAGATGATATCAGTCCATCAAAAGTGCACTGCAGTGTAAACAGTACAGACTGTTCATGCATAACCACCATGGACACCAGCCGGGTGTCAGATACTGTGCTGGCACCTGGGAACTCAAGGAGGAACTTGTGTTCCTGGTGTCCCCTGAGGTTGGCCCCATCTGGCACCAGATGGGGTGTGTGAGCACAGTGACAGGAAAGTGCAGAGAAACCATGGCCCCAGATGCGGACCCTCTGCAGGAGGAGCAGGTGAGCACCTCGGAGTTAAGGCAAGTGAATGAGGGTGAGTGAGGCACAGTCGTCGCCAGTACAGAGCCTCACAGGGTGGCCATGGAAGTAGATGGAGCCTATGGCAGGCGATACTGGAGACATCCTGGTGAGTGCGTGGTTTGGGCGGTGGCAGGAGGAGGTTGGGGGCCGGTGTGATTTGGGTAGAACTTACCAAGGAAGAAGGGTTGGAACCATGAATAGTTTGAAAGAGCCCCTCCGGTGACCTGGCTACTGAGTTCCCTTGGCGAGCAAATGACTGAATATGAAGCTGCTGGTCTAAGTGTGGGTCATTTTGGGAACGATGCTGTGACCTGGGACCCCATCAGCATCCTGTACGCAGCTTGCAGTTTTCCAGTTTTCTCTTTGTGGGCGTTATTTCCATAAGAGTGCAGACTTCTGGGATGCAGGTCAGGGCTGTGACTTCCCTGGGTTTCTCTGGAGTGAGATCAGTGTGGAGTGGAGAGGTGTGTGCTGGAGGAAGAGGCCTTGGCCTGTGCTCCGCATTGCCTACTCCTCTCACCTGGAAACACCGGACTTCAGGAGTCACTCGGCTGTGGCAGAAAATAAAGTTCTTGAAAGGAAAGCAGAGGCGCTCACTCACATCGATGCCCTAAACATCAATACCACATCAATGTCCCAAGTGGTAAATAGTGACTAAATTATTAATACATCCCACAAGATGGTGTGCTTGAGGTCATTAGTGTATTTTGAGAAATAGATTAATAGTTATCTTGTATTTTATTTTTATTACAAGTTCTTTAAAAACAACAAGAAAGACGTGAGTCTTTCTGTCTCTCCAGTCCTCAGGGGAAAGCAGTGTTGGATTTCTCCAGGGTTTTATCTGTGCTTCTCCTGGAGCCAGGTGTGGGGACAGCGTCTCCAGCAGTTCTCCCTCCCCTGGTGTGGTGGTGGAGCCCAGCCTCCAGGAGGACAGACTCAGCGAGATTTTATTTTGAAGTTTGCACATTCTCTAAAGCTTTTAGGGTGCTGTTTGTGTAGAATGGAGAAAGGGTTATTTAAGTATTTACTTCTAACCCTGCTCATGTTAACTGTATAAAGCCAACAGACCCTAATAAGAGAAAATTATAACCTAAATTAATATAGCTCAGGGCCAGTATGTCTACATAGTTCTATTTTGCTCTAGTTGAAATACTAATAAATGCAGTAAGAAAACACTATGTCTAAAATGTTGAAATTCTTTGAAATTCTTTTAAAGCTGATAGATTCTTGCATAGTAGTAGGGCATGAGGATTCAACATTTCTCCCCCATCAAGGTCTGATTTGATCAGAACTAAAGGATGTAAAGACAAAATATTACCATCAATTTAGGATGGGGGTCTAAGTCAAGCACAGTGGCTTATTCTTCGTATTTCTGTCTTAGATTTGGTTCTACTATTTATCCACAGACTCACTAGTTCATAATACAAATGAGGTGATATAAAAGCACTGTCAGGCCAAGTGCGGTGGCTCACACCTGTAATCCCAGCACTTTGGGAGGCCAAGGCAGGCAGATCACTTGAGCCCGGGAGCTCAAGACCAGCAACATGGCAAAACCTCGTCTCCACAAAAAATACAAACATTAACTGGTCATAGTGGCACACGTCTGTAGTACCAGCCAATTGGGAGGCTAAGGTGGGAGGATCGCCTGGGAGTTCAAGGTTACAGTGAGCTGTGATTACGCCACTGCACTCCAGCCTGGGCAAGAGTGAGACCCTATCTCAAACAAAAACACAACCCGCTGTCAGTTTTTATATATTTTGTATATATACATGTGTGTGTATATATATGTATGTATACAGTCGACCTTCTGTATCCATGGGTTCTGTGTCTGGATTCAACCAACTGTGGATCAAAAATATTTGGGAAAAATTTAAAATAATATAACAATAAAAAATATAACAAATAAATACCAATAAAATGTAACAATTTTATATAGCATTTACATTGTATTAGGTATTATAAGTAATCTACAGATGATTTAAGGAGTAAGGGACAGTGTGCTTAGGTTATATGCACATACAAAGCCATTTTATATAAGGGACTTGAGCATCCGTGGCTTTGGGTATCTGCAGGGAGCCCAGGAACCAGTCCCCCAAGGATACTGAGGGTGACTGTATATTTAAGTATAGATGTAACTGCCGGGCTCCAGAGCTTTGCATGTGTTATGTCACAGATTTTGTTCCTGTAGATTTTGCTACTCTTCTCAAAGCCTTTGGTGACTTTGACTACAAAAATTTTAGTGCCTTAGTAAAACCAAAGAACTCTTCGGTTCTCAAGCTTTGAGTTTTCTAAACTTAAGGTAGTGATTGCATTCTGATATTACTATTGGTAATTTAAGATGACTACTTTCAGTAAGTGAGGAAAATGGTGGAGGAGAACTTTTTGTGAATTGTGAGGGAATGGTGAGTGAATAAAGACTGAGCTCGCGAGAGTCTGGGGCTGAGTGCACAGTGTACTGTACAGTTCATCACTGTGTGGGGCCTTCCAGCTACTGTAGAGGATTCTGATGTTCAGAACATCGACTCTTCAGTGTTTTGTCTTCAGACACACACTCTTTTCACTCCTGTTGATACTGTACGCTCTCTTGAGGAGCAATGAGCACTCTTGCAGGCCCTGTGCCAGGTGCCGGGTCATAACAAAGACGATTCTCAGTCTTCCGTAAGTGGGAATCTGTGGGAGGCACATATGCATGTGGTGCGGCACACACGACAGAAGATTCTGGAAGCTGAATCTGTGAGGGGCACACGTGTGTGGTGGTGCTCCAGCACACACGATAGAAGATTCTGCAAGCTGAGTCTGTGAGGGGCACACGTGGGTGGTGGTGCTCCACACACATGATGACAGAAGATTCTGGAAGCTGGAATCTGTGAGGGGCACACATGCGTGGCAGTGCCCCGGCACACAAATGATGACAAAAGATTTTGGAAGCTGGAATCTGTCAGGGGGATACTTGCATGTGACTGTGCTTCTGTTCACAGAGAAGGTTCTGGAAGCTGGAATCTGTGAGGGGCAGCTGTATGTGTGGTAATGCTCCAGTACACATGTGATGACAGAAGGTTCTGGAAGGTGAACTCTGTGAGGGTTGGGTATGCATGTGGCCCCGCTCCTGTACACACACATGTGATAACAGAAGGTTCTGGAAGGTGAAATCTGTGAGGGTTGGATATGCATGTGGCCCTGCTCCAATATACACACATGATGATAGAAGGTTCTGGAAGGTGAAATCTGTGCGGGCAGATGTGTGTGTGGCCTTGCTCCAGTACACACACACACGTGATGACAGAAGGTTCTGGAATCTGGACTCTGTGAGGGGCGCACGTTTGTGTAGCGATGCTGCAGTCCATTGCGTGGCAGAAGGAGCATTGTCTTTCCTTTGGTTTTTGTCAGCTCTTTGTTTACTTGATAAATGCTTGAGTGTCTTCAGTTTGATAACTAGCAAAGGAAAACAGCGTGTGAGACTTCTGGTGTCCTTGCGGCTCCATGCATAGGTCTGTGCCTGACTGCAGTGCACCCACATGTTCACTCGAACAGGGGTACTTGGATTGTCTTAGCCACGCTGTTCATTTGGCCTCAGACTGAGTCCTACTGAAGTCCCATCATCAGTGGAAAGGGCTTGTGAGCTGAGTTTGTCCACGCAGCAGAAGGGTGGGCAGCAGTCTGGATGGTTTACACAGACACGGTGAGAGACGTTACCCGGACGCAAAAGAGTACACAGCGTGTGATACCGTTCCATGTACAGTCATACGTTGCTTAACGACGGGCTGTGTTCTGAGAAATGTGTCCTTAGGCTATTTTGTCATCGAGTGGCCGTCATAGAGTACCTTTCTACATGTCTAAGCCAACTCCACACTCGGCTCTATGCGACAAAGCCCATTGTTCCCAGGCTGCATACCTGTACAGCATATGGCTGTACTGAATACTGTAGGCAAGTGTAACACAACTGTAAATATTTGTGTATCTAAACATACCTAAACATAGAAAGGTATAGTAAAAATACCATGTTAAAGATGAAAAATGGCACACCTGTGCAGGGCGTTCACTGGGAATGGAGCTTGCAGGACTGGAAGCTGCTCTGCGAGAGTCACAATGAGTGGTGAGTGTGAGGGCCTAGAACGTCACTGTACTCTCCTATAGACTTTATGAACTCTGTGTACTTAAGCAATGCTAAATTTATATAAAAAAATTTCTTTAATCATAAAGTAACCTTAACTTACTGTAACATTTTTACTTTATAAATTTTTAATTTTTTAAACTTTTCCACTCTTTTGTAATAACACTTAGCTTAAAACACAAATACATTGTGTGTATATATATATATTCTTTATACCCTTATTCTGTAAGCTTTTCTTAATTTTCGAAACTTTTTTTTAAATTGTTGAAATCTAAGATGCAAATACACATTCATCCAGCCCTGCACAGGGTCAGGATCATCCATATCACTGTCTTCCACCTCCACACCTTGTCCCACTGGAGAGACTTCAGGGGCAGTAACAGACATGGGGCTGCTACCTCCTATGGTGACAGTGCCTTCTTCTGGACCCTCCTGAAAGACCTGCCTGGGGCTGTTTATAGTTAACTTTATTTTCATCAGAGAAGGAGTACACTCCAAGATAATGATAAAAAGTATAGTATAGTAAAATAGTAAATGATAGGAATTGTTCAGCTCCATTATAATCTTGTGTGGAACCACTGTCTATACACTGTGCGTTGTTGACTGAAATAAAGGCGCTGAGCCCTGGGCACTGCTGTAGGTGCAGTTGTCCAGCCTCACCTGGGTGTGGGCCCACCTGGTACTGCCGCTATGGGTCTGAGGGAGGTGTGAGATCGAAAACTTGCCTGTGCCAAAGTCCAGCATTGTCCTTCACCACTTATGGACCTGGTGGTTGTGGCCAGTTGTCAGAGTGACTATACTGTTTACCACCCAGACAAGGATGTCAGGGACTGCCCCAGGCAAACCAGGATCTGCAGTCACCCCAGGGTCTGAGAACCAGCTATATTTGTGACTTTTGCTTTGGACATATCAAAAACCTCCAAGAACTTGTAGCCTAACTCTATAATTTCACAAGTAAGAAATAAGTTATAGTATTAACTCTTCACATTTCATTTCAATCCCATGTCACTTAACCATCCGGAACTGACAGCCATAGGTTCTTCTGGTCTGTGGGTTTCTCCCCTGTCCCATTCAGTTTGGAGGCTCCAGGCTTGTTTTGGATCCTGCTTCCTCTGCTCTTCTTCCTGAGTGTTCACTGTGCCTCAGCAATGCTGAGTGCGGTGAAGCATGTGGTCCTGGCCCACCTTGAGGTGGCCCCAACCACAGGTGGGAGTGTTTCATTTGCACCTGGGGTTGGGGTGAACTAAGTGCTTGGTATGTTTGTGGAAAGCCGCACTGGCGGTCTCTGAAGGCGTGTGTGTGCATGAGGGTGCCGTGATGCACATGCGAGAGCCCTGAGGTCCCCTCTGAGACCTGGGAAGGACTCCCGTGACAGTTGTATGAGGCAGGCTGGGTTACTCCATTCCGCTGGCCTTTCTCTTCTAATTGTCCTCACATTAATTTTTTCAGTCCAGACTTAGAATAGATGCTCTTTGACTCAGGATGGGGTTACATCCCAATAAGCCCACCATAAGTTAAAAATATTGTGTCAGAAATGTGCAGCCTCCCGAACATCATGGTATATAGCCTGGCCTGCCTTTAACATGCCCAGAAGACTTGGATCAGCCTACGTTTGAGCAAAATCATATAGCACAAAGCCTGTTTTACAACAGAATGCTGAACAGCTCATGTAATTCAGTGAATGCTCTACTGAAAGTTGAAACAATGGTTGTGTGGGTACTTGAAGTACAGTTTCTACTGAGTGTGTATCATCTTTGCACCATAAAATCAAACAATTGTAAGTCAAACCATTGTGAGTAGGGGACTGTCTATAACAGCTAATATACCTGGGGCTTTAAATATTCAAAAACACCAGAAGAACGTGTTAGAATTTTTTATTTTATTTTATTTTTTTGAGACAGTCTTGCTCTTTCTCCAGACTAGATTGCAGTGGCACGATCTCAGCTCAGTGCAGTCTCTGCCTCCCAGGTTCAAATGATTCTCATGACTCAGCTTCCCAAATTAGCTGGGATTACATGGTGCGCCACCATGCCTGGCTAATTTTTTTGTATTTTTATTAGAAATGGGGCTTCGCCATGTTGGCCAGGCTGGTCTCAAACTTCTGACTTCAAGTGATCTACCCACTTCGGCCTCCCAAAGTGCTGGGATTATAGGCGTGAGCCACCGTGCCTGGCCCAAGTTAGAATATTTTGCCGGGGAGGTATACTGTATTAGTCAGCTCAGGCTGCCACAGCAGACTGCCATAGACTAGGCAGCTGGAATAGCAGAAATTCCTTTCTCACAGTTTTGGAGGCTGCAAGTCTGAGATCAAGGCACCAGCAGATTCATGTCTGGTGAAGACCCACTTCCTGGTTTACATGGCCACCTTCTGGCTGTGTCCTAGCATGGAGGAGGGGAAGGCTCTGGTCTCTTTCTCTTCTTATGACACTAATCTCATCATGGGGCCTTACCCCCATGACCTCATCACTTCCCAGGGTCTAGGTATGGGAGCTTGATATACCTGTGTCTGGTTTTGCCAAATAAGTATTGTTTATTTACTTAATATGAGAAAATTCAAGATAAAACAAAGATTGAAGGGATACTGAAAGAAAGGTTGAATTTATCATAGCTTTAGGGAGCAGAAGCCAAAGAGCAAGAGGAGCAGGAAAACAGCATGAGCGGGCAAGGGTCAGCCCTGCTGGCCCAGGTGCGCCCACAGAGCTGGTGGCCTCCTTTCAGAATGAAGTCCCAATGAGAGCAGAGCCCTGGGGAGGAAATTCTTTTGCTTTGAAATGAATTTGTTTTGTTTGGTAAGTAAGGTAGCAAATACCTTTTTGTGATGTGAAGAATGAATTTTGGCAGTTTCGCATTGACTTGTGCATTTGTCTTCTCTCCATGCAGGCGGGCTGGTCCGAGTCTCTGTTTTGGAAGCTCAACCAGTGGCTGATGATTCACATGTTTCACTGCCGCATGGTTCTAACCTACCACATGTGGTGGGTGTGTTTCTGGCACTGGGACGGCCTGGTCAGCAGCCTGTATCTGCCTCATTTGACACTGTTCCTTGTCGGACTGGCTCTGCTTACGCTAATCATTAATCCATATTGGACCCATAAGAAGACTCAGCAGCTTCTCAATCCGGTGGACTGGAACTTCGCACAGCCAGAAGCCAAGAGCAGGCCAGAAGGCAACGGGCAGCTGCTGCGGAAGAAGAGGCCATAGCTGCTCCAGCCGGGGCTCCGGGGCGGCAGCAGAGCTGGCACACCGATTCTGGGAAGCCCCGCGAATGATGGCTTTTGAATTAATGAGGCAGTGAATGTTTTGTGTTTACTTCTAAGGGAAATACTAACTTTCTTTCGCATTAGTATTAATTTTGAAGTAGCTACAAAGTATTTTTAAGAAATTATAATTTTATGACTGTCTGGCAGGCTCTGTCAGTTTAGCCGCGCCGGACCGTGTCAAGCATCTAGGAGAGGAGTCCATGGTGTCCAGGCATCGGGGCGTCACACCTGTTGAGGAGTGGGGTGGCTTTGAATGCTGGAAATGGCTTCATAGTGAAGTGCCTCCCACAGGGCGGGTGGGTCAGCGTTGACTCTTTCCAGCTGCACACTCATATGCCGTGTGTCTTATTCAGAAGTCACATTCTTTTCAGTTGGAGAGAATTGGGCTAAGATAGAAAATAACATGATTTGTTCCTTATTAAAGCTTCCCAGCGTATGAAATTCTAAGCTGGGTGGGGTGGCTCACACCCGACGTAATCCCAGCACGTTGGGAGGCCGAGGCAGGTGGATCACTTGAGGCCAGGAGTTCGAGACCAGCCTGGTCAAGATGGTGAAACCCCATCTCTACTAAAATTACAAAAATTAGCCGGGTGTCGTGGCACACACCTGTAATCCCAGCTATTTGGGAGGCCAAGGCAGGAGAATTGCCTGAACCCGGGAGGCGGAGGTTGCAGTGAGCTGAGATCGCACCACTGCACTCCAGCACTCCAGCCTGGGTGACAGAGCAAGACTCTCTCTCAAAAAAAAAAAAAAAAAAAAATTCTAGACCGAAGTGTACGGCAGTGCCATCTGGTGGCAAGTGGTACAAAGACAACGCTGAGGGGTAGTGACTCCTGTAGCAGCAGAGACGCCTTGGAGTTTAACCCCCACCAACCAGAGCGTGGGCTGGTAAAGATGAAATCTTGCAAGTTTTTTTTTTTTTTAAATCATGGTACCTGTTTTAAAATGAGAAGTTATTATTCATACTGTGTTGCTCATTTGACAAAATAAGGTAAGGATTTCATAATCAGGTTGTCTGGGTTTCAGAGCTGTTTTTAATTGACTGAGTTACCTACAGGCACCCAATCTAGACCCTAATTCTGTGGTTGGTGTTCCTCTGTAGATTTCAAGACAAGTAGTGATGTCATTTTCTCCCTGAGCTGTAGGGTGGACCTGGACCCCTCAGAGATGCTCGACTGCAGGGTCCTGGGGTCCCTAGAGTGGTCCTGCAGCAGCCCCTGGCAATGAGCTGCCTGATGATGAGTCCCAAGGTACATTGTTCTACTGTTTTATACCCAGGTAGAAGTTACACAGCAATTTAGCAATGTTGTTAACAGACATACAGAATTGTGTGTGTGTGTGTGTGTGTGTGTGTGAGTGTTTTGATATAAACGTGCAATTAAAATTCAAAGTTTATTTTTTATCACAAGCACCTTTGAAATGTACGTGGAAAACGTCGGCTGCTCGTGAGAATCATGTGTGACTTACGTTCCTTATGTTTTATGGAACTCTCGGAACAGTGTTTTGTTTTTGTTTAGTTTTTGTTTTCGTTTTTTTGAGACGGAGCCTGGCTTTGGCTCCCAGGCTGGAGTCCAGTGGTGTGATCTCGGCTCACTGCAACCTCCACCTCCCGGGTTCCAGGGATTCTCCTGCCTCACCCTTTCAAGTAGCTGGGATTACAGGTACCTCTACCATGCCTGGCTGATTTTTTGTATTTTTAGTAGAGACAGGGTTTCACCATGTTGGCCAGGCTGGTCTCTGACTCCTGACTAAAAGTGATCTGCCCACCTCGGCCTCCCAAAGTTCTGGGATTACGGGCGTGAGCCACTTCACCCGGCCCGGAGCGGTGTATTTTGATTGCTGGTGCTTTAACTATATTGACCAAGGTGTATAGTAACCTATTTATCACATTTTACGAAGCAATTTTAATCTTAAACACATCCAGCAAATGGTGTCCCTGCTGAAACTTTTAACTGGAAACCTCACACCTGGCAGGCAGCACTCTCTGCAGCCGTGCCCTTGTGGAGTCAGCAGGAGCTGGTGTTTTTCAGCCAGACAGAGGCATAATAAAGTGACTGATGTTTACAGAACCCAAATGATGTCTTCCTCTCTCTCAAAATAAACTAACCTATTCATATTGCTGTGAATGCTTTATCTTGGAGATAGAAAATATAATGATAAATTCATCATGTGTTCAGAATTCGATTTGGAGTTGGAAGTGGACAGCCTAATTTTTATCTCACCTCCACTAGGACTTTGACCTTCCCAGGGGTCCACACTTTACCTCCTGTATCTTCATACGCGTGTGTGGATGCATAGAGATGGAGGTGCTGTAGAGAAGCACAGGCTCACCCGCTCCGTCCAGTGTCACCCACACATTGGTCCGGGGACCCCTCAGTGCAGAGCCTGAAGTTGGGGGTTTAGGGGTGGAAAAGGCTTCGTGAAATGTTAATGATGCGTACACCTTCCAGATGGCACAGCACTTTCCCATGGTCCTCACTGGCCTCAGTCTCCCTGACCGGCAGTGTGAGGGGATGTAGCTATAGTGGAGCATGGTACAAGCGACATTCATGAGCTCTGACTTCTTGGTGCCAGGTTGGTGTGAGCCTGGGCCCGGCCCACTCAGCGGCCCACATTGGCCAGCATTCAGCTGCACGTGTGTGCTGCGTGCTTCACATCCTCTATTGAGAGTTACAGCAAGTGTTAAACGAGGTGAGTTCACATAACAGGAATTCTGGAACTGCTTGAAAACTAGGACGATTGGGCAATATCGGCCTTAACTCCACCTGATGGCAGGTGACCCGGATAGAAAATGGCCCTGCGTTTAGCCAGGATGTGGCTCTCCAGCTTGGCTTCAGTGTGATCACTTGTCAGTGCGCTTTCTCTTTCGATAGTGAAATCCTTCTCTATACCTATGTTTTGTTTTGTTTCTTAAGTTGGGAAACAGAATGGGCCAGGGAGGTTGAGTGACTGAAGACCAAGGGTTGGTGCAGCCTCCTCGCCGCGCTGCGGGGGCTGGGCCGCACAGGCTTCTGCCCTTCTCGGTGTCCAGGCTCCTTGGGTGATGCTGGAGTTGTCATGGCCGCAGTTCAGTGTGAGATTTTTTACCAGGTATTGCGCTTAAGGGACATGATTTTCCATTTTCTTCGCCCGGACAACTTGAATGAAATGGGCACTGTTGATTCCACTTCTGTCGAGGAGCTTCGGGGCTCAGAGAGGTGATGACGTGCCCAAGGTGACGCAACTCGTGAACAGCCGTGCCTGCCTTGGGCGCAGCCTCCGGCGCCAGAGCTGGGCTCTTCAACACGGCATTTAGCGCAGAAAGTCGTGGTTCAGGCAGTATGGGCCGCTGTGACAAAACACCTAAGACTGGGTAGTTTATAAAGAACAGACATTCAGGCCAGGCACGGTGACTCACGCCTGTAATCCCAGCACTTTGGGAGGCCGAGGCGGGTGGATCATTTGAGGTCAGGAGTTTGAAACCAGCCTGGCCAACATGGTGAAACCCCATCTCTACTAAAAAAACAAAACTAGCTGGGGGTGGTGGTGCATGCCTGTGGTCCCAGCTACTTGGGAGGCTAAGGTAGAAGAATTGCTTGAACCTGGGAGGCAGAGATTGCAGTGAGCCGAGATCACGCCATTGCACTCCAGCCTGGGTGACACAGTGAGACTCCATCTCAAAAAAAAAAAAAGAACGGACATCATTTCTCACAGTTCTGGAGGCTGGAAGTCCAAGATAAAGGTGTGGGCTGATTAGTTTCTGCTGGGAACACTGCATCCTCACGTGGTGGAGGGGATGGAAGGTCAACAGGCCTCAGCTAGTTCTCCGCTGCCTTTTTATGAGGCATTAAGCCATTTGCAAGAGTAGGGGGCCCCACCTCTTAATACCACCGCAATGACAATTACAATGTCATGTGAATTCTGGAGGGGACACGGTCACACTGCAGCATCAGCACCCGGTGAATGTGGTTCTCTTCCCATGTCCGAATTTTGTGAGCTCCACACGGGCAGGGTTGCATCTGTTTTATTCTCTGATTGATTCTAAGCCCCATGTCCCTGGCACAGGATGGCTGCTTGGCAGTAGGGAGTGGATGAACCAGTAGTACCCAGGGCTGCCAGGCAGGGCCCTGCAGGGGACAGACCCAAGGGCTGATATGGGGACACCTGCTGAGGGGGGAATTTACCACGGTAAGGGCAGGGCTGGGAGGCTGGGCAGCCAGTTTCACCCTCGCACAGGCTGCCTGGCAAGACCAGCGGCTGGAGGTGATGTCCTCAGTAGAGAACGGTGGCCACTGGAAACGTGTGGCCAGAAGGGGAAACGCTCGGGCCTCTGGTGGGGGCCAGCCTGGGGTGGGGTCGGCCAGGGTCAGCTGCCTTTCCTTCATGCTGGGGAGGAGATGTTGTGTGCATGTGAGAAAGCATTTGATAGCATGCCAAAAGTTTCCTCCATTATGTGCGTGTCAAGTGTTTGACCAGGTCAGAACTCTTGTTCTATGCGAATGTGCTCACGCAGACAGAAGCGGAGGGGCTCCGTCGCTCTGCCCTCACGCCGCTGAACCGCGAGGGTCTCCCGCTCCTCAGGCTTGCGGCTCGGCCGCGAAGTGTGTCAGGTGTGCATCCTGGGTGCTCCTTTGTGCTCTGTCCTACGGTGACACAGGCGGCGTGGGGTTAGACAGGTACCGGTCAGACTACGGTGACACAGGCGGCGTGCGGTTAGACAGGTACCGGTCAGATTACGGTGGCACAGGCGGCGTGGGGTTAGACAGGTACCGGTCAGATTACGGTGGCACAGGCGGCGTGGGGTTAGACAGGTACCGGTCAGATTACGGTGGCACAGGCGGCGTGGGGTTAGACAGGTACCGGTCAGATTACGGTGGCACAGGCGGCGTGGGGTTAGACAGGTACCGGTCAGATTACGGTGGCACAGGCAGCGTGGGGTTAGACAGGTACCGGTCAGATTACGGTGGCACAGGCGGCGTGGGGTTAGACAGGTACCGGTCAGATTACGGTGGCACAGGCGGCGTGGGGTTAGACAGGTACCGGTCAGATTACGGTGACACAGGCGGCGTGGGGTTAGACAGGTACCGGTCAGATTACGGTGGCACAGGCTGCGTGGGGTTAGACAGGTACCGGTCAGATTACGGTGGCACAGGCGGCGTGGGGTTAGACAGGTACTGGTCAGATGCACGGGCTCCCTAAACCCCTGCTGTGGCTTCGGCAGTAAAGACAGGACGCACCCATGTCACAAGAGGAGCACAGGCAGGGGTGTTGGTGTTGGGGCAGCCCTCAGGGTCTCCAGACCCCAGCCCCACTCACACAGCAGCCTAGGAAGGAAGGGCAGAGTCCCAGGTGTCAGCTGGTGGGTCTCCCAGGAGCTGCCCCTCCCTGGAAGTCACAGGACAGGAATGACAGATCAGGGAACTGCAGGAAGCTGCCACCTCTGGGGTCAGAATATGCCCAGCCTGCGGGGGCTCTCTATCGGGGTCTTCGAGAGCCAGACAGCCTGCCTTGTGCTGCATACCTGGCTTTGCTCTGTGCAGAACCCAGCACACGTGATTTTGTGTGACATGCCAGCAGCCTGGCTCCCAGGACAGGAGGCCTGCCCTGGGGGAGGGGCTGCAGGAGGAGGGGGGGCAGGCACCCATGAGTCTGTCCAGCCTTGTCACAGATGCATCGCCCACCCTGCGGTCCTGATTTCAGCTCACCTCAGAGTAAATCAGAATAAACTGCACCCAGACTTTCACGAATGCATGTTGACGCTTTCAGTTCACCCCTTTCTTTGCTAACTTTCTTCCTATTTTCTTCTAATGCGAGAGCTTATTAATTCCATATTTATCATTTTGAATAACTTTTCTCCTTTTTAGTAACAAAATGTACTTCACTCTTAGTAAAATGTATTTACTATTTTAGTAACAAAAATATACTTGCCTAATCATGTTTAAAATATAGTGATGTGAAAAATTCAGACGTCTCTATTTCCTTTCTTCCGATGACTCAACCCCAAATGTCTGGAATTGATTCCGAGGTATCCAGGACCCACAGCCAGCCATCCAAGAGGAAAAAGAAACCACACCCTTCCTTCTGGGAACCTGGCCAGGAACCCCAGAGCACAGGCGCCTGGCCTTAGTGACACTTCTTTTCCACATCTGCAGGCCCATGGAGTGAATTCATTTCTTTTCTCTCTGCATGTATTTTGCTTTTACCGTTGTGCTGTTTCACGCTTGGCAGCCTCAGTTAGCACTCCAGCCCGCCTGAAGCCGTGCACAGCCCATTCCTGCAGGGTTTGATACCTGCAACCTCAAACCCATCAAAAGAGTCCAAAAATTAAACCAAAGTTAAAATCCTCCATTATTACAGAAAGTTATTAAATGTCAAGTCTCAATCTGAAAAGTTTCTGCCAAAACTTTACATAAAAAACTTTTTTTTTTTAATTTAAAACAGGTTCTCTCTATCGGCCAGGCGTGGAGTGCAGTGGCGTGATCGTGGCTCACTGTAACCTTAAACTCTTAGGCATAAGTGATCCTCTTGCCTCAGCCTCCAAAGTAGCTAGGATCACAGGCGCATGTCACCATGCCTAGCTAATTTTTAAATTTGTTGTGTAGAAATGGGGTCTTGCTGTCTGGCTCAGGTTGGTCTCAAACTCCTGGGCTCAGGCAGTCCTCCCATACTGGCCTCCCAAAGTGCTGGAATTACAGGCATGAGCCACCGTGCCTGGCCTACACAGAAAAGTTTTATAGTCCTTGTAACGTTCACGTTTTCTGTGTTGTTTTTCAAAAATCATATGGGAAATGCAAAATCCCAATTGGAACACAGTGCATTTTAGCTGCTGTTTCATTTGTTGCAAGGAATTTCCAAGCATATCTGGTCAACCCCAGAGATTTTGTTTCCACACAAAACAATCACGGAGCACAGAACGTTAGAGCCATAGAGTGGTTTTGTGGCAACAGCCAAAGCTTAGAAAGGTGGAGGCCACCATGCGATATTCCCATTGTGTGTTTTCTGTAATTTCAGATTATCTCAAATAGAAAGCACGCAGCCCTTAAAAAAATAAAGCTCAGGAAAAATCTCATTTGCTAAATGTGGCTTTTTACATTTTAATTTGGAACTAGTTGCAGGACTGGAATTGCATTCTGCCAGCGTCGGTCCCTGGTCAGCCAGTCCTCTGCCAGCTGGTGTCTGTCTTCTGGCCCTTGGCATGCACACAGCACAGTTCTGGCCACTGAGAAGGGGAGGGCTTGCAGCTGAGTGCGTTTGCCTTTGCAAGTGAAGGCAAGCCTGGATTGAGGACACCTTCCCGCCCCTTCCTGCCTCCTTTTTCCTTGAAATACAGTCCCGATGCCTATAGGGGCACCTGCCGTTGGCACCATGAGGGGCAGGCATGAGGATCCACATCCACACTCAGGCATGGGAAGCAACGAGTGGCACAGCCCTGGGCCACCAGCCTGGGGTCCCATCACGCAAGGAAAACACCGGCCTGACCGCAAAAGTGAAGGAAACGCCCCACCTGCCGTGTTCACCTTTACCCTTTCTCACAGACGTTCCTAAACACACAGGATGAAGGTGTTAACCTGCTAACCATGTTAACCACGTGAATGATAGAAAGCTCTCCCTAGGAGACACTTACGGTTTGCAACTGTGGACTTTTAAAAATCATCTTGGCTGGGAGGGGAGACAGAGTGGAGGGGCTGGACTCGCCGCCTGCATCTCAGATGCTGCAGCTTCAAAAGGAGGCTTCCTGGTTTAAAGGAAGTTGCTCTGTTCCGTTTTATTTTTGTTTTTAGCTTCTTATTTTGAACTAATTTCAAACTTACAGAAATTTGAGGGGGAAAAAAGAACAAATCTTCCATATACTCTTTATCCCTATTTATCTATTTTTAACTTTTTGCCACGTTTGTCATAGCAGTGTCTCTTCCCTTTCCCACTGTCTCTGTCCCTCTCCTTGCCTCTTCCTCTTTCTTTCTTTCCCCTACGTTACTTTATATCCCTTACCCCTTAATACTTTCGTGTTTATTGGCTGGGTACAGTGGCTCACATCTGTCATCCCTGCACTTTGGGAGGCTGAGGCGGGTGGATCACCTGATGCCAGGAGTTCGAAACCAGCCTGGCCAACATGGTGAAATCCCATCTCTACTAAAAATACAAAAAATTAACCAGGTGCACACCTGTAATCCCAGCTACTAGGGAAGCTGAGGCAGGAGAATTGCTTGAACCCGGGAGGTGGAGGTTGCAGTGAGCTGAAATCACGCAATCTCATTCCAGCCTGGGTGACAGAGTGAGACTGTGTCTAAAAAAAAAATAAAAAATTCAATGTTTATTTCCTAAGAATAATGATATTCTCTTATGTAACCACATAAGCTATCAATTCAAGAAATGTAACATGGAGCCAGTACCTTTTATCTCATCTACCGTTTTCATTCCAACTTTGACGGTTTCTTTCCTATCCTTTTTTTTCTTGGTCCAGGACGGAGTACCAGATCACATGCTCTGTTTAGTAATCATATCTCTTTATTCTTCTTTAACCTGCTGCAGTTCTTCAGCCTGTCTTTGTCTTTAACAGCAGTGATATTTCTGAACAAATACCAGCTGGTTATATTAAAGAATGCCCTCAATTTGGTTTGGTCTGGTATTTTGTCAGGATGGAATTCGAGTTATATATTTCTGGCTGGAGTGCTCTGTAAACGGTGTCCTTGAGATATCAAACACAGAGACGTCTGTCAGCTTGCCCTGATTGGCAATGTTAATTTTGGTCCCTGATAAGGTGGTTCCTCCTCTGAACAGTCACTGATTTTCCTCGTCCTTGGGTATATTGCGGGAGATCTGCTGAGGCTGAGAACGCCCTGTCTGCACATAAAGCTGCCTCCTGCCCCAAGCTGGCCTCACTGGCACCAAGTCACGTTTGCACTCAGTTGGGTCAACCTTCACGGTGATGGCTCAATATTGCTAATTTTCCAACTCCGTCACTTCTTACTGCATTCTATAAAGAAGGGCTACTTTCTTCCCAGTGTTTGTTTATTATCCCTGTGGGTTCTTGGATTCTCTGTTTGGCAACGGTATTCTATTTATAGTGGGTTATAATTGATTGTTGTTGTGATGTTGCTGCTCCCGTTGTTCCAGGTTTGCTGTGGGGGTCTCTTCAGGCTGTTGAATCGTCCTTCTTTGTACCAGTCCTTGTTTTGAGCACATCCTTATTTTCTTTTTTCTTTTTTTTTTTTACATGTCTGCATTTCTTTTTATTATTATTATTATTTTTATTTTACTTTAAGTTCGAGGGTACATGCGCACAATGTGCAGGTTTGTTACATATGCATGTGCCATGTTGGTGTGCTGCACCCATTAACTCGTCATTTACATTCGGTATATCTCCCAATGCTATCCCTCCCCCTCCCCCCACCCCACGACACGCCCCGGTGTGTGATGTTCCCCTTTCTGTGTCCAAGTCTTCTCATTGTTCAATTCCCACCTATGAGTGAGAACAATGCGGTGTTTGGTTTTCTATCCTTGTGATAGTTTTATCAGAATGATGGTTTCCAACTTCATCCATGTCCCTGCAAAGGACACGAACTCATCCTTTTTTATGGCTGCATAGTATTCCGTGGTGTATATGGAGCACGTCCTTCTTTCTTTTCTTTTCTTTCTTGCTTTTTTTTTTTTGTGACAGAGTCTCACTCTGTTGCCAGGCTGGAGTGCAGTGGCGGCTCACTGCAACCTCTGCCTCCTGGGTTCAAGCGATTCTCCTGCCTCAGCTTTCCAAGTAGCTGGGACTACAGTCATGTGCCACCATGTCTGGGTAATTTTTGTATTTTTAGTGCAGATGGAGTTTCACTTTGTTGGCCAGGATGGTCTCGATCTCTTGACCTTGTGATCCGCCTGCGTCGCCCTCCCAAAGTGCTGGGATTGAAGGCGTGAGCCACGCACCTGGCCACGTCCTTATTTTGTATGCAGCAGACACACGCCTTCTCTGCCGTGTGGTTGGATCCAGCCCTTTCTCTGAGAATTCTGGTTCTTTTTAGTGAGGAATGGAATTTAGAAGTTAAGATGTGGGTGGGAGATGTGCTCATTGCTCATGGGCCATCAGAACCTCCACACCCTTCTACCTCTGCTGCAACCCAGCCCCACGGCACTTCCTTGCCTGCCTCATTCCTGTGCATCCCGTCTTGCATGGTGACGACCCCGGCTCACAACAGCAGAGACAGCATCACGCATGGCTCAAACACGCTGTAACACAGAGCAGGTTTGGAATGGCTCCACCCACAGGGCCACAAGAAACAAACCCATGGAGAGTTCCAGATCTGTTTGCAGCTTTTTTCTTTAGTCTGAGGGTATGCAGTCAAAGTGCTGTCTCCAAAAATTACTTAAATTTGTTTTGTCCCGACTCCCCTTCAGATGATGGCTAATCATTTGACAGACACTTGGGTTCCTTTGTTGGCATTCTGTTGTAGCATTTTCCCCGATTCTTGATAATTTTATTATTTGAATATGTAAAATGTCATGATTCCAAAAGTTAAAACTATTCAAAAAGCTGTGCCCAGAGAAATGTCTTCTCCTCTCTATTTCTCCTGCCCTGTTTTCTCCAAAAGGAACCAGTTCGTTTATTTTAACAGCTTTCCTGAACTATAATTCATATACCATAAAATTCACCCGTTTAAAGTGTATTTAGTGTTTTTTAGTATTCATGGAATTGTGAAACCACCGCAATCAATTTTAGAACATTTTTATCACCTAAAAAAAAAAAAAAAAGTATTTGTCCCCATTAGTAGCTATTACCCATTTCCCGCCCCCCGACCCTCACTCCCGCCCCCCCTCCCCCCGCCCCGCCCCAGTCCTCCTCCCTGACCTTAGGCAACTGCTATCTTTTTGTCTCTATGGATTTGCCCATTCTGGACATTTCCTATAAGGGGAATCATACAATACATAGCCTTGTGCAGCTGGCTTCTCTCACACAGCACCATGTTTTCAAGGTTCATCCGTGTTGTAGCGTGTACCAGTTCTTTATTCCCTTTTATTGCCAAATCATACCCCATCGTATGGATTGACCACATTTTATGTAGCTGTCCATCAGTTGATGGCCATTTGCGTCATCTGCCCTTTTTGGCTGTTATGAACAGTTCTGGGATGAACATCATGTGCATGTTTTTGTGGGGACATAGGCGTCCCCTCTCTTATGTATTCCGCTAGGAATGGAACTGCTGGGTCCCACTGCTGGTTAGATGCTGAGGAACTGCCAGACCGTTTCACGAAGCACCTGCACTCTTGGCTGCTTTACGCTCCCTTCAGTGCGTGAGGGTTCCGGGCTCGGCACATCCTCAGCAGCCCTTGTTACTGCCCATCTGCGTCGCGACCGCCATGCTAGTGGGTGCGCGGTGGTGCCTGAGTGTGGCTTGCTTCCCATTTCCCTGATGGCTGATGACGCTGAGTGACCTCACTGGCACCTGGCCCCTTCGTGTGTCTTCCTGAGAGCAACGCCTCTTCACATCCGGTGTCCTTTTGGCCTGGTAGGGTAATTCTTTGATCGTGGAGTTGGAAGAGTTCTGGATCTATTCTGTATGCACACCACTTATGAGACACCTGGTCTGCACAGACCTCTTTGCACTCTGGGGCTTGTCTTCTCACTCTCTTGATGTTTCTAGAAGTTTCTATGTTTCTTTTGTTGTTTGTGGTTTTCGGATCATATCACAAAAGGCTTTGCCTAACCTGAGACTGCAAAGATTGACACTCATAGTTTTTTCTGAGAGTTTTCTAGTTTTACCTTTTACATTTAGGTCTTTGATCCCTTTCTAGTTTATTTTTCTACTTAGATTAGTTAACCTGTTCTAGGCCGTCTTACACATGAAATCATGCAGGATTTTTTTTACAGAAATCCTTCTTGTTACAATTTCAGCATTTATATTTTTGAAAAACATATGTCTTTCATCTATATTTCCTAACTAATGTAACATTTTTTAAAAAGTACTTTTTTATGTTAGCAAATCTCTCTATATCTGTAGGGTCTTTTGTTCTATATTTTGTTGATTTGTATCTTACTTGCTTGTTTTTTGGTTTGATTGGTCTTTTTCAAGCTCTACTTTATTAATCTTTCTAAGAAGTAGTGGTTTTTTTGGCTAATCTTTTTGATAAGTTTTTATTTGTTTCTGTCCTTATATTCATTATTTCCTTTCTTCTTGTTGTTTTCAATGTATTCAGTGTTTCTATTCAGTTTTCAGATTTTTGTATTGAATATTTTGTTTTATTTTGAAGTTTTCTTGCTTCCTGTAAATACATTAGAAATTATAAAATTTCTTTTAAGTGCTAATTTAACATTGTTTCACAAAGTGTGACATTTTTGTTTTTATTTTCATTTGGTTCTAAATATTTTGTAACCCTCTTCTGGTTTACTTTTAAACCCAAGGGATATTTAGTAATGTCATTTCCTTTCCAAAAATGTGGTATTTTAAAACTTCTATCCTTTTGTTATTTATTTCAAAATTTATTTTACTATTACATTAGAACACACTTTGTTGCTTTAGAGTTTATTGTGTTTCTTTCTTGCTAAATACATTTTTCATGATATATGATCAAATTGTGTAAACATTCTATGCATTTTTAAAAGTATAGTCTCCATCGGATGCAGAGTTCTATGTAAATATAATAATTTAGAATTTGTATGTTTCAAATCTTTGATGTCTGCTATTTTATATGTTTTAAGAAATATCTAGTATAATTGCCAACTTATGTTTTTCTCTGTAGAGTTGTGTCAGTTTTTGCTTTTTTTTTTTGAGACGGAGTCTCCTCTGTCACCAGGCTGGAGTGCAGTGGCGCAATCTCGGCTCACTGCAACTTCTGCCTCTCGGGTTCAAGTGATTCTCCTGCGTCATCCTCCCGAGTAGCTGAGATTACAGGCATGCGCCACCATGCCCAGCTAGTTTTTGTATTTTTAGTGGAGATGAGGTTTCGCCATGTTGGCCAGGCTGGTCTCGAAAACCCTTGACCTCAGGAGATCCGCCCGCCTCGGCCTCCCAAAATGCTGGGATTACAGACATGAGCCGCTGCACCCGGTCAGTTTTTGCTTTTTTAAAGAAACATGCTTAAGTACACATGTGATCATGATGGTTGCATCTTGTTCATCTGTTTCCTCTTTCAGGTGTGTAACAGCATGCTGTTCGCTGATTGCTTTGGACTTGGCAGATAGCAGGGCTACTATCTAGTTTTATATTGATTCCAATTTGCCTAGTACTTCTTTTTCTATTTATTTTAAACTTTTTAGTATCCTTTACTTTTAAATATGCTTCTCTTGGAAAACTGTTGATTCTTTCTTTATAAATCCAAGCTTCGTATTGGTGTTTTAGCTCATTAAGTTGATTGTGTCTGGTTGCAGCAGGACTTTATTTCTGCCTCCTTCATTCATAATTGGCTTTTACATTCATTTCTTTTTCCCTAAGTTTCTCCTATCGATTTTAATGGTGGTTACCTTTAGTTTAAGATCCACATCAATACATAGCTAATCGTATTGATTTCCTGAGCAGATTAATATTAAATCTTTGGACTCCCATGTTGATTCTGTTTAAATATTTACTTTTGCATTGTTGTAAATGTACTTCATCTTCTCTCCTCACTTTGGTCCTGGCCTTTTTTTTTTTTTTTTTGAGACGGAGTTTCGCTCTGTTGCCCAGGCTGGAGTGCAGTGGTGCGATCTTGGCTCACTGCAAGCTCTGCCTCCCGGGTTCACGCCATTCTCCTGCCTCAACCTCCCGAGTAGCTGAGACTACAGGCGCCCGCCACCCCGCCCAGCTAATTGTTTGTATTTTTAGTTGAGATGGAGTTTCACTGTGTTAGCCAGGATGGTCTTGATCTCCTGACCTTGTGATCCGCTCGCCTCGACCTCCCAAAGTGCTGAGATTACAGGCGTGAGCCACCGCACCTGGCTGCTCCTGGCTTTTTTAGATAACAATAGACTACTAAAATCTATTTGATCTAAAGTTTTTTATACCCATAGTTCCTATCAACATCCTCCTGGATTTATTTATCTTCTAATTTCCTTGAAGAACGTTTTCAAAGTGAGTTTTGGAAAAGTGGATCTTCTGAGGCCTTTTATATTGGAAGATAATTTGGTATGTGCTTATACTTCAGTGACAGTTGAGCTGGCTATAAAATTCTATGTCAAATTCCTTTTTTTATGTTTTATTTTATTTTATTTTATTTTATTTTATTTATTTATTTATTTTTTAGACAGAGTCTTGCTCTGTCTCCCAGGCTGGAGTGCAGTGGCATGATCTTGGCTCAGCTCACTGCAACCTCCAACTCCCTGGTTCAAGGGATTCTCCTGCCTCAGCCTGTCTAGTAGCTGGAATTACAGGCATGCGCTGCCATGCCCAGCTAATTTTTGTATTTTTAGTAGAGACGGTGTTTCACCATGTTGTCCAGGATGATCTCCATCTCCTGACCTCATGATCCACCTGCCTCGGCCTCCCAAAGTGCTGGGATTACAGGTGTGAGCCACTGCACCTGGCTTCTATGTCAAATTATTTTCCTTGAGGGCTTTAAAAATATTACTCCAGTGTCTTCTGGCACCCATTGTGGCCTCTGGAAACTCTGAAATGAAACTTACTCTTTTGTCAGTGATCTGCTCTTCTTCATAGAAACTTTTGGAATTTTCTTTGATATTCTTGAGTTTCACTGTCAATTATGGGTAAGTTTCCCATCCATCCTATTAGACACTCTCTAAGCCCTTTCAACTTGAGAGCTTTCATCTTTAATTTTTCTGATTTTACCTTTGAATATTTTTTTCTCCATTTTTATTTTTCTCTGTTCCTGGAACTCCATTATCTGTACATTTCCACTTCTTTAATTACCTTACTTACCTTTAACCATTCTTTCATACATTCTCTCTTTTCCTATTGCCTTTGGGGTGAGTTGCCTCTAGCCTGCTCATCTGGCTTTGGCTGCATTTGGCCTCATCATGTTCCTTATTTCAATTATTTCATTGGATGCTAGACATTCCTTCTTCCCTGCTTTATGTCTCTGGTGTCTGCCTTTATCTCTTTGAATATGTTTATTTGTATAAATTCTTGGTGCATCTGTTTTAAAACTTTGAACAGGGGAGGCTGAGGTGGGCAGATCACCTGAGGTCAGGAGTTCGAGACCAGCCGGGCCAACATGGTGAAACTCTGTCTCTAATAAAAATACAAAACTTAGCCAGGTGTGGTGGCGCGGGCCTGTAATCTCAGCTACTCAGGAGGATGAGGCAGGAGAATCGCTTGAACCGAGGAGGCAGAGGTTGCAGTGAGCCGAGATCACGCCACTGCACTCCAGCCTGGGCGACAGAGCAAGATTTGTCTCAAAAAATAAAAATAAAATAAATAAATAAATAAACTTTAAATGGCATCCTTAGCTCAACTTGTTCTTGTTCAGGGGTTGCAGTCCTTGGGTAAATAAAATAAATAAATAAATAAACTTTAAACAGTATCCTCAGCTCAACTCGTTTCTTGTTCAGGGGTTGCAGTCCTTGGGTGTTAGCTCTTTGGAGTGGGTGTGTTCCCCCTGGGGTATAAGACACTGGTCGGAAGATCCCAGGTGAGGTCTTCCCCAGAACTGGGGTTGGGAAGGGAAAGAGTCTGGGCTAACCACTCCATTAGCTGCAGCCCTACCGCCAGCACCTGGGGGCAGGGAGTTACAGTCAAACTCTTAAAAAACAAATAGCCGAAAGTGCAGTGAGGTTAAGCATCCCCTGAGGACTGGACGAGCAGACCTGCCTGCTTTGCAGAAGACGGGGAGGGGAAGGAGAGCAGGGCCATCTCCTGCCCAGCCCCGAGCCTCCCTGATAGTCCTCCCACCCACCCAGCTCCGGATGATGCTCCCACTCACAAGATTGCTGCTTTTTCCATAGACCGGTAGGAACTCCAGGCCTTTTCTCCAGCTGTCCCTGAATTCTCCTTGTTTCCTTCCTTCCTAACTTCCTCCATCCAAGGCTGGAGGCCCCAGTTTGGAAATCAGGACCCACGTCCCCCTCCACACCTTCCTATTTGTGTAGTTCTGTTTCGAGTCTGGACTCAGTAAATCTCTCTGTCCTCCTGGACCAGGTGTTGGCGCACTGGGGCTGCCGTGGAAACTGCCCTGGATGTTTCCCAGTCATTACAGATCCCAAGACACTCCTAGGTCCCAGATCCCCAGATCTGGAGGAAAGGGGCCCCTTCTGCCAGGCTTCCTCCCTGGGTCACAAACTCACATCTGCCTGGACTCCCACTGCTGTCTCTCTCTTTCTCTCTCTCTCCCCTCTTTTTAACTGTCCACTAGGTTTTATGGATAACTCCTGAGAGAATGTCCCAGTCTGCTTACCATCACATTGATCCCGCCCACCAGCATTGAGGCTCTGCACTGTCTCCCCTCCCTTGCCTGTCCAAAGCCCCTTCCACCCGGGACCGTCGCCCCTTTACACTCAGGGGTACTGGTCCATCTATGCCATGCTGAGAGCTGCTGCCATGAAAAGACCCCTGGATCTCACCCCCTCCAGCAGCTACCTCTTCTCTTTCTAGAGAAACCACCTAGAAGGACTTCCTACACACACCAGCCCCACCTCCTCTTTCCTGTTGTCTCTTAGGCCCAAGGCCCACCACAGTGCCCTTTGCCCCCCACAGTCACCCCTGCCAGGGCACCGGCGGCCAGCACTTGCTCCACCAACCCTTCCTCCAGAAGAGCTTTTTTGGGAGGGATCCTGGAGCCCGATCCTGGTCCCCCTCCCATCATCCTAACCTCCTCCTGTCTTTCTTCTCCATCTGTAGGATCTTCCCAGGCAAAGTCACCTGTAAATCACATCCATACCCAAGAAGCTCCCAAAATCTCACTTCCAGCCCAGACCTGAATACTGGGTCAGCTGACACCTTATCTGGAGCATCACACACTTTCTACAGCCTCAGGCCACCCACACCAGGGCTTTGCTTTCCCCCACAAGGTGCTCTTCTTCCTGTTACCTCCATCTCGGTACAGGGGGCTGCTCTCCTTCCAGGTGTTGCAGTCAAAACTTTTGGGATTTTTCTTGATTCCTCTTTCTCTTCAAACCCACTTCCCATCCCGAGGCCCGTCCTGTTGACCTAGCCTGTTCATAATAAAGCCCTGCGCCCTTTCCTCCTCCTCTAGTGGTTGGATGAGTGTTCGTGTACCAGTCACTAATTTGATCCCAGAGTCTCCACTAGAGACAGGAGATGCCTCTGCACACACTGACACACACCGAGTGTCACAGCAATTCCACTGGTGGGAGACAGACACCCCGGAGCATTTCAACAATCGCTTTTCTCTGTTGAAGTTTTCTTCTGCCCCATTCACTGTCTCCTCTGACCACACAATTTGGTTTTGCCTCTTTCTCCATGTCGAAGGCTTCCTTGTGTCTGGTGGTCTTCGACTATTTATTTCTCAGCATGAGGCACTGAGAAAGGATGTGGAACCCCGGGTGTGCGTGTGTGTGTGTGTGTGTGTGTCTGTGGCATAAGGAGGTTTGCCTGTGGGACCGGGGATAACCAGGGAGGCGCGTGGGTCTCATACTGAGGAACTCTTGAATCACGCAGATTTTTCTCATGGGTGTGTTTCCCTGAAAGGAATTCTGGGGTCCCTGGGGTGCGGGGCGGAAGGATCTGTCATGCTGTCCCCTGGGGTGCGGAGCGGAAGGATCTGTGATGCTGTCCCCTGGGGTGTGCGGCGAGAGGATCTGTCATGCTGTCCCCTGGGGTGTGCGGCGAGAGGATCTGTCATGCTGTCCCCTGGGGTGTGCGGCGAGAGGATCTGTCATGCTGTCCCCTGGGGTGCGGGGCGGAAGGATCTGTCATGCTGTCCCCTGGGGTGCGGGGCGAGAGGATCTGTCATGCTGTCCCCTGGGGTGTGCGGCGAGAGGATCTGTCATGCTGTCCCCTGGGGTGCGGGGCGGAAGGATCTGTCATGCTGTCCCCTGGGGTGCGGGGCGGAAGGATCTGTCATGCTGTCCCCTGGGGTGCGGGGCGAGAGGATCTGTCATGCTGTCCCCTGGGGTGTGCGGCGAGAGGATCTGTCATGCTGTCCCCTGGGGTGTGCGGCGAGAGGATCTGTCATGCTGTCCCCTGGGGTGTGCGGCGAGAGGATCTGTCATGCTGTCCCCTGGGGTGTGAGGCGGAAGGATCTGTCATTCTGTCCCCTGGGGTGCGGAGCGGAAGGATCTGTCATGCTGTCCCCTGGGGTGCGGAGCGGAAGGATCTGTCATTCGACTGCCACAACTCTTGGATCCAAGTAGGCAAAGGCCACTGTTCTTTCACTCCTCCTGCTTCCCATTGCTGCCTCAGGATCTCCATGACAGTGTCTTCTGGCCGATTCCTCCTGGGCCCTCCGAGCTGGGCTGGGGCTGCCACCTGCCCTCCTGGGTGTGGAGCAGGACCTGGTGATCCTGTGCCTCCTGCTTTCAGCCTCGCCTGATGTCCCCTTTCAGAGATGCCTGAAAGGCTCTCCCTGTAGCTCCGGTAGCCTCCTCTGGTTGGCCTCACCGGTGCCCATTCGTCCATCATCTGTCCATCTGCCTCCAGCCCTCAGACTTTGCCATGGCCCTCTGCCTTTCACTGTCTTGGCACTGGACCATTGTATTCCTCCTCCTGCTCCTCCTTCTTCTTCTCCTCCTCCTCCTCCTTCTTCTTCTCCTCCTCCTCCTTCTTCTCCTCCTCCTCCCCCTCCCCCCTCCCCCTCCCCCTCCCCGTCCCCCTCCTCCTCCTCCCCCTCCTTCTCCTCCCCCTCCTCCTCCTCCTCCTCCAATTCTTGTTCTTCTTCTTCTTCTTCTTCCTCTTCCTCTTCCTCTTCCTCTTCCTCTTCTTCTTCTTCTTCTTCTTCTTCTTCTTTTTCTTCTAAATGGAGACAGGGTCTCACCATGTTGCCCAGGCTGGCCTTGAATTCCTGGCCTTGAACAATCCTTTTGTCTCGGCCTCCCAAAGAGCTGGGATTACAGGTGTGAGCCACTACACCCGGCCATGCCTTCTATCTTCTTTCTCTACTTTCAACACTTAAATATTTTTAGCCAGGTTTCAGCAGGAAATGGATGGACATGAGGGCTCTGTCTGCCTGTTGGACCAGAAGCCCTTGCATCTGATCTAAACAAACCCCTTCTTGCCTTTGTTAGGGTTTCTGCTTGGTTTTATTCACAAAATTGACGTCTCAACTCTAATATTTATGTTCTTGTCACAGACAACTGTGATAGACTAATCAGTTACCTAATTGTCCTAAACCCAATCTTTTAATAAAATCTGGTTTCTTAGGACCTGGAGCGACAGGTTTGCGAGAAAGCTCCTCCCTGGATGAGGCCAAGAGCGTGGGAGTGAGTTCCAGGCTCCCAGAAGTGGGAAGTATTTTGGAAGTATTTTGGATTTAGGCGGTAAAGAATTCCCTATAAAAATAGCTGAACAGATTGGCCTCATATCACTGTGGGACTTTCTTGGAACATGAGGTGAGGTTATGGGTTGGCTTGCAAATAAAACCAAACACATTTCCCAATGAGGGAATGGGGCTGTGGTTAGGATGGGATCCGTGGGGGTTCTGGGGTGCTGGCAGGGCTCTGCTTGTGATCTGGTTACATAGCTATTTGCTTTATAATCATTTAGTAAATGTGTGATTTGTGAATTCTTCTGCATATGTTTTATTTCACAATAAAATGTCAACTTTTTTTTAACAACTAAGCAAAGTTAAGAACAATGCAGTGTAATTTCCTCGGAAATACGCTTTGACAGTTATTTAATTGGGCAAGTGGAAAATTACTTTTTATGAAGATGGTTTCTGCATATCATGAAAATGCCGTGTGCTGAACCATGCAGTAAGTGAAAGCGTCTAGATAAGGGCAGCCATTTGTTCTTCCCGATAAGGCACTCTCTACTGTTTTCTCTGGAATCAAACTGGCACGCCTGATGACTGGTGTTTTTATAAATCAGTGAGTATTTACATGTCTCAAACAGGCAAGTTTAAAACCACAAAGTCAGGGGCATGTTAAAAATTTGACTTCGGGTCTTAACGATCCACTGATCTTTTCATTTCTTCATTTTGGGTCCGGCTGCTTTGCATGAGGATGTTTTTCTCCCGTCTCTTATTGCCTGGCTTACAGGAGAGTTGGGTGATAGGAACACAAGGAGCAGAGAACGCACTGGCCTCTGACAGCCGCTCTGTGCAGATTCAGTCCTTCAGCCACCCGCAGGAATTGCCGCCAGAGTAGGACATGTCTTCTACCCTCTTGGAAGTGATGAAACCACCTTTCAGAAATTACAGCAGTGAGAAAACTATGACGTTGAAAGATACCTGATCTAACCAACCCCCATCCTGCCTTTGACCTCCAAACTGTCTTTCATCACTCCTAGGCCTGGGCCAAACTAATTTTGGAAGATATTTATAGTTTAAACGATAATAGCCCTTCTCCCGAACTGAACTGCCTGTGTAAAGCTAATGAAAGGCCAGTAGGTTAGGAGGATGAGAGGAGCCTGGATTCTGCTAAAATATAGATGTAAACGACGACCAGCCATTACTCTGGAGGTCACAAGATTTGCAGCTTCTGCAGATAAACATCACTATTGTAGAACCTAAGATTGGCCGTTTGAGATGTCCTTTCAAGTTTTTGCATTTCTGATGTCCGACTGATCCTGTGGCCCCACTCAGAAGCGGACTCCCTGGCCTGCTAAACTACCCTTGAAATACAGTAGCCT
This sequence comes from Homo sapiens, assembly GCF_000001405.40. NCBI lineage: Eukaryota > Metazoa > Chordata > Mammalia > Primates > Hominidae > Homo > Homo sapiens. The sequence continues at coordinate 1,801,266 of NC_000008.11, forward strand.
CCAAATTTTCAGGGAAATTGATTTAAGTAATGGTCAGGCCTCTGAGCCCAAGCCAAGCCATCGCATCCCCTGTGACTTGCACGTATATGCCCAGATGGCCTGAAGTAACTGAAGAATCACAAAAGAAGTGAATATGCCCTGCCCCACCTTAACTGATGACATTCCACCACAAAAGAAGTGTAAATGGCTGGTCCTTGCCTTAAGTGATGACATTACTTTGTGAAAGTCCTTTTCCTGGCTCATCCTGGCTCAAAAAGCTCCCCCACTGAGCATCTTGCGACCCCCACTCCTGCCCGCCAGAGAACAAACCCCCTTTGTCTGTAATTTTCCTTTACCTACGCAAATCCTATAAAACGGTCCCACCCTTATCTCCCTTCGCTGACTCTCTTTTCGGACTCAGCCCGCCTGCACCCAGGTGAAATAAACAGCCATTTTGCTCACACAAAGCCTGTTTGGTGGTCTCTTCACACGGACGCGCATGAAAGGAATAACTCCATCTCCCACGTGGCGTGGCTGGCCTCGTGTCAGTTAAACTTTCTTTATTGCAACACCATGGTTTCAGTGAATTGGTTTTCTCTGTGCAGTGGGCAGGAGTTTTAATTTCTTAATTTTGTAGCCAGCCTTCAGGCGGTGACAGTGATTGGACAATCACTTTAGTAGCATGAGATACTGAGGCTACTGCACTCGGATGGAATGGGCAGGAAACATGACTTGAATGCACCATGGACTCTACACCAGCATCTGTCCCCTGCAAAAGGGGCTCTGGGAACTAGAACAGTCATTCCCACCTTCTGAGCGCATTAGATCACTGCAGGGAGCATTGGAACGTGCTTTCCTGGGCCGCTCTGGGCCCAGGCTCCCATGTGAGCATCCGTTTTAAACCAAAAATAAAATTCCGAAAACCAAAAGCCCCCCATCCAACTGAATGGACCCCTACTCTTGGCCAAGAGGATTCCAAACAAACCTGAAAAACAAGTCAGGCCGGACGGGAAGGGGAGGGTCTGATACGCCTCATTGTATCCTCTCCCTTTGGGGTCAGGAACAGCCGATGGCATTAACATTAACACAGAGACCTTCGGACTGACCAGACAGGCTCTGGAAGTGATAGGAACAAGGCCTAGGGTGCAGGAGGAGCCTCGAGGGCTCAGCTGGGCTAGCCTGGGTGGAGGGGCCACAAGAAACCCCTGAAATGACAGAGGTCAAGTTTCATGGCCAGAAAGACTGGAGTCAGAGTGAGGAAGGGGGATGCAGTGGCCAGCCTTTGCTGGGAGCTGCCTCTGTGGCCACACCCAAAACTCCTCCCCCTGCATCGGCCACTCCAGTCCTTACGGTGGAACCACAGGCTCTTGTGAAAGGAAGATAAATCTCGAGACCCCAAGTCACTAAGCCAAAGGGAAGAATCAAGCTGGGAACTGCATCAGGGAATCCCGCCTCCCATTTTACTTAAAACTGCAGATGCAGGCTGGGCATAGTTGTTCACACCTGTAAGACCAGCACTTTAGGAAACTGAGGCAGGAGGATTGCTTGAGTCCAGGAGTTTGAGACCATCCTGGGCCATGTAGCCAGGCCCTGTCTCTAAAAAATAAGAAAAAAATGCAGATTCACTAAGCCAGACTAAGGCAAGAGTGACTGTTCCTCTACCCCCCTTTCACATGTAAATTGTGTATTTGGTGAAAGAAGGGCTAATCCCAGACTCAAAAGAATGCAACTGTTTGTCTCTTATCTGCCTGTGACCTGGAAGCCCCCACTTTGAGTTGTCCCATCTTTCCAGACCAAACCAATGTGCATCTTACACCTACTGATTGATGTCTCACGTCTCCCTAAAATGTATAAAACCAAGCTGTGCCCCGACCACCCTGGGCACATGTGGTCAGGACCTCCTGAGGCTGTGTCACGGGCTCATCCTTAACCTTGGCAAGTAATATGGTTAGCCTTGTGTCCCCACCCAAATCTCATCTTGAATTGCAGTCCCCAGGGACACAGCTGGCCGGAGGTGACTGGATCATGGGGGCGGTTCTCCCCATGCTGTTCTCGCGATAGTGAATAACTCTCACGAGATCTGATTTTTTTTTTTTTTTTTTTGCGACAGAGTTTTGTTGCCAAGGCTGGAGTGCAGTGGCGTGATCTTGGCTCACTGCAACCTCCACCTCCCGGGTTCAAGCGATTCTCCTGCCTCAGCCTCCCGAGTAGCTGGGATTACAGGTGCCTGCCACCACACCTGGTTAATTTTTGTATTTTTAGTAGAGATGGGTTTTCACCATGTTGGCCAGGCTGGTCTCGAACACCTGACCTCAGGTGATCCACCCTCCTCGGCCTCCCAAAGTGCAGGGGTTACAGGCGTGAGCCACTTCGCCCAGCGATCTGATGGTTTTATAAAGGGCAGTTGCCCCAGGCTCTCTCACACTCGCTGTCCTGCTGCCTTGTGAAGAAGGTGCCTGCTTCCCTCTTGCCTTCCGCCATGATTTTAAGTTTCCTGAGGCCTCCCCTGCCATATGGAACTGTGAGTCAGTTCAACCATTTTCCTTTGTAAACTACCCAGTCTCGGCTATTTCTTTATAGCAGTGTGAAAGTGAACCCACACGGCAAAATAAACTTTCTAAATGGATGGAGACCTGTCTCAGATACTTTTGAGTTCACACTTTCATCTGTGGGCTGTGGTGTAATAGCATCTTTTCAAGCCTCCCTGTGGAGGTGGGATCTTTTGGAGTGATTATTTATTTTTCTACGATGTGTAGCTTAATTTATGGTCTATGTACATTTTCCCCTTTGCAGCAGCTAACCTTCACTCATTTACTATAGTGATTTTTAGAATTTTTACTGTTTGTCAATAACTTCCTTTGCAAAGTGTTCCTGCTTTCTGGCATGACTTTTTTATTTTATTTATTTATCTTTTTTAGACAGAGTCTCGCTCTGTCACCAGGCTGGAGTGCAGTGGCATGATCTTGGCTCACTGCAACCTCTGCCTCCCGGGTTCAAGTGATTCTCCTGCCTTAGCCTCCCAAGAAGCTGGGACTACAGGCACACGCCACCAGGCCCAGCTAATTTTTGTATTTTTAGTAGAGACGGGGTTTCACCATGTTGGTCAGGCTGGTCTCGATCTCTTGACCTCATGGTCTGCCTGCCTTGGCCTCCCAAAGTGCTGGGATGACAGGTGTGAGCCATGGCGCCTGGTGTGATTTTTCTGTAACTACATCCTACTTATTCTGGACTAATGAGAAAATAGCAAGGGTGTCCATCTTCATCAACACTGCCTTGTTTGGACAGTTTGGTACAGGCTTCAAGGTTTCAGGCCTTAAGCTTTTGCAAATCACTTGCTCAGAAAAACTGGGGACAGCAGGCCCATTTATATTCATTTTAAACACTTGACAAGAGGAAGATGTCATTTTACAAAGGGTAAATGTTTCTTTGGGTTATGCTGATAGGTTACTGTTAGTGCTAATTTAAAAAGACATGGTGTGTCAAAATATGGCTAACTGGTTCTTATATATTTCTTGCTAATTCAGCCATGAATAAAATGGACTTGTACATATTGATACTTCTTATCTATTAAAGAAATCCACTCATTGTTTTAATCAGTATATAAATGTAATAAGTATTAGTTTTGGAAATACAAATTACAATAAAGAGGGAAACAGACCATGTGTTAATATCTTGGTAAATTTCCTTCCTGTTGGTTCTCCTGTGTGTCTGCCCAAGGCCATGCACTAGCAGCGTTTCCTATGTTTGATTCACACCTTGCATAACTTACACACACTCCAGAGGTGGGTTTTATTCCCATCTGTACTAGTTTTAGGTGCGGCTGGGAGACGTGGAAGGAGGGACATGGCATGGCCACCACTGGGCGGGAGAAGTGAGCCTGCTTCTCCAGGATCTGCCTCTCCTCGCCTGTGGACCCAGCTGCTGCTCCTGCTTCTCCAGGGCTGTGGACCCAGCTGTCTCCTGGGTTTTCCTTGGGGCTGATTTTCACATGAAGCTGCTAATTTGGTATAGGAACACTCGGGAGTTTTGGTTTTCATTTCAACATCATCCCCTCCCCACCCTGCCCCCAGATAATCCTGTAACTCCAGGTCTCTCACTCACCTGTACAAGGAAGGTTTTGAAGTGGAGGCTACCTCATGTCCTATCCCCTAAATATTTTCAGTAATATTTGTATCAATGGATTTTCTGAACCTTTAAAAACTAGAAATTCTCTCTCTCCACACAAAATATATATGCTGTACATACTATATATAGTCATAAAAATGTATATACAAAAATTAAAAGTATATGTAAAAAGGGGCTGGATGCGGTGGCTCACACCTGTAATCCCAGCACTTTGGGAGGCCGAGGCAGGTGGATCACCTGAGTTCAGGAGTTCGAGACCAGCCTGGCCAACATGGTGAAACCCCATCTCTACTAAAATTACAAAAATTAGCTAGGCATGGTGGTGGGCGCCTGTAATCCCAGCTACTTGGGAGGCTGAGGCAGGAGAATCGCTTGAAATCAGGAGGCAGAGGTTCAGTGAACTGAGATCGCACCACTGCACTCTAGCCTGGGCAACAAGAGCAAAACTCCATTTCAAAAAAAAAAAAAAAAAAAAAAAAAAAAAAAAAAAATATATATATATATATATATATATACACACACATATACGCAAAAAGGAGATTTTAATGAATATATAATTTTGTCAACTAAAAAATACAGAAAAAAAAGAATGGCTAAAAATTATTGGGTCTACAACTTTAGAAATTGAATAGTAGAACAAACCAAAAGTATATTGAAGGGAGAAAATAAAAATAAGGCCAGAATTAATAAAGCAGGAGATAGTAATTCCATGGGTACAAATGACAGAATGGATTTTGAAAAGACAGAAAAATTGGAAACCTCTAGCAAAATGATCAAAGGGAAAAAGAGACAGAGAAAAAGCATGGAGGTGCAGACCAACAATCTGAGACGTGACTTCAGAGTGTCCACGCAGGACCCCGCAGAAGTAGGTGAGTGTGGCCTTCCCAGGTGAAGGGGGCTTTGCAGATGTAAGGAGAGGATCTGAAGGGGGAGATTGTCCTGGATCGTGTGGGTGAGTCCAGTGTATTCCCAAGTGTTTTTGAAAGTAGAAGAGGAGGCAGAAGTGTTCAGGGGTGGGCGACAGCATATGGACTCAGCCCAGCATTGCTGCTTTGGAGGTGGGGAAGGGGCTGCAAGCCCAGGAGAGTGTAAAGTGCAAGGCAAGTCTTCTCCCTGGAGCCTCCAGATGGGAATGCAGCCCTGCCACTGCCATTTCAGCTCCGAGAGAGCCCTGCTAGATTGTGACCTGCAGATACACAACCACAGACAGTCAATTTGTGTTGTTTTTAAGACTAAGTTTGTGGCCGGGTGCACTGGCTCACATCTGAATCCCAGTACTTTGGAAGGCCGAGGCTGGAGGATCTCTCGAGCCCAGGAGTTTGAGGCCAGCCCTGGCAACATAGTGAGACTTTGTCTCTACAACAATAAAAATAAAAAATTAACCAGGCATGGTGGTGTGTGCCTAGTCCTAGCTACTTGGGAGGCCAAGGTGGAAGAATCTCTTGAGCCCAGGAGTTCAAGACCAGCTTGGGCAACATAGTGAGACCTCATCTCTACTAAAAATAAAATAAATTAGCCAGATGTGGTGGAGCACACCTGTGGTCCCAGCAGCTTGGAAGGCTGAGGTGGGACGATTGCTTGAGCCCAGCAGGTTGAGGCTGCAGTGAGCCATGTCCAGCCTGGATGGCAGAGGAAGACCCTGTCTCAAACAAACAAAAAAACCGAAGTTTGTGGTAATTTGTTAAGGAAGAAATAGAAAACTAATACAGGCATGTAAAGGAATCCATATCTATACGGGCAGCAGAAAGTAAAACAATAATATGACAAGCTCATAAGCAGCTCCATGGCAACACATTTGAAATCTTAGAATCAATGCACACATTCCTGCAAATATAGAAGTCCCCAGTACTGGCTGAAGAAACCTCAATAACTCTTCTTAAAAATTGAGTGAATAAAATTCTTCCAGCAAGAAAATGAAAGTTCCAGGTGCTTTTATGAGCTACTTCTATCAAAAATTTCAGGAAGAGAGAGTTTAAAATTTAAACAGACTCTTCCAGAGAGTAGCAAAAATTCAAATATTTGATGAGGTCAGTTTCAGCTTGGTGAGAACAGTATGAGACAGGGAAATGGCAAAACTCTCATTCATGAACAGAGATGGAAAAAAAGACTTCCAAAGTTAGCCAATCAAATACAGCAATTCTTTCAAAAATCTTTTACCTTGAATCTCCACATTACTACCTAAAGTAAAAAAAAAAAAAAATTATATGTTTATTCAATAACTGCAGAAAAGGCCTTTGATAAAAATCAAACCCCATTAATAATAAAACCTCCTAACATATTAGAAATGGAAGGGAACTCCCTTAATCTGATAAAGGGTATTTACACTCATATCAGATAAGCAAAATTTAACTCATAATACTCAGCCCAGTCGGTAGAAGTTTAAACAGTTTCAACTATTTGGAAAACAATTGGTGTCATCTGGGGAAACTGAAGATGTGGAGACCTAGTACCAGCAAATCCACTCTCAGACACACACCCTATGGAACGCATAAGCACATGATAAACATATATGTGAATGTTCACATCAGTATTGCTTATAATAGCCCTAAACCAGAAGTGACAGACATGTCCATCGGCGTGGTATATTCATGACTTAATTACTGTAGAGGAGTGAAAAAGAAGGAACGTATTGGGAACGACAAAGAAAGCCTCAGAAAAACACATGTAGTATGATACCAGTTGTATAAGATACCAAGAACGTGCAAAGCCACCAGGCGTGGTGTGGTGGGCCTATAGTCCCAGCACTTTGGGAGGCTGAGGTGGGCAGATTGCTTCAGTACGGGAGTTCAAGACCAACCTGGGCAACACAGCGAAACCCCATCTATAGAAATTAGCTGGGCATGGTGGTGCACACCTGTAGTCCCAGCTACTCGGAAGGCTGAGGTGGGAGGATCACCTGAGCTGAGGGAAGTCAAGGCTGCAGTGAGCTGTAATACCACACTGCACTCCAGCCTGGGCAACAGAGTGAGACCCTGCCTCAAAAACAAACAAACAAACAAAAAAACATGCAAATCTAAACATATACGAGAAAGACAAGCAGACACAGGCTGGGTTGAGACGTGGGTATTAGAGCAATAAACTAAAGCAAGGGATGATCAAACCCCAATTTAGGATACTCCAGGTACCACTGGGGATGGAGGAAGGGATGGAAGTATCCTGTTAATAGTCTGTGAAACTGAGTGATAGGTACAGGGTATACATCCTATTATTCTTCCTATCTGTGTGTGTGCTACATGGGTGATTCTGCACATGTGCAATAGGTCAGGAACTTTCATGATATGCTAACATGATCTCAGGTGAGATACTGGCATTATGCGCTTGGTTGAGTCAATTATGTGGTGCTTTATGGAACGAATGGCAAAGAAACCAAATAGCAAGATTTGTCTGCAATGAAACTTTAGATTGGTACACAGCCGTCTACTGGTTGGGCACTTTGAGCTCATGTATCTCAACTCATAGGCCTACGAGTTAAACACTTTATCCACAGCTATCCAGCTAGTTGAAGCGTGAAAATTAAGATTTGTATATCTTTTTATTTTCAGCCAGATGCACTTTTTTTTTTTTTTTTTGAGACAGGGTCTTGCTGTGTCACCCAGGCTGGAGTGCAGTGGTGCAATTATGGCTCACCACAGCCTGGAACTCCTGGGTCCAGGCGATTCTCCTGCCTCAGCCTCCAGAGTAGCTGGGACTACAGGTGTGCACCTTCATGCCCGGCTAATTTTTGTATTTTTTTGTACTGATGTAGACTCACTGTGTTGCCCAGGTTGGTCTCGAACTCCTGGGCTCAGGCAATCTGCCCGCTTTGGCCTCCCAAAGTGCTGGAATTACAGGCGTGAGCCACCGCGCCCAGCCCCAGATGCACATCTAAATATAGCAGGATGTTGCTTCTTATAAATACGAGTTAAGTTTCCTATGATTTCAACTAAGATATCCATGTCTGTTTTCAGAAGAGGAAATGCTTAGGAGGATTTAGAATTGATACCATTTCCCCTCGAAATAGTTTGCTAATATGGTTCGTGTTCTGTAACATGGAAGGCTTGTGTAAGTTTTACTCGGGAAGGAAATAGAAGGGATTTAAACAACGCCATTGTGAATATGGAGTGAGTCAGAGTCTTTCTACAAATGCTTGAAAATCTTGGCTGGGTCCAACCCAGCGGTGGCCAATATTGTGGAAATACAAAGGGCGAGTCTGTTTGGTTTTGAGAATAGCTTCCTGGTGGTCTGTTTGTTAAATATTTCAGTTCTATCAGAATTAAATTTGAGGACAATTAGGTGAAAATTGAAAAAAGTTGTTAAAATGTTTAATTATGCCTGTGATAGAAGAACGGAATGCACCGGTATGAAAAGCATGCCAACAGCACAGGCACCTTCTGGGGAGCAGCTGCACATGGAGCCCCTGACTCCAGACGGCTGCCTGCAGGCCGCGTGTGGAGGCCGCGTGTGGAGGCCGTGAGTGGAGGCCGCGAGTGAGGAAAACTCCCCGGCAGCGTCGCTCTGACTCACACGAAACCTGCCAAAGCCATAGGCCCATGCATTTGGAATAAGTAATATAAAATAAGGTTTCTATACCCGAAAGTAAACCAAAGGGAAAAGTATTACAGAGTAATATAATTGAATAAAAAATCATTTAAAATTTCTATTAAACATTGGTGATCAAAAAAAGATAAGTGGGCCAGGCACAGTGGCTCATGCCTGTAATCCCAGCACTTTGGGAGGCTGAGGTGGGCGGATCACCTAAGGTCAGGAGTTCGAGACCAGCCTGGCCAACATGGTGAAACCTCATCTCTACTAATAATACAAAAAAATTAGCCTGGTGTGGTGGTGGGTGCCTGTAATCCCAGCTACTCAGGAGGCTGAGGTAGGAGAATCGCTTGAACCCTGGAGGCGAAGGTTGCAGTGAGCCGAGATTGTGTCATTGCACTCCAGCCTGGGCGATGAAAGCGCAACTCTGTCTCAAAAAAAAAAAAAAAAAAAAAAAAAAAAAAAACCTGCCAAAGCCACAGGCCCATGCATTTGGAATGATAAGTAATACAAAACAAGGCTTCTATACCCAAAGTTAAACCAAACAGAAAAGTAATACATAATAATATAAATAAGAAATCATTTAAAAATTTCTATTAAAGATCGATGCTCAAAAAAAGTAAGTGTAATTAGGAAGAGTGAAGAGGAAAGACTTTAGCAGAACCTGAAAGAGACTGGCAGGGTCGACAGAGGAACTTCAAGGTTCGGACTGTTACTTTCACCTGTTGGAGAACTTCATAAATGAGGATGCACGGTGTGAACTCGTGTGTCTCACTCCTTGCACTTGGCGTCATATTTTGAGATGTTTCCATGTTGTTCTTTTTCACTGCTGAGTACCATTCCATTGTATGACCGTAGCACGATGTGTTTATCTATTTACCTACCGATGCGTTGTTACCAGTGGGGCTATTTTGAATAAAGCTGCTAAGAACTTTCTTGTTCTTAAAACATAAATTTTATTACTTGGTGCGAACACCTAGGAGTAGAGTTTCTGGGTCGTGTGCTTACTTTGTAAGGGACTGTAAACTCTTTTTCAAATAAAACGTATTACTTTACACTCCCATAAGCAACATTTAAGAATTCCAGTGATTCTGTGGCCCTGCCAACACTTTGTATTGTCAAACTTTTTAACTGTATCATTCTAGTGGGTAAACAGCTCGTTTTAATTAAATTAAGGGTAGGGTCATTTTCAGAGGATCACAAACAGAACAAAGAGAGGGAAACAAGATCAGAGTTCTTAAGGGAATTAAGAAAAATAAGAAAGATGATTGAGAAAAACTAAGGACACGGTACCCGCATTGTCCCTTAGGGGGATGAAAAGGAGTGTTCAGCAGAAATCAGTCTGATGTTCCTCTACGTGCTGTAGGTAGAGGCATTGGCCCAGCGGAGCGAAAACCATGTGGAACAGGTGGAGTGAGAGGTAACTTAGCGGAGGCGTGCAGGGCCCACCGTTTGTACCGGCTGCTCGAGCGTTACGTATCCATTAGGACTCGTACGATCCCATTCTAATCAACCACTGGCCTTCCTACTTGCAGCACATACATCCTAGAAATCTGAAGAGAATAAATATTTTTATATAAAACTTTTGAAATATTTGAAATATTTCTTAAAATGTCATGCCATCTGCTGATGTGGTCCCGTGGGAAAGACGGAAACCAAGAGTTATATGATTCAGGCTTCCCTCAATCTCTGCAGACCACAGAACAAACTGGGGAGAGATGAACAACAAGCCGGCCCACCCGCTGCTGCAGGAACTCACGTTTCTGAGAGCCTTGCCCTTAGTCCGCGTAGTGGGAGGGAAGCCTTGCAGGTTCCTGAGATTCCATATGGCTCCAGGTGTGCATTCTGTAGAGTCGGGCTGGCGGCCTAGCAGAGAATGCGACTGGAAGGAGAAAACGGGGGAAAACGGGGGGGAAAGCAGAGGAGTCATCCCAGCACGGACCCCGAAACCTAGGCAGGGTGGCAAATGGCAGGGGCGGAGAAGGGGCGGATGTGGGAAAACTTGCCCAGCCCAAGGGGATGCCCTGCAGCAGCGAATGGCTGGGACAAGTCCAGCGGGGACAGAGAGCAGCCTAAGGGCCACCCCAGGTTCACGCAGGCCCAGGGGGAGGCCTCTGCAGAGGGAAGGGTCACGAGGCCAGAGAACATGGAGGGCACACAGCGGGGTGAGAAGCAGACACAGCCACGGTGTCCTCGCTCAGGTGCTCTGCAGACTCAGACCCAGAGTCCAGAATTCACACGGACCTGTGTCTAGGGAACAGTCCCCGAGAAGCTACCAGTGGGGGGAAGAGGGGGTGAGGAAGGGGAGGAGGCCACACGGCTGCATCTTTAGGGAGTCCCGGCCCAGCTGGACCCTCAGAGGGTTCTACAGCACGAACTTCACCTGCCCGAGACCCCTCATATCAGCCCCCAGGCTCTCCACACCTGAGCCCCTCAGCCATGGATATGGGAGACCCAGCTCTAGCAATGGGCAAAGTGTCCCCACAGCCCAAGGACAGACCCCAGACCAAAGATGAGGAGGGCGGCTTTCAGGAAAAAAGAAAAAAACTGTAGGATGGGCGACGACACGGGAGAAGATCCCGGGATGGAGGGGAGACCCCACTAGGGGATGGAGGGGAACCCCCACTGGAGGAGAGACAGGGAGCTGTGAGGGATCCTGGGATGGAGGGGAGCCCACACTGGGTGATGGACAGGGAGATATGAGGGGTCCTGCGATGGAGGGGAGACCACACTGGAGGATGGACAGGGAGATGTGAGGGGGTCCTGGGATGGAGGGGAGCCCACACTGGAAGATGGACAGGGAGCTGTGAGGGGTCCTGGGATGGAGGGGAGCCCACACTGGAAGATGGACAGGGAGCTGTGAGGGGTCCTGGGATGGAGGGGAGCCCACACTGGGTGATGGACAGGGAGCTGTGAGGGGTCCTGGGATGGAGGGGAGCCCACACTGGAGGATGGACAGGGAGCTGTGAGGGGTCCTGCGATGGAGGGGAGACCACACTGGAGCATGGGCACAGGGGACTCTGAGGGGATCCTAGGGCAGGGGGAGCATGACTGGCCGTCTTTGAAAGGAGTTTTGAACATTTTCAGTGGAGTTTGTTGTGCTTGTGAATTTTGTGCCTGTTTTGAACTAGCAATAGAATCACAGGTAAACTCTGCACATCACAGGACTGCTGTGGCCTTGAGCAGGAAGAGGACTGTGTCCCCTGTGAACAGAGCTGAGGAGCTGTTATACAGCACGTTGGTTTCCCTTCAGATAAGCGTGCCCATTCAGCCTGCATGTTTCTGGATACAGTTGGACCCAGCACCATATTTTCCGTCCCTCTCTGACTATTTTTCATCTTCTTACTCTCCTCCCGTATCTAGTAACATTATGCCTTATGAATTTCCCACGTCCCTCCTCATGTGGTCCCGCATCCTACATCTTTCCTTGCCCTTGTTCCCTTGTAAACCTACCTGTCCTCGAAGCTCTTCCTAAATGGTCCTCAAATGACTAGTGTGGATCTGGCCAACTGCTGGTGTTCAGCTGTGTGCGTTATAAATGCGGGACTTCAGGAAACACCCTTACGTTATAACTGAGGCTTTCAGTGCTTTAACCAGGAGTAACAGGGAACTTCAGGCCAGTGGGTCAGAAGGACGGAAGACTCACCTACACAGGCGTGTTTTGGGTGTGGGGCACTCTCCCCTGTGGCCCTCAAATCATGGCCCATCCTGGCCACGTGTCCTGCTATGCACTGACCCCTCCCCACGCTCTCCTATATGCTGAGGGCTAGAGCATGTTCCGAACGCCAGGTCCCCAGTGCAGGAGAGAGCCCTGGATGTCACCACCAGAGCCCCTCCCCCGCCCCACCCGGGCCCCACTCCTCCCCCACCGGGCCCCACCCCACTCCCCCACCCCCTGCCCCACTCCCCAACCTCCTGCCCCCCTCCCCGACCCCTGTTCCTTCCCCCCCGCCCCCCCCCACCCCACTCCCTCCCGCCCCTGGTTTCTGCATTGACACTCCTTCCAGCCCTGCCACTGACCTCTGAGCTGTGCTGGCAGAGGCTGGCTCTAGATGACGGAGGGGAAGGACAGGGGGCAGGATGGAGGGAGGTGCTGGTGGGGCCTGCCCCACATGAGAGTCGTGGCCCTCCCTGGGCCTTAGGTGAGCCCCCGCAAAGGGGAAGCATTTAAAGGGAAGCACTTCCTCCATCCTCCCTCACCACGTCCTGAGCTGGGTCATTCACTTCCTCCATCCTCCCCTAGCACCTCCTGAGCTGGGTCATTCACTTCCTCCATCCTCCCCTAGCACCTCCTGAGCTGGGTCATTAGGAGAGTGGCATTCCCTTCTTCCAGTTCGCTCCTCTTCACTTCTCCCTCCCATTTGAGCAAAGCAAGAAAACAGGCTTAGTTGTTGCAAGAGCTCTGGAAACAAAAACATCACTGTTTTCCTCCTGGAACAATGCTTCCTTCTCCCCCACCGCATTCATGCTGACTCCTTTGAAACAGAGGAACAGTGTTAAGCCTCTGGATCTTTTCTGGGTGCCTCCAGCCTCCTCTCTGCTGCTTCTCTTTTTTACCTTTCCTCTCCTCTGCCCCTCTTTTGCCTTTGGCCTGCCCTCCATCAAACGGGGGATGGATGGAGCGGGCATGGGAATCAGACATGTTTCAGGCAAGCCACCTACAGGGCCCGTCTTGGGAAGGCCGGCTGTCCGTGCTGGCTGCTCTTCGGACACAGGCATCGTATAATTTCCCTCTTTTCACTCCTTCCTTAATGACCACCTTCTACTTACCAAGGTGCATTTCTATTTTTGTTTTGTTTTGTTTTTGAGAGAGTCTCACTTTGACGCCCAGGCTGGAGGGCAGTGGTGCCATCATAGCTCGCTGTGGCCTCACGCTCTTGGGCCCAAGTGATCCCCCAGCCCCAGCCTCCCAAGTAGCTGGGACCATAGGTGCACGCCACCAGGCTCAGCTATTTTATTTATGTATTAATTTTTTTGTAGAGGCGAGTCTTGCCATGATGGCCAGGTTGGTTCAAGGTGCATTTCTAATTCAGCAGACCAGACTAGTGTGAGTGAACCCCTAGAGACACACTGCAATGCTCGTTTATGTAGCTAGGGACAAGCCTCTGTTTCAGCCAGACCATCCGCTCTAGGCTCTCCAGCCGGGAAGGCAAGACCCCAAGGCCACTGAATGCCCCGTGAGATGTGGGTGTTGGCATCTATGCTGGGAGCCCTCGCTGTGTGGACTGGACTATCTCTTAGCTTGGGATGAGAGGAGGACCATGCTCACGTAGGGAAGCCGAGTGTGCCGAGTGTGTGTTCTGTCTGCCCCTCCACTTTCCCTTCTTCTGCAATCCGTTTTCCTGGTGACATCTACCCACTGTTTTCTCCCACCGAAATGTCCGCAGTGTGTTCCTCAGCCTGTTTGTGTTGCTAGAAAGGAACACCTGAGGTTAGGTAATTTATAAAGAAAAGAGGTTTATTTGGCCCCTTTTTGTACTAGAAGCATGGCGCCAGCACCTGCACCTGGGGAGGGGCTCAGGCTGCTTCCACTCACGGTGGAAGGGGAAGAGGAGCCGGCACGCGGAGAGATCAGAGAGAGAAAGTGGCAGGAGGCGGCCAGGCGCGGTGGCTCATGCCTGTAATCCCAGCACTTTGGGAGGCCTAGACAGGAGGATCACCCGAGGTCAGGAGTTTGAGATGAGCCTGGGCAACATGGCACGACCTCATTACTACTAAACATACACAAATTAGCCAGGTGTGGTGGTAAATGCCTGTAATCCCAGCTACTTGGGAGGTTGAGGCAGGAGAATTGCTTGAACACAGAGGTGGAGGTTGCAGTGAGCTCAGATCGTGCCACTGTACTACAGCCTGGGCGACAGAGCAAGACACCAAGACTCCGTCGAAAGAAACAGAAAGGAAGGAAGGAAGGAGAGAGTGAGAGAAAGAGAAAGAAAAGAAAGAAGGAAAGAAAGAAAGAAAGAAAGAAAGAAAGAAAGAAAGAAAGAAAGAAAGAAAGAAAGAAGGGAGGGAGGGAGGGAGGGAGGGAGGGAGGGAGGGAGGAAGGAAGGAAAGAAAGAAAAGAAAGGAAGCATGGGGGAGGTGCCAGGCTCTTTTTAGCATCCAGCTTTCACAGAACTAATACAGCAAGAAGTCACTCACAGCCCCTCCATTAATCTATTCACGAGGGACCCACCCCCATAACGCAGACACTTCCAACCAGGAGGCACCTCCAACACGGGATACAATTTCAACATGAGATTTGGAGCGGACACACATGCAGGCCATGGCGGCGTTCTAACGAGATGGGGTGCAGCGTTCTAACCAGACGGGGTGCAGCGTTCTAACGAGACGGGGTGCAGCGTTCTAACGAGACGGGGTGCAGCGTTCTAACCAGATGGGGTGCAGCGTTCTAACGAGATGGGGTGCAGCGTTCTAACCAGATGGGGTGCAGCGTTCTAACGAGATGGGGTGCAGCGTTCTAACGAGATGGGGTGCAGCGTTCTAACCAGATGGGGTGCAGCGTTCTAACGAGATGGGGTGCAGCGTTCTAACCAGATGGGGTGCAGCGTTCTAACGAGACGGGGTGCAGCTTTCTAACGAAATGGGGTGCAGCGTTCTAACGAGACGGGGTGCAGCGTTCTAACGAGACGGGTGCAGCGTTCTAACGAGATGGGGTGCAGCGTTCTAACGAGACGGGGTGCAGCGTTCTAACGAGACGGGGTGCAGCGTTCTAACGAGACGGGGTGCAGCGTTCTAACGAGATGGGGTGCAGCGTTCTAACGAGACGGGGTGCAGCGTCCGTTTGGGAAGGCGGAAGAAGCCTGTGAGGTCCAAGAGGGCGGATGGAGAAAGTTCCCCAGCAGGAACTCCCCGCTAGGGAAGCTTTAGAATTTGCCCGGGAGAGCGGGGGGGTGCTGCGGTGGTCAGTGTGGAGCATTTGACCGGTGGAGGCCCGGGATGCACCGTCCTGCCGCCCACGCACTCGCGGCAGAGCCCAGGGCGGCCTGCGCAGCTTGCATAGGGCCCACGGGACGCCGCCCACGGGGAAAGCCGTCTGTAACCATCCGAGCCTAGATACTCCCTGTTTACCTGCAGACACACCCACCGCACGGCCCAGGAATACGGCCACTGCGGAAGTCAAGAGGAGACTGCTGCGTTCCCTTTGAAACAGCCCAGGGCGGCTCATCAAGGCTGCAGAAAACATTACAGCCCCACAGGCAGGGCTGCTCCGGCCTTCGTTTAGCAGCTTGATTGAGGCGTCATTGGCACACGGCGAACTGCGCGTCATTAACGTGGGCGGTTCAGTGAGTTCTGAGGAACGCATAGCAGGTGGATCCGTCGCCACAGTCGGGAAAGCGAGCACGGCCTCTCCGAAGCCTGCCCGGCTCCTCGGGAACCTGCCTCCCGCATGGCAGCTGCTGCCCTTCGGAGGCCGACCCGACCCATCCCTGGGTGCTGTCTAGGTCACTGTCCTTGTGTGTTTTTGTTTTACTTTAGAACTCTTATAAAGACACAAACCGATGAGTAGAGACAAACTCACACTAGGAAATGGACTGGGTGTGGTTTGCAAAGCGGGGAGCGCGGTCTGTGTCCGGAACCCTCTGAGCTCAGGCAGCGTCCTGGGCTGTTTCCTGGGGCAGCGGCCACAGCCGTCCTATCTGCAGAGCATCCTGCTTTCCTGGAGGGCATCTGCGATGGCCCCCAGGCTGTACTGTTCCCTGTAAGTCCCGAGCCCCCTGTGGGGACAGGCGCTGGGAGGGGTGTGGCCTGCTGGGGGCTCTCGGATGTGTTGCCCCAGGGAGCCCGGCCGGGTGATGCCTCGGGGTGACTGGGGACGGCAGGAGGGAGGGGAAGGCAGGGCGCGGAGCAGTGAGGTCGGCAGCTTCTTCCCAGCGCTCGTCGACACTCCAGCCTCTTCAGCCACGTCTGGGGTTGCGTGAGCCCAGACAGAACTCATGGCTCGAGGCTGGGAGGCTGAGAGGCCTGAAGGGGGCCTCTGATTTCCATGTACCCCCTGCACCCCATGTTCGTGTGGCCTCCGCACTTGCCCAGGGCCTCTGCCGTGTGACAGCCCCACCCCAGCCCCACGCTGCCCCAGGGTCTCCCTGGAGCGCCGTCTGTCCTCTGCCAGGCTGTACCTGGGTCCCGTGACTGAGCGGCACTGGGTGGAGACTCACTTCCTGGCTCTTCTCCCATCGCAGCACCTGAGCAGCCCCGTGACTGCGGCCTGAGGTCTGCCCCACGTGCGCTGTGGGCCAGGCAGAGCGCCAGGTGCACCCAGGATGCCTTCATCTTCACCGCCGCTCCAGAGCCAGGGACTGGTGACTAACCCTGTATCCACGAGATAGCAGGCTCAGTACGGTCAGGGACTTGTCTGAGGTCTCACATCCAGGGTTGTTCGCCGTCCCCGGGCTCAGTGTCTCGCTCCCCGCCTGCGGAGTGGAGTAGTTCTGAGATGTGTGCATGCCATCTCCCTTTCAATGGCGCCATCCTACAAGTGGCCTCAGCCAAGGTTCAGCCAGTAGGAGGCAGACCTGGAGAGATTTAGAGCCTGGATCCGGCACCACGATGGGGGCCTGGGAGCGAGGTCCAGGCAGGCAGGCCGTGGGAAGGGCAGGCTGGACCTGGGGCAGAGCTGAAGCTACCGCCCACAGCGGAATTTCTTCTCTGGAAAGCCTTTCCAGTGCTGAATCGGGCCCACCCGGATTGTCTAACATAGTCTTCCTCATTTAAAGTCCACTGTGATGGGTCTTTTGCACACCAACAGAACACCTCCACAGCCACATCTGGACCCATGTTGAATGAATTACCGGGGACTGTCACCTGGTCAAGGTGACATATAAAACTGACCCGCACAGTAGGTGCGAATGTCTTTCCAATTCTTTGCAGGAAACTGAGGCACAGCAATGCAGATAGCACAGCTGGTAAGGGAAGTGCCTGGGATGTGAACCCAGGAACTGTGCCCAGGAGTGGATACAAGCTTCCATCTTCGGACAGTGCCTCAGGCTCCCCCGAGATGTCCATGGGGTCAGGTGCCCTGACACCGGTCTCTGCACATGAAAGTGTTGAGTCTTCATGCTGCCTAAGTAGGTTTTGCTCTTGTTTTCAGTGAGGAGACTGAGGCCCAGGACATTGAATGACGCCCATGTTCATCCATATAGTGGTAAAAGAGGCAGAAGCCCCCGGGCCTATTTGATGATAGAGCCCAGGCCTTTAGGCCCTGCTAGAGCTGACCTCACGCACCCGCTCCGCGTGGGGCATGGAGACGTCTCTGGAGTAGAGGCGAGGCCTAGAACCAGGCAGGCTGTCTTTGCCATTTTTTTCCTTTCTGAATGTCCTAACTAGGGTATAGATTATCCCTACCCTCTGCATGGGCCTTGCACTTAATTTGCTTGCAATTAATTAAGGGATATTTTGTATTCCGTCAATAAAGGGAATCATTATTTTTTTAAAGGAACCCAGCTTTTAAAACCCCTTTTTGCTGATACATAACTTAATTTGTTCCTGCTACTGTAACAAAACACCAGAGACTGGGTCATTTATAGACAACAGGAGTTTATTTCTCACAGTTCTGGACGTGGGGAAGTCCAAGATCAACGTGCCAACAGGTTCAGTGTCTGGGGAGAGCCTGGTCTCTGCTCACAAGACAGCACCTTGAGCACTGTGCCCTCACTGGTAGGAGGGGTGAACAGCCCCCTGGCACTTCTACAAGGGCACTAAGCCCATCCCTCATGACCCACTAACCTCCTCAAGGCCCCACCTCTTACTGCTATCACGTTGGTGATGAACTTTCAGTCATCAAGGGGGATGCATTGAGGCCACTGTATATATCCCATGAAGTAGCTTACTCTTGTGTTCGGCTTGATTCTATTTACAAAGTGAACACACCCATGTGTCTGCAAATCAAATCAAGATGTAGTCACCGTTTTCATCACTCCCCAGAATTCCTTTGTCTTTTCTGAGACAATACCCCCAAAAATAACCACTGTTCTGATTCCTATTATTATAGGTTGGTTTGGCACATTCTTGAATTTCATAAAAATTGAATCATACTATATGTGCCCTTTTGTCTATGTTTTTCATGTTTTCAAGATTCATTGTTATTGAACATATCAGTTTCTTCCTTTTTATTACTGTATTATTAGTATTCTATTATTCTATGAAGATACAATACTTTATGAGTTCACCTGTTGATGGAATTTGGGTTGTTTCCAGTTGCGAAGTATTTGAACTGTTTTGAAGAAAGAATTCTTGTAAAAATCATTTTTTTTTTTTGAGACAGGGTCTTGCTCTGTCCACCCAGGCTAGAGTGCAGTGGTGGTGAACATGACTCATTACAGCCTTGACCTCCCAGCCTCAAGCGATCCTCCCACTTCAGCTTCCTAAGTAGCTGGGACTGGAGGTGGAGACTATCATGCTAGACTCCTGGGCTCAAGCAATCCTCCACCTTGGCCTCCTAAAGTGCTGGGGTTACAGGTGGGAGTCACCATGTCTGGCTGTAAAAGTCTTTTAAGGGACTTATGTTTTCACTTGCCTTGGGCAAACCTAAAAGTGGGATTGCTGAGAAATGGGCAAACAATTAATCAGAGTGGTTGCGCCATTTGCACTCTCATCGCCTTGTATAGTGGTTCCAGGGGCTCCACATTTTTACCCTTGCCATGTCGGTCTGCAGTTTCAGCCGTGCTTGGATGACGGTGGTGGCATCTCATTGTGAGTTTACTTTGGGTAACACTGAGCACTATTTCCTGTTCTTGTTGGCTATCAGTACATCTTTGGTGAAGTATTTACGTCTTTTGTTTATTTTTAAATAGACTTGTTATTGTTATTTACAGGCTTGTTATTGTTATATTGTTTTGTCCCTTTTGAAATAGACTTGTCTTGTTATTGTTCATTTGCAGGAGTTCTCTATTTACCAGGACTATGGTTTGAACGCGTTTTCCCCAAAGTTTATGTGTTGGAAACTTGACCCCCAATGCAGCAGTGTTGGAAGGTGCCTACTAGGTGGTGTCTGGGTCATGGGGGTATGACCCTCATGGATGGATAAATGCCATGACTGAGGCGGTGGGCTCCTTATAAAAGAATGAGTTTGGGTGAAACCTCGTCTCTACTAAAAATACAAAAATTAGCTGGGTGTGGTGGCACATACCTGTAATCCCAGCTACTCGGGAGGCTGAGGCAGAATAGCTTGAACCAGGGAGTCGGAGGTTGCAGTGAGCAGAGATCGCACCACTGCACTCCAGCCTGATGACAGAGCAAGACTCCGTCTCAAAAAAAAAAAAAAAAAAGATAAGTTTGGCCCATTTTGCATCCTCCCTCCCCACCTCCGCCTCCCACCTTCCGTCATGGGATGATGCAGCCCGAAGGTTCTTGCCAGATGTGGCTCCTTGATCTTGAACTTCCCAGCCTCCAGAACTGTGAGAAATAAATTTCTTTTCATTGTAAATCACCCATTCCCAGGTATTCTGTTACAGCAGCACAACGTGGATTAAGACAAGCCATTTGTGGGATATATGCATTGCCCCTGTGTTCTCCCAGTCTGTGGCTTGCCTTTTCATTTTCTTAATGATGTCATGAGATGAGTAGAAATATTAAATTTTGATAAGCCATTTAATCATTTTTAAATGGTCGGTCCATTTTCTGTCTTACCTGAAGATCCGTAAGATCTTTTCTTATATTTTATCCTAGCAACTTTATAATTTTTACACTTAAGTCTATGATCCATCTGAAATTCCTAAATTCTATTTTAATCCTAATAGTTTATTTGTAGATAATTTTGTTTTTTAACATATATAATCATATTGACTGTAAATAATCAGTTTTTCCTCCCTCAATCCTTACACTTTTTGTTTTTATGACCTACAACACTTGTTAGATGCTGCAGGACAATGCTGAATAGACTACGGAGAGTCAAAGATTTTCATACACCCTTATCAGTACAAGTAGATAAAAAGTACAAGTAGATAAAAAGTACAAGTAGATAAAAAAATCAGTAACAAATATGACCTAATTGACATCTGTAGAACTTTATGTCAGTGAAAGCATGTTCTCAGCAAGTGCTCATAGAACATTTACCAAAATAGACAATGTTGGGCCATGAAGCAAGTGTTTGAAAATCTTAAACGACAAAAATAAAACAGCTGATGTTTTAAGGCCCGGTGGAATTAAACTTTAGTTACAATAAAAAGAAAACCAGAAAGTCCCCATATATTTGAAAGGTGAACCTAACTTTTCTAAATATCCCATGGGTCAAAGAGGGAATCACAATGGAAAATCCCAACTCTTCCATATCCGGGCTTACGAAAATAGGGATGTATCTGTGAGGAACGCCTGAATAAAGCAGACAGACAGGATCTATTGGAGCTCCAAATCAGGGGATTTTCTGCCCAACCTGCCTGGAAGGCATTGCTCTGTGGCCCTACTCAGTGGTGTCCCTGGCGGCCCTGAGTTTAGGGGCTCAATTTCATCCATTGAGAAAATGAGTTGTTTATTCCATACACAGGACTATTTCCTCTTATCTCTACCTTTTTAGAAAACACTACAAGTATCAGGATTTTCTCATCGTATTTAGGTAAACAAGAACTAATTTAGTTGACCTTCTTACTTCTGTTGATCAAGACCATTGATCTGACCATTGATCTGTGCAGAAGATCTCTGAATAAGGTACCCAGAGAACCCTAGGAATAGAAACCTGAAATAAGTTTTCTAATCTTAAGGTCGCTGAGAGCAAATACCTTTTTCAATTGATTCATAAAAACAACTCAGTCTGATTTCATAAAATTAGCAAGTGTGAATAATAAACATTGAAAAAATATCACCTTACCTACGATTATTTTTTCCAGCCATTGTAGTCTTTCTATGTTGGCTATGATTTTTACATAGTCCAAAATTTTCAGGGAAATAACTTATTCCAGAGCACACAAGCCTTAAGGGCAGTTAATGTTTAGATTAATTTCGTGATACTTAGCATCCCAAATAGCTGTTTGTATTTCTTCTATAAAACAAGTGAAAGGGGCTAGAAATCTCTAAGAAGTCTGACAGTTCTAAAACACTGACTTAAAATTACTTCTATGATTCGGAGATTTGGGTAGGAGAAGGCATAGAAATAAATCTAGCATCTGCGAACACACTTGTTAAATGTGCTGACCAGGTAAAAGATAACATCCTTTAGTTATTTTGGTTAAAAATGTCTTTGTTTCTCGTTTTTTTTTTTCTTTAATAGTAATTATAACGATAATCTGTTTCCTTTTTAAAAGTATAAGACAAATAAATGCTCAAAGTAAACAATTCCAATAACTCAGAAGGGGCCATTCCCTGGAAAGGTCCCGGGAAAAACGAGCGCTTCCTGGCAAGAAGCAAGCTTCAAAAACTGCCTCGGAAACGTGGCTGAAGTCATCGCATTTCCAAACGCCCAAGCCTTGGCTGGTCCAGGGCAGCTGGCGCGGAAGACCCGGAACGCCCTGTGGGCAGGGCCAGCTGCGGACGGAGGGACGGGGGCTCAAGGGCGGGTCGGGTGGGGTCCCGACGCCCCCTCCTCGGCTGGGCGCACCCCGGGTGTCCGCAGGGAGGGGCGATGTTCTGGGGGGGGGAGCGTCTGCCCGACGCCCCCTCCCTCAGGTGAGCTCAGCCCGTGGGGGTCCGCAGAAAGGGCGGTGCTCTGGGAGAGGGTTAGGGTCTGCCCGGCGCACCCTCCCCAAGGGGCGCAGCTCTGAGCCGGGAGCAGGCTCTGCGGGGAGGATCCAGATGTTGGGGGCGGGGAGGGCACTCGGTCTGCCCAGCGACCCCTCCCGAAGTGAGCGCGGCCCGGGGTCCGCGGGGCAGGAGATGATCCGGGGGCGGGAGCCTCTGCCGCGCGCCCCCTCCCACGCGTGCGCAGCCTGGGCCGGGCGTTGGGCAGCGGGAGGGGGCGCGGGCGGCCACGTGGCCTCGAAGGAATGCGCGGGCGCGAGGGCAGGGCGCTGCCGAGAAACCGGCAGGCTCTGCGGCCAATGGGCGCCCGGAACGGTCTGGGCCCGCCAATGACAGCATGGTGGGTGGAGCAGGCCGTCCGGGCGGGAGGGGCTGGGCGCATCCCTGTAGCCGGCGGGCGCGCGATCCGGGACGGACGGGGTCGCGGGGGACGCGGGGGACGCGGGGGACGGCGGGGAACGGCGGGGGACGGCGGGGAACAGCGGGGGACGGCGGGGAACAGCGGGGGACGGCGGGGAACAGCAGGGGACTGCGGGTCGCGTCCTGGCCGCCGAGGTGAGTGCGGGCCCCGCGGACCGTGGGTCCCCTCGCGGGCTTCTGGTTTCCTTTGAGAGTTGCACTTCTGCCCGGCTCCCCCGAAATCGCTGGGTCCCACCCGGAGGTGGCTGCGCCCCCGACCCCCTGCGCAGATGTTTCAGGGAAGGGGCTGAGACCCCCTCCCCCCGAGCAGCTCCCCCTTCCGCGGCGCCCCCGGCCCCTCAGGATAACGGCGCGGGCCTGGGCGGGGGGAGCAGGGACTGGCAGCAGGGACCCCTGGCCCCAGGGGCAGGAGCGAACTCCGATCGGCGGAAGGAGCCCGAGGGGCGAGCTGGCTTCGCCTGGGGGGTCGTGCAGTAACTTAGATTTTCCGGTAAAGGAGAAGAATGCGGTCCGCCTCAGGATGCAGAGAAGGACCGGTGTAAGGAAAGCCGGCGTCTTTCCCCCGCACCCTACCTGTCCCCCTACCCCACCAGTTCCCCGCACCCCGTGTACCCCGCCTGTCCCTCAGCACCCCCTGTTCACTCTGCACTCCACCAGTTCCCCGCACCCCAGCTGTCCCCCCGCACCCCACCTGTTTACCCTGCACCCCAGCTGTCCCCCGCGCCGCAGCTGTCCCCCCCACACCCCACCTATTCCCCCGCACCCCGCCTGTCCCCCCGCACCCTACCTGTTTATTCTGCACCCCACCTGTCCCCTCGCACCCCACCTGTTCCCCCTGCACCCCACCTGTCTTCCCCACACCCCACCTGTTTACTCTGCACCCCAGCTGTCCCCCCACACCCCACCAGTTCCCCGCACCCCGTGTACCCCGCCTGTCCCTCAGCACCCCATGTTAACTCTGCACTCCACCAGTTCCCCGCACCCCACCTGTCCCCTCGCACCCCACCTGTCCTCCCCACACCCCACCTGTTTACTCTGCACCCCAGCTGTCCCCCCACACCCCACCTGTTCACCCGCACTCCACCTGTCCCCCCGCACTCCACCTGTCCCCCCGCACCCCACCTGTCCCCCCTGCACCTCACCTGTCCCCCCGCACCCCACCTGTCCCCCCGCACCCCACCTGTCCCCCCGCACTCCACCTGTCCCCCCGCACCCCACCTGTCCCCCCGCACCCCACCTGTCCCCCCGCACCCCACCTGTCCCCCGCACCCCACCTGTTCACCTGCACCCCACCTGTCCCCCCGCACCCCACCTGTCTCCCCGTACCCCACCTGTTCCCCCGCACCCCACCTGTCCTCGCACCCCACCTCTCTCCCTGAACCCCACCTGTCCCCTGCACCTCAACTGTCCTGCACCCCACCTGTCCCCCTGATCCCCACCTGTCCTCTGCACCTCACCTGTCCCCCTACACCTCACCTGTTTACCCTGCACCCCAGCTGTCCCTCGCACCCCAGCTGTCCCCCCCGTACTCCACCTGTTCCCCTGCACCCCACAGCCCGCTGGTGCCCAAGAAGCCAAGGTAGATTCTGAGGAAACTGCCCTAGGTCCACAGACGCCCTGCCCACCTGTCCCAGCCCCACTCCCCTTCCATGGGCCCCTGGGCACTGAAGGTGAGGTCTGAGTACCCCTCCCGACTGTGGCCAGTAGGTCATGTTCCCAGGCAGCAGTAGACGAACTTGCTGTTGTCTGATATTGATTCCAGTCACTAACTTTGGCTGCAAGTAAAAATTCTCATTGACTCAAGATGTAACGGGTTTTAATTCTTTTCTCTGGTTAACCATAACCTGAGTACGGACTGGTCAGTATTCTAGATTCTGTGCAGGAGTGACTTAATGTCCATATGGGTGGAATGCTGCAAGGAGGAACAATTTCACTGTTGCTGATTAATAATATGTTTTGAACACCTGCTTTATAGAAAATAATTTTTATTCGAAAAGAGAGATGATTACTGAGGTTTACACGTCATGTATTTTTAAAAACACACTTTGTCCCTGTCTGTCTCTCACAGCATTTATTTGCTGGCTTTAGCAGCCAACATCGGCAGTTACGGATGCATAACTCTTTATAGACAGATGAGACCTCCAGGATTTCTCAGCAGTAAGAAAAGTCATTTGTATAAGGTGCTATTTGTAATTCATTAGTTGTAGACAGTTGGGGGTGAAGTGAAGTTAAAAGTTATTCAGAATAGCTTTTTATGTTTTTAAAAGTTGATGCTTGACTTCCAGATGTAACCACATTTGTCTTCTGGGTGCTTTGGTGTGCTGCCTTTCCTCTGCAGTTTGTGTGTGCATACGTGTGCGTGTGTCTTTGTGTATGTGTTTGTGTTTGTATGCATGTGTGTGCGTTTGTGTGTGCGTGTGTTTGTGTGTGTGCTGTGTGTGTGTGCGCTTTGTGTGTGTGTGTGTGCGCGTGTGTGAGTTGTAGATAGAGGCGTTGGGTGGTGTGGAGGGTGTGGAGTTACAGACCTGGGTTGAGGTGGGGAAGCTTTTCCCTGGCCCTGTGAGTCCAGACTTCTCACGGGACTTGAGGGTGCTCACTTACGAAGTTGCTAGAAGGCGTTGTATGGGGAAGTGCTGCTTAAAACAAAGATGTTTGGCATAAATTAGAGCAAACTGGAAATGCGCTAATGACGGTTGTATTCTGTAAGCGATGTGAAAACGTCATAGTGAGATGTAAGAAAGCGCTGTTGTAGGCCCGTCATTGTTTACTGCACAGTGTGTGGCAGGAAGCATGCAAAGAACAGCTCGGATCTGGAGATGCTCAGAGAATCTGTGTTTCATGCGTGCGTTGCTTATAGTTTGCCTGGGTAGAAAGGTAAGTGGCGTGAAATAAGACAGAAGGGAAGCGTAGCTGTTAGTCATTCATGAGGGAGAACTTCAGCTCTCTCCCTTAACCAGGCTTTCTGGGAGTGTAATTTTGGAAGGTTCTGGGAGCTCTGCAGTGGAAAGGGGTGGGCCAGGCCCAGGGGCTGCCAAGGGTCTGAGAGGCAGGGAGAGCAGAGGCCGGTGACCAGCAGGGGTCCTTGCCTGGGTGGCAGACAGGGCCACAGCCCCAGGTCCGTCTAGGGAGGGGCAGGGTTACCTGTAAGGACAGGTGTGGCAAAGGGGCCCAGGGAGAATGCCCTGCCACCAGCCCCCACGCTGATACACACACACTTCTGCCACATCTGCCACCCTACTCTGCTTCAGCCTGTTCATAGTTGTCAGGTTTGGACATTGGTTTTGGTTCTGTTTGTTTGTTTTCTGTGAGTAGTTTTCCAAATTTTGATAAAAAAGTGATCTTTTTTTTTGAAATGGAGTATCACTCTGTTGCCCAGGCTGGAGTGCAGTGGAGAGATTCGGCTTGCTGCAGTCTTTGCTTCCCAGGTTCAAGCAATTCTCCTGCCTCTGCCTCCCAAGTAGCTGGGATTATAAGCACCCACCACCGTGCCCGGCTAATTTTTGTATTTTTAGTAGACGGGTTTTGCCATGTTGGCCAGGCTGGTCTTGAACTCCCGACCTCAAGTGATCCACCTGCCTCAGCCTCCCAAAGCGCTGGGATTACAGGCGTGAGCCACTGCATGCCCCGTCAAAATGATCATTTTAAATCGTGGATTTTTCCTTTCCTTCCATCATTGCCATTTCCTGCTTTTTGTTGTATCATTAGAGTAAAGCAGGCCTGCCAGTAGAAAGTGCTATATGGGGGTTGTTGGTATTTTATATTTTTGTTAAATGATGTGAAAAAGGTGTAAAATATTTTTAAAAATGTTTGGGTTCAAAGTTTTTCTCTTCCATGGGTCACTTCTGATAGGGGAAATAACTGTGTAAAGTAAAATATGGTATCCAGAGCTGTGACTGGTGCGGGGGCCCTTGTGAGGGAGCGATGGGGAAGCATGCAGGTTGTTAACAGGCACATGTAGAGATGCATGGCTGTCTGCGTAGAATAGGCCTGGCTGCATCAGCATTGGCTAGTTACCAATCTGGCCATTCTAGGTTCCAATATCTTAATGACCGTCAGTCCCTGGGGACTCACAGTGGGGGTTTAATGAAGAAAACAGAAGGAATGGTTGTGGTACCTCAACACTCTGCCTCCACTGATAGCTACAGACAGCCGAGGCCCTTTTCGGCACCAGGTGAGTCGGGGTGAGTCAGGCTCCTGCAAGTCGTAGGTGTTGCTTCCGTGCTGAGATCACGTTCTTTGTTTTGTTTTGTGCCCGTGGCTTGTTGTCCAGCTGTGGGGAACAGACCCTTACACTTGGATGTGGTCGTTATTATGTTGTGGAAGAGCAGTGCCTTCCTCTTAAAGTGCCTTCCTCCCTTAAAACCGTGGCATGCACACTTAACGGTTTTAAGGAATTACATTTTGATAAACCGTGGCATGCACACTTACTGTTTTAAGGAATTACATTTTGATAAACCGTGGCATGCACACTTACTGTTTTAAGGAATTACATTTTGATAAACCGTGGCATGCACACTTACGGTTTTAAGGAATTACATTTTGATAAACCGTGGCATGCACACTTACTGTTTTAAGGAATTACATTTTGATAAACTGTGGCATGCACACTTCCTGTTTTAAGGAATTACATTTTGATAAACCGTGGCATGCACACTTAACGGTTTTAAGGAATTACATTTTGATAAACCGTGGCATGCACACTTACTGTTTTAAGGAATTACATTTTGATAAACCGTGGCGTGCACACTTAACGGTTTTAAGGAATTACATTTTGATAAACCGTGGCATGCACACTTACTGTTTTAAGGAATTACATTTTGATAAACCGTGGCATGCACACTTACGGTTTTAAGGAATTACATTTTGATAAACTGTGGCATGCGCACTTACTGTTTTATTCTATCGTTTGCTTATTTTTTTTTTCTGAAAGGAAAATAAAGCAGTGATTTCAGTGCAGTGTCTGATTTTCTGTAAGGAACATGAGAAAAGTGAGTCCAAAGAGCATTACATAAGCTAGCGTGGTATTCAGTGCGTATCTGAGCGGACACGGACGGGGAGTCCTCGAGCTTTGGAGAGGAAGCAGGCGGCAGGGCCTCCAGCACACCTGGGGGGCGGCCAACCAGCCCGGCCAGGCCGAGCGCTCCCCGCCTGCACAGTTGCACTCATGTCGGGCCTGAGCTGAGTCGTCCCGACAGGATACCTGCGTGGGCCGTGTAGACACAACCCAGGGAGCTCCAGAGTTAATGACCCTCCTGGTTCAGAAGCTCCGTATGTTTTGTGTGAGAAGCGCTGAGCTGTGACGGAGGGAATGCGGTGGGTCTTCCTGATGGTGCGTGCAGTTCTGAGCCTGGCGGGGTCAGCGGCATGGAACCAGTGGGACGTGGTAAGGCCAGGCCTGTGGGCGGTTGCCCTGTGTGGGCCGGGCCAGCTTGAAGTCCGCTGAGGGCTGGAGCCAGCCCCTGACCCTGGCCAGCCTGCTTGCTGCAGGAGTGATAAGAAAGTCGACTCATGCTTTGTTCTCAAGCACTTGACTCAGCAGGCCCGTGGGAAGCAGCCCACACGAGAGGCCCTGACCCACGTCCAGCTGCCTCCACGGAAGCCGCGGCTTCGTGGCTTTCTGTCGTTTGTGTGGGCTCTGCATTCAGCCAGCAGAGGCACTTCTTGCAGAGCAGGGCTGAGGAGAATTCCTTTCTCTGGAAGCTGTGGTCCTGTGTTATGTAGAATAGGTCACTTTTCAGCTGCAGCTGGAGTCTAAACGAGCGTCATAGGTGCCCAGCGCTG
The DNA here is from genome assembly GCF_000001405.40 of Homo sapiens. Lineage (NCBI taxonomy): Eukaryota > Metazoa > Chordata > Mammalia > Primates > Hominidae > Homo > Homo sapiens. Next base: position 1,829,760 of record NC_000008.11, read on the forward strand.
CACGGCGGCGCAGCGCTGCATTCGTGGTCCCGAATCCGGGGTCTGCGGAGGAAGAACGCGCGGCGAGGCCCGGGGAGGCTGCTGGGACGGCGGCAGGCACCCTGCTCCTGGAATGGCGTTTAGACATGCAGGTTTCTCCATGATTTAATAGGAAGGAATGAAAGGTGCAGCGTTTTGCCAGCTGATGAAAATATCTGGGGAGCGAGTCATAGGTAGCGGTAGCAAGAAGGAGAGGGTTAGGTTCTCCAGTGTGCAGGCTCCGAAGTGCTCTCTGCCAGCCGTCAGAGGGCTGCAGTTTGGAGGCAGCTCCCGCTTGCTCTAAAGAGCCACTTCCCCGCTCCGTTCTGTCTGCAGACGGCCCCAGAGGGCAAGGACTCCTGGTGACAAGAGGAGTATCAGACGAAGGCAGGGGAGGGAGGCTGTGTGCGCGCACCTGTAATCCTGGGAGATTTCCACTGCAATCCGCAGGCATGCGTGGCAGGCGGCTCATTTCCCGTGGGGCTCAGGCGGCTCATTTCCCGTGGGGCCCAGGCGGCTGTCCTTGGTGGGCGCTTGACTCCTGGGCGTGGCTTCTGTCCAGCATCCAGGCTGCCAGGAGCCTCCGGGGGCCGTGCAAACACCTGCGAGCACCTTCTTGGTCCCTTGAGGCCTTTCTCTGTTGGCTTAGGTTTAGTGCCCTTTTGTGCTTATGTGTTTTTTGAATCAAGTTTTTATACTTGATTTAACTTCTATAAAAAGAAACAACCTTTGCACATGAAGAAAATCTACCTGTGGCCATATGACAAGCACCGGCAAATCTGGAAATGACCTATTAAGAGACAGGTGTTTCATGAATACCGCTGCGTGCTAAGTACTAAGTGCTCTCACGCCCCAAGGCAGGGTGTGAACCGCAGAGACCATGTGCTTGCCCTGGGGGGCTGGCACCCTTGTCTTCAGGAAAGATGATTTAAGAAGTAAAGTAATATGATGAAAAGCTGCGGAAAGAGAAGGCATACACGGGGCTACAAGGTGGAGAAATAAGGCATACACGGGGCTACAAGGTGCGGAGAGGAGGGATTTGAAATTGAATAGGAGCCATGGCAGGCGAGGCGCCAAGAGAATGGGGTCATTGCCTGAAATGCCACTGGAGCCGAGAGATGAGCTGAGCCCACGTCCACAGAAGCCCATTCCCAGTGGGAGGAACAGCGTCTGCGCGGCCCTGAGGTGGTGCACCCAGCATGTCCAGGAACAGCAGGTCGGCCAGGGCTGGAGGGCCGAAGGCAAGAGGGGACTGGTGAATGCCAGGGCAGCGGGGGAACTGCATGGGAAGAAGCCTTGGAGGCTCTGTGTGTCAGAGCGGCTGGAAGGGCCACGGGCCAGACCCATGGAGGGACAGTGTGGGAGAGCCACGGAGGGGCCATGTGACAGAGAGCTGTAGCAGACAGGGTGATGGACATCCATGGAGGGACAGTGTGTGGCAGCCGTGGAGGGACAGTGTGACATCCGTGGAGGGACAGTGGCAGCCGTGGAGGGACAGTGTGACGGCTGTGGAGGGACAGTGTGACATCCATGGAGGGACAGTGGCAGCCATAGAGGGACAGTGTGACGGCCATGGAGGGACAGTGTGACATCCATGGAGGGACAGTGGCAGCCGTGGAGGGACAGTGTGTGATGGCTGTGGAGAGACAGTGTGACATCTGTGGAGGGACAGTGTGACGGCCGTGGAGGGACAGTGTGACATCCGTGGAGGGACAGTGTGACGGCCGTGGAGGGACAGTGTGACATCCGTGGAGGGACAGTGTGACGGCCGTGGAGGGACAGTGTGACATCCGTGGAGGGACAGTGTGACGGCCGTGGAGGGACAGTGGCAGCCGTGGAGGGGCCGTGCACAGTGAGTGGTGAGCGAGTTGGGACGCGAAGGCTGCTCTGTGCTGCTGGGATTGCTGGTGTCAGCGCCCACTGCAGAGTCCTGTGCTGCGGCTCATGTACTGCTGTGCGGGTCGTGCACTGCTCGCTCCTGGACACCTGCACAGGGTGCTCCTGATGGAGTCACTTTTCAGTGTGTTGACTTTCACGTCGATGACAGGCAGCTTTTTCTCATTCTCACCATGGGATCCTATGGGGCTGTGGCCCTGGGTCAGGAGTGCCCTGGAGGGTGGCACATGGCCGGGTGGAGTTGGATGGGCTCCCTTCCCGCAGCTGCCTGTGGAAACCAGCACGTTGGCAGGAGGGGAGGGTGGTGCCCGAGCCTGTGGGTGTGGCCGCTGGGGACTGGGTGTGGGGACAGGAGTCTGTGGAATGCGGTGCTTCCTCCTGACTGTGGGGCTGGAGGAGCAGCGGTGGGTCGAGGGTGGTTTAGTCCACCCAGGGGGTCCTGTGGCCCCGCTCTGCTGGTGCCTGTCGAAGGGGCAGCTGCAGTCGAATCACCACGCTGCTCCAAGGGAGTCTCCCAAGGGCTCCAAGGGATGGAGCGTCCGTAGATGCCCGGAGGAGTTGCGGTGGGCGGGGGGCGCGTTGTGTCCAAGGCTGTGTCGAGGGTCATGTGCAGCCGCCCTTGCTGTGGACAGAGAGACAGGCAGAGGCAGAGACAGAGACAGAGGGAGAGAGAGACAGAGACAGGCAGAGACAGAGACAGAGACAGAGGCAGAGGCAGAGACAGAGAGAGGCAGAGGCAGAGACAGAGAGAGACAGAGGCAGACAGAGGCAGAGACAGAGACAGAGGCAGAGACAGAGGCAGAGAGAGACACAGGCAGAGGCAGAGACACAGGCAGAGACAGAGACAGAGGTAGAGAGACACAGAGGCAGAGGCAGAGACAGAGAGAGACAGAGGCAGAGACAGAGGCAGAGACAGAGACAGAGACAGGCAGAGGCAGAGACAGAGGCAGAGAGAGACAGAGGCAGAGGCAGAGACAGAGAGAGACAGAGGCAGAGACAGAGGCAGAGACAGAGACAGAGAGACAGGCAGAGGCAGAGACAGAGGCAGAGAGAGACAGAGGCAGAGGCAGAGGCAGAGACAGAGACAGAGGCAGAGACAGAGGCAGAGACAGAGAGAGACAGAGGCAGAGGCAGAGACAGAGGCAGAGAGAGAGGCAGAGGCAGAGACAGAGGCAGAGAGAGACAGAGGCAGAGGCAGAGACAGAGAGACAGAGGCAGACGCAGAGACAGAGAGACAGACAGAGGCAGAGACAGAGGCAGAGACAGAAGCAGAGACAGAGGCAGAGGCAGATACAGAGGCAGAGAGAGACAGAGACAGAGGCAGAGACAGGCAGAGAGAGACAGAGGCAGAGACAGGCAGAGAGAGACAGAGACAGAGGCAGAGAGAGACAGAGACAGAGGCAGAGAGACAGAGACAGAGGCAGAGAGACAGAGACAGAGGCAGAGAGAGACAGAGGCAGAGGCAGAGACAGAAGCAGAGACAGAGGCAGAGACAGAAGCAGAGGGAGGCAGAGACAGAAGCAGAGACAGAGGCAGAGGCAGAAGCAGAGGGATGCAGAGGGAGACAAAGACAGAGGCCGAGACAGAGGCAGAGGCAGAGACAGAGGTAGAGACAGAAGCAGAGACAGAGGCAGAGACAGAAGCAGAGGGAGACAGAGACAGAGGCAGAGACAGAGGCAGAGAGAGACAGAGGCAGAGACAGAGGCAGGTGCAGCGACAGGGGCAGAGACAGAGACAGAGGCAGAGACAGAGACAGAGACAGAGGCAGGGGCAGAGACAGGGGCAGAGGCAGGGGCAGAGACAGGGGCAGGCTACAGCCCGGGGCCTTCAGCCGCTGCCACTGCATCCGCCCCAAGCACGGCCCTCACGGCTGCCTCTGGCTCTTCTTTGGCGCCCTGTTACCGCCTCCAAGCCCCCACCCCCAGGATGCTCACCATGCTCTCTGGTCTCTTCCCAGCCCTGGGTCAGCCCCCTTTCCATGCCAGGCCCCGGGCAGTCCCCAGGCCGCTGCTGCCCTCATGCCCGGCCCAGCTTGTTTCCTGAACCCTTTCCAGCAAGCATCTCCTTTCCTGCAGATCCCGGCCCCACTGCCTTCTTTAGGAAGCCCTCCTGGCCGCTGACCCCCATCCCCAGCTCCCTGTGCTGCTTCCCTGGGAGGGAGTCTTAGCTGGCACTGTGCACCTCAGCCTCCATTGCGACCATGACCCCTCCCCAAGTGTACGGCACACAGCATTGTTGGGGAGCCGTGTCGGGGCTGCTGGGAGCCCCCCAATGACCACTCCTGCTCGGGGGCACTAGAGGAGAGGAGACAAGCAGACACATGCAGCTCCAGCCCTCCCGGGGAAGGGTAAGCAGGGCTGGGCTGCCTGCTGCGACTGCAGAGGCCTGGGGCACGCAGCTGTCTGGACACCACCCTCACCCATCGGGGTGGACTCTCATGGCACGGACAGTTCTGCCTGGGCAAGTGGATACTGTGGTGGCCGGTCCGGGGCTGCTTGTCCCCTCCCCAGCATGTGGCGCAGAGAGGGTCACACCTGCTTGGGGCCCAGGCGGGTTGATTCTGACCCGGTTAGCTCGTGACTGACTGTGTTATAAAGCCCTTGCGAGACTGAATGCATTTGCTTCTCTTTTCACTGTTTTTTCTTTTCTGGGAGCGTGCAGAGGAGGGGAGAAGATCCCACGGAGACGGTCTCAGTCCGAGGTGAGCAGAGCGTAATGGTGAGAAGGTAGCAGAGCTGGAGACACAGGCCCAGGGAGGACCCTGGAGAGAGGGGCTGCTGGGTGCCATGCGCCCTGAGACTCAGTCACAGCTGCGCTCTGAGGCCAAATCCAGATGGTCACAAAACACAAACCCAGGACAGTGGGGTTCTCCCGAGTCTTAGAGAAGAAGGTCTTTCCTCCCTCCTTCCCTCCCTCTGTCCGTCCATCCATCCCCTTTCCGTAAGCATTGAGTGTCCTCACAGACCTCTGGAAACATTCAGTGGAAAGGACTGGCGTGTTTGGCTTGCTGCGGTGTTTGGTTGAGTTAACCATGACATTCCAGAAGGACTCCTGCCGTAGACTTTGCGTCCTTTTACGTTTCCTCCTCGTGGATTTATGTCTTGAGTTGGAACCTTATGAATGTGAAATCAATCGGGTGCAGAATGCCGGGGCCACAGGGGTTTCCTGGCTCCCGTGGTGCATCAGGGGTGGGATGTCCAGAGACCGCGCAGCCTTGGACACCGGCCACCCAGCAGCCGGCTCCCGGCCCCAAGCTCCCGGGGTCTGTCCGCGGGGCCACTTCACCCCCAGGTGGGAGGATGGAGGAAATGGCCCCTGCATCATTCGCCAAGCGGGTCCGCCACAACGCTCTGAGCTCGGCTCGGTCGGGGAGTGCTGGGCGCTGATGGCCCCCGGCCCGTGTCTGCCAAGGCACTGGGACATCCCACGCTCCTGCATTCTGTGGCGCAGACACAGGATGTGGGTGGTTCAGCCTGCCGCCCCCACCTTTGCAGGGCCATGGAGGCCGGAGGAGTGGACGATAGGAAACCGACCAGGGGGCCCAGGATGCTCGAGGCCCGAGTGCCGGACAGGGCTGAGCAGTAAGTGAAGAGCGGGGCACTTCACAGGCACAGAGCCTGTCCCTGCCCCAGGTGCATCTCTGAAACCACGCGGCAGCCCTGTGAGTCGGTGCCGTCCCTGTGCAGCTGAGGCCGTGGGGGTACAGGCAGGTCAAGGGCCTGTGTGGCTGGGAAGTGCTGGGCTGGGGCAGATGCAGACAGGCTCCCGGCACAGGCTTCAGCCCTGCCGCCCCTGCAGCTGTTTCCCAGGTAGAGGCCCTGGGTCATGGTGACTTCCTCCCACGCAGGAGTCAGCATGACAGCTCATGCTAGCACGCTCATGCCGTCCCGAAGCACTGACTGTGGAATGGTGCCTGTGGAACGTCCCTGGGTCTTCGGCCAGCGTCCTTCCCACCCTGCTGCTGGATGGGCTCCCCTGACCTCCTTTTGCAGGCCTGGGCACACGGTGAACGGCACAGACAGCACAATTGCAGCACAGGTGCGGGTGTGTCCCCACAGTCACGCTGAACAGCGTCAGGGAGCGCAGTGGCTGTGCTGTGTGTAAACACTTATAGAAGGTGGGGCTGCGGCCTGACGCACACGGCATGAAACGGTCCTTCAGCCTCGGTGTCTCTGGGCTCCCTCTCTGACTGAATGCATCATCTTTTTGTTTAAAACCACAATCCAGGCCAGGCGCCGTGGCTCACACCTGTAATCCCGGCACTTTGGGAGGCCGAGGCGGGCAGATCACGAGCTCAGGAGATCGAGACCATCCTGGCCAACATGGTGAAACCCCGTCTCTATTAAAAATACAAAAAATTAGCCAGGCGTGGTGGCAGGTGCCTGAAGTCCCAGCTACTCGGGAGGCTGAGGCAGGAGAATGGCGTGAACCCGGGAGGCAGAGCTTGCAGTGAGCCGAGATTGTGCTACTGCATTCCAGCCTGGGCGACAGAGCAAGACTCTGCCATGGAAAAAAAAAAAAGAAAAAAAAAAACACAATCCAAATGCACAATGAAATCTTTCATTAAGATGCTTAAATTGGAAAATGACAGCAATCATGAAACAAAGCCTGCAGCCCAGGCAGGTATGAGCTCATGCTGCACGCTCCTGGGGATAGAGTGTTTTGAAAGCGGAGTCTTCTGCTCTGCCCCCAGGGTCCATCTCACCTGCACCAGGGCAGGGAGAGTGAGCCCCAGCCCAGCCCCACCATTGAAAACGATGCCGGTGAGGTCCAGGTGAGTCACCTGTGGGGAGTTGCCAGCCACGTGGGCTGACGCCGGTGGAAGACTGCACACAGAAGACAGGCTCTAGACCCCCGGGCTTCAGGGGGTGGGATGTTTTGTGTGGCCTGGAGGTTCTAGGGACACAGATACTTCTCACAGCAGGTCGGAGTTGGGGGAGCAGGCTGTGGGGGGGAGAAGCGCATGCTGCCGTGGGCTGTGTAGGGAGCACAGGCAGCTCTGAGTCCAGAAACAAAGGCGTGGTTTCTGTGTCAGCCCCTGATATGGTTTGGCTGTGTCCCCACCCAAATCTCAACTTGAATTGTATCTCCCAGAATTCCCATGTGTTGTGGGAGGGACCCAAGGGGAGGTAACCGAATCATCAGGGCTGGTCTTTCCCGTGATATTCTCCTGATAGTGAATAAGTCTCACGAGATCTGATGGGTTTATCAGGGGTTTCCACTTTTGCTTCTTCCTCATTTTCTCTTGCCGCCGCCACGTAAGAAGTGCCTTTCACCTCCCACAATGATTCTGAGGCCTCCCCAGCCATGTGGAACTATAAGTCCAATTAAAGCTCTTTTTGTTTCCAGTCTCAGATACATCTTTATCAGCAGCGTGAAAGTGGACTGATACAGCCTCATAGAAATTTTCCTTCTTAGGAATGCAGTTTTTAAGGGACACTAATTTGGAAGGAAATTTTTGGAGTTTACAGTCTGCCTGAGACTTGTGTATGGGTCAGGATGCCGGTGGTAGGGCAAGGCCTGGGCCAGAATCTGACAGTTGCTTCCCAGAGCCAGGGGCTGCTGTGCGCTGTGCGGAGCCGCAGGACGGTCGGGGGCATGCTCTCTGCACAGGGCTGCCCTGCAGACTTGCAGAGCTGATGCAGGCAGACGCCATGGTCGGTGCTGGGTGAAGTGTGAGCTGTCACCCTTAAAAAGGGCCAGGCATAGAAAGGAGTAATGCCCAGTGTTGTTCATCTTTCCGTTGGTCCTAAGATTATCAGTGGAAAAATGAGAAATCAATTTGACTCATTTTTATGCATTTTTGTAGAGAAACAAATAGCATGAATGAGATTTACACAGTGTGGTTTAAAAAATGGAGAGTAAACAACAGGGCTTAAGGAAACAGAATTCTCGGAAGACACACAAAGCCACGTGGCTGTTAGGTAGAGCGTGCTGGTGTTGTGTTCATTCTTGAACAGACGCGGCAGGCGTACAGCTGGCCTTGTCTAGGGCGGGAAGGGGGAAGAGTGTGCTTCTGGCCCTGCCACTTGCTCACCACCTTTGAGAACAGAGCGTGGGTTACCAGGGGAGGGCGCTGATTTTCTCTGAAGCCCGAGGCTGCCTGGCTCCTCGGCTGCGTCGTATTACTAATGTTGGGCAGGTGAATCTGTGACCTTTGTTTCTTCAGCAGTTGAGAAACTGAGGGATACCACGTTCCTCATGGTGAGTCAAGGTGGTGAGGACTCGGGGTCGTGGGGACACTGCTCCTCACTCTCACAGGTGCTCTAGGTTTCCTCACAGGTGCTCACAGTTTCCTCCTCTGTCTCCCCTCAGGACTGCAGAGTTCAAAGGGGTTTATTCATTGTCTCCTCCATAGAGTTCAGGGCGTTTATTCATTGTCTCCTCTTCGTATGGTGGATGCGTCTTTGTCTGTCCTGTTCCCCGAGGTCCTGGTGCACCGTGGAAGGAACAGACCTTGGGCTGGGATCCACCGGGGGTGCCGGGGGTGCCTGGTGCCTTCCTTTCTCTAACAGGCCTGGACTCCATCTCCAGCGATCCTGATGCGTGAGGTGGCATTGGCCCTGGTGCCAGCGTCCCAGGGAAAGATGACATCAACCTAAACTCTTGAGGACTCATAGCTGTATTGGAGCATTGTTAATTTTCTTTGTTGGGAGATGCTCCAGCCATGGAACGTACTCTTCTTCCATCCGTCTCTGAGGCTGCAGAGTCATCCAGGCCAGGCTGACGAATGAAGGAGTCTTCTCCTTCCCACAGCCACCCGGCACCCGCCCAGCCTGGGGAGAAGCCATCCCTTTCTCTGCACTCAGGGCAGCAGTCAGCGTCTGGTCCTGCTGCTGTGTGCACGCCGGAGGCAGTCCTCTTCAGACCTCATGTGTTCATTCCTTCAAAGAGCCACGCACTCTTCAGCACAGTTGGTGTTGGCTGAATATTTTTGACTGAGGCTAAAGGGTCATTTTGGGTTTTGTCAGGGTCTCAGAGCCAGTGTGGTCCTCTCTGTCCATGGGATCCGATTGTCGGAAGCATTGATGCCATCTGGCGTGGAGGCCGTCCACCGTGGGGACTGTGCAGCGTGGGGGCCATCTGGCATGGGGGCTGTCTGATGTGGGGGACATCCAGCTTGGAAGCTGTCTGGCGTGGATGCCGTCCAGTGTGGTTGCTGTCTGGCATGGAAGCTGTCTGGTGTGGGGACTGTCCAGCGTGGAAGGTGTCTGGAGTGGAAGGTGTTTGATGTGGGGACCATCCAGTGTGGGGCTGTCTGGTGTGGGGGCCATCTGGCATGGAAGCTGTCTGGCGTGGGGACTCTCTGGCGTGGGGGCCATCTGGCGTGGATGCCGTCCGATGTGGGGACTGTCCAGCGTGGAAGCTGTCTGGTGTGGAAGCTGTCCGATATGGGGACTGTCTGGTGTGGAAGCTGTCTGGTGTGGGGAGTGTCTGGTGTGGGGACTGTCTGGTGTGGAAACTGTCTGGTATGGGGACTGTCCGGTGTGGGGACAGTCTGGTGTGGGGACTGTCTGATGTGGGGACTGTTTTGTGTGGGGACTGCCTGGTGTGGAAGCTGTCTGGTGTGGGGACTGTCCGCTGTGGGTACTGTCTGGTGTGGAAGCTGTCTGGTGTGGGTACTGTCCGGTGTGGGGACTGTCTGGTGTGGGGACTGTCTGGTGTAGGGACTGTCTGGTGTGGGGACTGTCTGGTGTGGAAGCTGTCTGGTGTGGGACTGTCTGCTGTGGGGACTGTCTGCTGTGGAAGCTGTCTGGTGTGGGGAGTGTCTGGTGTGGAAGCTGTCTGGTGTGGGGACTGTCTGGTGTGGAAACTGTCTGGTGTGGGGACTGTCCGGTGTGGAAGCTGTCCGATATGGGGACTGTCTGGTGTGGAAGCTGTCTGGTGTGGGGAGTGTCTGGTGTGGAAGCTGTCTGGTGTGGGACTGTCTGCTGTGGGGACTGTCTGGTGTGGAAGCTGTCTGGTGTGGGGACTGTCCGCTGTGGGTACTGTCTGGTGTGGAAACTGGTGTGGGGACTGTCCGGTGTGGGGACTGTCTGGTGTGGGGACTGTCCGGTGTGGAAGCTGTCTGGTGTGGAAGCTGTCTGGTGTGGGGACTGTCTGGTGTGGGTACTGTCTGGTGTGGGGACTGTCTTGTGTGGAAGCTGTCTGGTGTGGGGACTGTCTGGTGTGGAAGCTGTCTGGTGTGGGGACTGTCTGGTGTGGAAACTGTCTGGTGTGGGGACTGTCCGGTGTGGGGACTGTCCGGTGTGGGGACTGTCTGGTGTGGGGACTGTCCGGTGTGGAAGCTGTCTGGTGTGGAAGCTGTCTGGTGTGGGGACTGTCTGGTGTGGAAGCTGTCCGATATGGGGACTGTCCTGTGTGGAAGCTGTCCGATATGGGGACTGTCTGGTGTGGAAGCTGTCTGGTGTGGGGACTGTCCGGTGTGGAATCTGTCCGGTGTGGGGACTGTCCTGTGTGGAAGCTGTCTGGTGTGGGGACTGTCCGGTGTGCAAGCTGTCCGATATGGGGACTGTCTGGTGTGGAAGCTGTCCGATATGGGGACTGTCTGGTGTGGAAGCTGTCTGGTGTGGGGACTGTCCGGTGTGGAATCTGTCCGGTGTGGGGACTGTCCTGTGTGGAAGCTGTCTGGTGTGGGGACTGTCTGGTGTGGAAGCTGTCCGATATGGGGACTGTCTGGTGTGGAAGCTGTCCGATATGGGGACTGTCTGGTGTGGAAGCTGTCTGGTGTGGGGACTGTCTGGTGTGGAAGCTGTCCGGTGTGGGGACTGTCCGGTGTGGAAGCTGTCCGGTGTGGGTACTGTCCTGTGTGGAAGCTGTCCGGTGTGGGGACTGTCCGGTGTGGAATCTGTCCGGTGTGGGGACTGTCCGGTGTGGAAGCTGTCTGATATGGGGACTGTCTGGTGTGGAAGCTGTCCGATATGGGGACTGTCTGATGTGGAAGCTGTCTGGTTTGGGGACTGTCCGACGTGGGGACTGTCCGGTGTGGGGACTGTCCATTGTTTGCTGCACTTGTCTTTGAGGTTTCCTCCCATGAGCGTCATTCCCTACATTCACTGTTGTGGTCCAAGCATGTCTGTCTGACCTTAACTTGGATATGACAGCTTTCCCTCCAAGGATAACATCCTTTGTCATCCTGTGGAATCACTGCTGGGCTGGAGAGGGTAGGCACCTCCCGCCTCACGGGTGCTGCTGGGGTGGAGAGGGTGGGCCCCTACCGCCTCACGGGTGCGCTGGCCGGCACTCGGACCCTGTCTTGCTGCACAGAAAGCTCACCTGCAAGGGCACCCGATGTGGATCCTGTGACTCCCCACATATTCCAGGTGGAGCGATGACCTCACTTGCCCCCTCTCCCGGCCGGTGGGTGGAAGGGCAAGGACATGCCGTCGGGGCCTAGGCTGGGCTCTGGGTGCTCGCATCAGCCACCCGCCCTCAGCTGTAGCCTTCGCGTCAGCCAGCTGCCCTCTGCTGTAGCCTTGGGTGAGTGTCTCAAGTCTCCCAACCAGTGGTTTCTCCATTGAAAAATAATAACAGTACCTACGTCTTGGAGTTGCGCTGGCGAGGTGGACCTAAAAGGAAAAAGCTAGGGTAAAAGTAATCTATGTAGAAGGTTATTTGGGTCACGTGTGAGGCCTGCAGCCCAGGAGCCTGGATTCAGGCTGCCCTGAACGCACACTGATGAGCAGCGCCTCCAGGGCGATTTTGGAAAGCAGAAAGGGGGTCAGAGAGGCGGATGGAAAGCTGTTTGTCAGGAATTCTCATTAGTTTATGGAAACCATTGGTTTATTGATTAGTGATGCCTGTGCATTGTTAAGCTACAGAGTGTGTTACGGTGTCCAGAGCAGCATCACCAGGCTCTTTCCCAGCTACCGGGGGCCACAGTGGGCCATGTTGAGTGAACACGCGGCTCCCTGGGGGCAGGGAGTAGGGAGCAGGGCGTGGTTGTGGCTCGTCTGCTCATCTCTCGGGGCCTGATGATGTGAAAGGGCTCCCATCCCTCAAACCGAAGTTCCGCTCTTTTCTCAGCAGTCGTGTTAACAGATGAGACAATCGCAGCTGCTGCTCGTGGGGAGCCCCAGTGCGTGTTGAGCTACTCGTGTGCCATGTTGGTGAAATGACCTGAAACCTAGGAACTGGGGCCGCGGCGGGAACTGGGGCCGCGACGGGAACTGGGGCCGCGGCGGGAACTGGGGCCGCGGCGGGAACTGGGGCCGCGGCGGGAACTGGGGCCGCGGCGGGAACTGGGGCCGCGGCGGGAACTGGGGCCGCGACCGGAACTGGGGCCGCGACCGGAACTGGGGCCGCGGCGGGAACTGGGGCCGCGGCGGGAACTGGGGCCGCGGCGGGAACTGGGGCCGCGGCGGGAACTGGGGCCGCGGCGGGAACTGGGGCCGCGGCGGGAACTGGGGCCGCGAGGCGCCGAACCACGAGGCCAGGTGCTGGGGATGGGGCGGGGGTGGTGGCACGTGGCAGGCACCTGAGCAAGTCTGGGGGATGGAGGGAGAGCAGGTTCAGGGCTGGGAATACAGGAAGGCAGAAGGGCGGGCACTGGGCTGGGAATACAGGAGGTGCCGCATCTGAGGTTGGGGGCAGGGTCCCACTGCCATCCTCATTGGAAAGTAGTGTCTGTCTGCTTCTGAGAGTGCCAGAGCCAGTGGCCAGCTCTCTGCACTAGGATAAGGGAATTCGCCGGCCTGGTGGCGTCCTGGGTGTGTGTCAGGCAGAGCCTGGAGCTCTTGGCAGCCTGCCATCCCCTCGCGTTCCCCTCATTGAATAGTACGTGAGGCCGGTGACCACCCTGGGCATGGGCCCGCCTGGCCTCGGAGGAGCTGGCCTGTGGGTGACACTCAGGGACCATGCCCCCTGTGGTCCCATGTGCTTTTCCTGATGCGGCGAGGGCCTGGAGCTGGTGCCTGGTCCCCGGTGCTAGAGCCTGGTCCCTGGCACTGGAGCCGAGGCAGCTGGAGAGTTCCCTGAGGACAGCTTATTTCACCCTGGATGGCTCTGGCGGGAGCCAGGCCCGTGTTTTGTGGTCTTAACACGAGTCACCAGGAACTGGCCTTCCCGGGACTCGCTGGCATCTAGCTCACACTCAAACTGGTGTCCTCGAAGCAGGGAGGGAAACACGAAGTGTAGACAAGAATCACAACAGCAGGCAGGCCGGGACCCAGCCTCGCCCCGAGAGGTTAGCCACATGCTTACCAAAAGGAGTGGAGAGGGCCCTAAGCACCACGCCTAATCCCAGCTAAGTCTGGAAGAAAAAGGAGTGGAGAGGGCCGTCAGCGCCGCACCTGATCCCAGCTAAGTCTGGAAGAAACCCATTTGGTTTACATGTTGACTTCTCCCTTTAGAATACAGTGGGAAATTCAGCAAGGAGTTAAAGCCAGTGTCATTTTGGGAGGGCCTGGCTGGCGAATCCAATTTGCAAAATAAACTTCTGGCTACATTTCAAGGTGAAGTCACTCCAACACTGAGAAGTCTCTTTTGTTTTGCTCTTGAATGTTGTTTCAAGGGAGATTTACAAGTATTCATGACTAATAGGTGGTGAGTCTTCTAATTATGGCTAGTAATGACAGTTAGCTCTTCCTTTTTGCGGGGTTCTCTGTCGACAGCCCTACACCTATTGAGTGCATGTTTATCCACCTGAACGGTGACAAGCAGTGTCTCTCCTTCTTGCAGGAGCTCCTTCCCTTAACAGAGCTGAGAGAGGCATCTGGAGCTGCAGCATGGACCAGCGAGAGCCCCTGCCTCCCGCTCCTGCAGGTAACAGCACTCAGTAGGTGGGCCTGTGGGTCAGGTTGTGCTGCTGCTCTCATCAAGGACGGGGTACTTCTGGAACCACTGAATTGCTGGTCACTGGGGTATGGGGTGGAGTGAGAGCTTCTTGGGAGAAAGAGAAGGTTCTGACGTGAGCCTGGGTGCCCCCATCCTTGCCTTGCCACGGGGGCATCCTGGGTGAGCCTCTTGCGTTCCTCACAGGTGCTGCTGTATTGCTCTTGGGGACCTATGGTCAGCATCTGAAATTCCCTTAAGATTCCCCTTAGCCTGATGCAATCGGAGATGGAGCGGGAGGGTTGTTACAGAATGGCGCCTTCCAGTGTTGAAGGCCTCGCTCAGGCTTAAAGCTCAGCTCGCCCATGGCGGGTGCTCGCCCAGTTTCCTTTTCTGCCTCCCTCCTCTGAGCGGCCGCTCAGGGACAAGCACGCCCTCTCTATCCATATGCTCCAATAAGGGAGGGCCTGCTGATGAAAGATTTATCTTCATTGTCACCTCACCTGAGTTAAATTGTTGCCAAAAAGACTATGCCAGGGTTGCCAGCTCGCGCTCCGGCCAGTGGAGAAGGTGGACACTGACCGACGTTTCCATGGCAGGTCGTCTGCAGGGCCTGGAGACCTGGCCTAGGTCCTCCCGGGGCCTGCCGGACCACATGTTGCACATGGGCCTGGTGTCCGTTGCAGGTCTGGGGGGTGATGGAGCTGTGGAGGTCACGGAATTAACTGTGTGGGCTCCAGGCCCCTTGGCACTGTGGGTGTGGGTCTTGGGAGATGCTGGGATTTGGTCGTCTGTGCCCCCCAACTACGTGGACACTCTGGGCCCTCAGAGATTGTAGCTGGATCAGAAAAGAGGCAGCCTGGAAGTCAGGCTGTTCATAAGCAAGTCAGTCACCGGGGCCTGGTAGATGACAAAGACAGGAGAATCCAGGGGTCACCGGGGCCTGGTAGATGACAGAGACGGGAGAATCCAGGGGTCACCGGGGCCTGCTGGACGACAGAGACGGGAGAATCCAGGGGTGAGCAGTGGCCACCCCAGAAACAGCCAGCGACACCACAGGGGCCAGAAGGGATGCCCACTCCTGCTGCCGGGGGTCTGCGGTGGGGAACCAGGCCTGGAAGTCCAGCTCCTGGAGTTCTCCGGAGCCGCAAGACCACGGGGTACGGGACCCGGTACCGGAAACCCGAGGCCACAGCTCCACTGCTTCTCTTCTGGGGGTGACGTCGGCCGGTCTCCTTGCCTTTTTGTCGCCATGGTGCTCGTTGTCGCCACAGTTCACTTACGTGTGGATTGCTGGCATTCAGGCTCTGCCAGACTAGGTTGTTTTAATTGAAAATGAGGTCGGGCACCTCAGCTCACACCTGTAATGCCAGCACTTTGGGAGACTGAGGTGAGTGAATCACTTGAGCCCAGGAGTTTGAGACCAGCCTGGGCAACGTAGTGAGACCCCATATCTGCAAAAAGAATAATAATGTAATAATAATTAGTTGTAATAGTTGTAATAATTAGACCCCATCTCTGCAAAAATAATGATATGATAATAATTAGTTATGCATGATGGTGCATGCCTGTAGTCCCAGCTACTCATGAGGCTGGGGTGGGAGGTTCACTTGAGCACGGGAAGTTGAGGCTGCAGTGAGCCGAGATCCTTCCACTGAACTCCAGCCTGGGTGGTGGGACTGAGACCCTGTCTAAAAAATAAAGGTGGAACATGAGGCAGAGAGCAAAATCTTTTACTGCTTTTCATTCCTATCAAATGAGATGATGCCCCAGCAGAGCAGGGCAGTGGGCGTCATCCTGTGGCCTTACCCTCCACGGGCCCACTTTGGGCGGCTGTCCCTCCAGGGGCCCCCTCCCGCCTCCCTGCTTTCTTTTTGGCATTTCTTGGAAATGAGTGGTTGTCTTGGATAGTTTTCTGTTTGAAGGGGTGAGCACCAGAGCTTGCGTGCTTTTCTGTTGCCTCCCCTCCTTCCCACACACATGTAAGATGGCACACCATTAATATGGTGCCTTGACATGCTGAGGAGGCGGGTACAGTTGTTGGGGAAAGTTAAAAATGAAAGAAAGGCCAGGAAGCTGTCTCTGCAGGTAAGCGTGGAGGACGTAGGACCCGTTCAGAATCCCGTGGCAGATGGATGCTGCCTTTCACCCTGTTTTGCCCTCTGTTTCAAAGAAGGCGGAAACACCGTTTTCTCATTAAATTTATCTCCAGCATTTGCTGACGTCGTCATCAGTCCTGGCTAGTGCCTGGCACCCTGAGGAGCTCTGCCCAGCGGTACCACCACCTGGATTGCATGAAATGCCCATCCACCCATGGTCTCCACGACCAGAACTGGCTTCTGAAGAAGGTTCCTGGGCCCATAGGACTCCACTTTGTGTGTAGTTGTGCTAATCAGAGATGTGGCCTCTGATGGAGGCAGGACTGGGGGTGCCCAGGGTTCCCTGCAGCAGGACACTCCTCTGCTGGGGCTGGGGGTGTCTCCATAGCCCCTCCCTCTGCCCAGATTTCGACCCAGGGGAGAGTATGACAGGTCCACGCCCTCTGGGTGCAGCTGGACTGGCCAGGCCGTCCTTGGGCCAAGGCTACTGGATCCAGCCTCAGGGCTGGTCACTAGCTCCAGGCTGCAGGAATGTGGAGCTCTCCACAGTTCGCCACTGTTAACATTTCACCCAGGAGGGTGTCCTCGGGAGACCCTGGCGGGAGCCCGGGAGCCGCGGAGGGGCTGAGGAGCCGCCCAGCCCTCTGGCGGGTTGGGAGCGAGGCCCCTGCCCTTGCTGACAGGCCACATGACCTTGGTCTTTGATACAGAAAGCCACCATTTAATGACAGTGCTCTGGCTTGGAAACTTAGGTGAGTTTCTAGCCAATAACTTTTACGACAAATAGAAATAGGGATAATGGCCTGGTGTCTTTTCTGAGGATTCTGTGGTACTTTAATTATAATTTCCCCCATTATTAAGTCAACCGTCCACTTAAAAGTGCCCCTGAAGATCAGGATCCAGCAGGAAGTTACTGCGACCTCATTTCTTCCCTGCGTGGGGACACAGTTGGTGCTGTTACTTTAGATCATCACTTTTCTGGTTTTTTTCCCCATATTTCTTTTCTACATAATTGTAGTCATTGAATATAAATTTTTAACTTTTTTTTTTTGAGACGGAGTCTCGCTCTCTCACCCAGGCTGGAGTGAAGTGGTGTGATCTTGGCTCACTGCAACCTCCACTTCCCGGGTTCAAGGATTCTCCTGCCTCAGTCTCCTGAGTAGCTGGGATTATAGACACCTGCCACCATGCCCAGCTAATTTTTGTATTTTTAGTAGAGACAGGGTTTCACCGTGTTGGCCAGGCTGGTCTCGAACTCCTGACCTCAAGTGATCTGCCCACGTTGGCCTCCGAAAGTGATGGGATGACAGGCGTGAGCCACCACATGTGGCCTGATTTTTAACATTTTGAGTGTAGGTTTTTATACCGCGTTAACATTTGTGTTTGTGAGTATTTTCAGGCTGCTGCTCGTTTTTCGTAAGTGTCCTCCTCAGTGGCTGCTCTTGGGGCCTCCTGGCAGGGGTGCTGTTGTGTGTTCCAGTGGAATCATTCTTTAGTCCATGCCCATTCCTCACCTTTACCAGGTCCCTGTGCCTTCTCTAGAAATGTCTTTGGCAACACGTCAGGTCATCACAAGGGGAAGTGGTGTTGGAGAGGCAGCCTGTGCACCAGGAAAGATTTCAGGCTCTGCTGCCCAGCTGCTGGGGTTCAAATGTTGACCCTGAGGTGTGTGAGCTGATGACCTAAGCAGCCTTCAATTTCTGTCATTCCTGGAAAAAACAGAACCCCTCTCATAAGTTTGGGGAGGATTTGACAAGTTAGCATTTATGAAGTACTTAGACCTAGCTGGTAAGCACTCAGCAAATCCATTCAGAAGATGATCTGGGATTTCTCAGAATGCAAAACAAGTCACACTGCCAGCTAAAGCCTTTCTCTAATTAGTAGCAAAATTCCAATGCAAATTACATTAGGGCAAAAGAAATAAGTACAATTGGCATGTTAATGTTGGTTCACAAAAAATCATTTACCAAATACCTGGTAACTTCCATAATGAGCTCAGACAGACGCCAGCACTCACACTGGCATCGTCTCTGGGGGCAGCTTTGTTTCTGGGGGCAGCATTGTTTCTGGGGGATGGCACTGTTTCTGGGGAGGCCTCCTTCAGCACAAGCAGCTACAAACCGCAGTGACACCCAGAGCCAAGAAGTGGTTATGAATAGCCTCTTGTGGCTGAAGCTGTTTGCAGCCTGGTGCTTTTTAAAGGACTTTTCTTTAAACAATAGAGCTAAAACACAAACAGCCTTCATTCAAAATAAGAGAAAATCATATCCCGAGTTAAACCTTCATATGAGAATCAAACATGCTCTTCCAAGCCCCAGGAAAAGTAACACTTAGCTTTTATCTCTGATCTTAAAAAATGAGTATTACTTTAATCTTGTTCTCAGTGTGTTAATCGTTGCATGTCTTTAAAAGTTCTTCATGGACTTGGAACAGTCAGAGCGCTGTCTGCTCACGAGGGAAGGTGGCCCGGGAATGGGTGGCCTGCTTCTCCAGGGCTGGCGGCCAGTTCTCTCCCACTCAGGGTGCTGGGACCAGAGCCACCAGGTCTTGGTAGCTTGTAGAATAAATATTTCGCTAAAGAAAACAGAAAATTGAAGTGTTCTATGCGTCTTCTTTTGCATCGTGCATATTGTATTTGTCGTCCTCTCTTCAGTATCTCTGTAAAAAGAGGTACGCGGGGTCCTCCGTCTTAGTCCTCAGGTTAAGTGGCTTTGTACGCGCCACACGGCGTTTCCTACTTGTTGCAACATGCCCCAGGGAGGGATTCTTTCCATTCTGTGATTCCTTTCTATAGACGAGGGATGGGGTCTCGTGGCCAGCAAGCAAAGTTTGAACTCAGCTCTCCGACTCCAGAAGCCGTTCTCTAATCCACGACTCTGTACTTAGCATTTCTTGTGTAGATTTGTCCGGGGGCTTCAGAATAACACAGCAGGATGGGAGATGTGCTGCGCAGCGATGGGTGTGTCGTGGTTTCTGTTTGTTGTTTATTCAGTGAATGTTGTATTCACTATTAAATGTATTCACTATGTAAATGTAGGGAAGCTACATTTCAGGTACTACAAATGACTTTACAGTTTATAATCTAAATTGGGTAATTAAAAAAATTACAATGCATGTTAATTGTAGAATAAAAACTAAAATATAGACAAGTCACGAAAAAGAAAATACTTCACCTCTGGGAGATTAGTACTGTTAAAATTTTATTGAATATTCTTCCAGTGTTTTAGAAGTAGTCTTTTTTTTTCCCCTTGAAGCAAACTTTTAAATGCCGTTAATATAAGTGATAGTATCTGCATGGTTATGTTTCAAACATTAGCAGTTTTTTTCCCTGACAAACCTAGGCAGCACTTGTTTTTATATGTATAGTTTATTTAAAGTGAGAGATTAAGTTTTTTTATTTATGGCTTTATTAAGATATAATTCATATCTTAGTACCGTTTACCTATTTAACTTGTAAAGCTCCGTGGCTTTTACTGTATTCACAAGCATGTAGGACCATCACACAGTCAGTGCTGGTCACCCCTAGACACCGCTCCCCACCCCGGGCAGAGGGTAACTAAATTTTAAACTAAACTTAGATACTTTATTTGTACCCTTTTGCTCATTAAGAAAAGAGCACTTAAAACTAACTTCAAATTAGAATAGCCAAAATCCAGAACACAGATGGTAAATGCTGAGAAGGGTGTGGGGCGGCTGCGGGGACACAGACGGCAAATGCTGAGAAGGGCGTAGGGCGGCCGTGTGGACACAGCAAATGCCGAGGAGGGCATGGGGCAGCCACGTGGACACAGACAGCAAATGCCGAGGAGGGCATGGGGCGGCCACGTGGACACAGAAGGCAAATGCCGAGGAGGGCGTGGGCCGGCCGCGTGGACACAGAGGGCAAATGCTGAGGAGGGCGTGGGGCGGCCACATGGACACAGACAGCAAATGCTGAGGGGGGCGTGGGGCAGCCACGTGGACACAGGGCAAATGCTGAGGAGGGCGTGGGGCGGCCACGTGGGCATGGACAGCAAATGCTGAGGAGGGCGTGGGGCCAGCTGCGTGGACACAGACGGCAAATGCTGAGGAGGGCGTGGGGCAGTCGTGTGGACACAGACGGCAAATGCTGAGGAGGGCGTGGGGTGGCCACGTGGGCATGGATGGCAAATGCTGAGGAGGGCATGGGGTGGCCACGTGGTCACAGACAGCAAATGCTGAGGAGGGCGTGGGGCGGCCACGTGGACATAGAGGGCAAATGCTGAGGAGGGCGTGGGCCGGCTGCGTGGACACAGGGCAAATGCTGAGGAGGGCTTGGGCGGCCACGTGGACACAGACAGCAAATGCTGAGGAGGGCGTGGGGCGACCATGTGGACACAGAGGGCAAATGCTGAGGAGGGCGTGGGCCGGCTGCGTGGACACAGAGGGCAAATGCTGAGGAGGGCGTGGGCCGGCTGCATGGACACAGAGGGCAAATGCTGAGGAGGGCGTGGGCCGGCTGCATGGACACAGAGGGCAAATGCTGAGGAGGGCGTGGGCCGGCTGCGTGGACACAGAGGGCAAATGCTGAGGAGGGCGTGGGCCGGCTGCATGGACACAGAGGGCAAATGCTGAGGAGGGTGTGGGGCGGCCACGTGGACACAGAGGGCAAATGCTGAGGAGGGCGTGGGGCGGCCACATGGGCATGGATGGCAAATGCTAAGGAGGGCGTGGGGCAGTCGCGTGGACACAGACGGCAAATGCTGAGGAGGGTGTGGGGCGGCCGCGTGGGCATGGACGGCAAATGCTGAGGAGGGCGTGGGGCAACCGTGTGGACAGACGGCAAATGCCGAGGAGGGTGTGGGGCGGCCGCGTGGGCATGGACGGCAAATGCTGAGGAGGGTGTGGGGCAACCGCGTGGACACAGACGGCAAATGCTGAGGAGGGTGTGGGGCAACCGCGTGGGCATGGACGGCAAGTGCGGAAGACGGCATGGGCCACCCGCGTGGACACAGATGGCAAATGCTGAGGAGGGCGTGGGGCAGCTGCGTGGACACAGACGGCAAATGCTGAGGAGGGCCGGGTGCTGGCGGGTGGCTAGAGGGCGTGGGGCAGCCGCGTGGGAGGGCAGTTTGGTGGCTTCTTCAAACCTGAGCACACTCTTACCGTGTGACTTGCAGCCATGCCCCGGCGTATTTATTTAAATGAGTTGAAAACTTAATGTCCACTCAATACCTGCCCATATAGGTGTTGATAGCAGCTTTATTCATAATTGCCAGAACCCAGAAGCAGCCATGATGTCCTTCAGGAGGTGAATGGATGGATAAACTGGGGCCCATTCAGACAGTGGAACATTCAGTGCTAGGAAGAAATGAGCTGCCAAGCCGTGAAAAGACATGGAGGAGCCTTAAATGCATCTTACTGAGCGAGAGAAGCCAACCTGAAAAGGCTGCGCCCGGTGCGATTCCAACCACGTGACATTCTAGAAAACAAAATTATACAGTAACAAGCTCAGGGTTGCTAGGGGTTTGCGGGGGGGAGGGGTGACAGGCGGAGCACGGGATTTTTAGGGCCACGAAATTCCTTGATAATGGTGCATCCATGTCATTACACGCCTGTCCAAACCCATAGAAGGCACAGCACCAGGAGCGAGGCCTCACGCACACCGTGGGCTTTAGTTAGCGACGTACCTCAACATCATTACACGCCTGTCCAAACCCATAGAAGGCACAGCACCAGGAGCGAGGCCTCACGCACACCGTGGGCTTTAGTTAGCGACGTACCTCAGTGTTGGCTCCTCACACAGAAGGCACAGCACCAGGAGCGAGGCCTCACGCACACCGTGGGCTTTAGTTAGTGACATACCTCATTGTTGGCTCCTCACACAGAAGGCACAGCACCAGGAGCGAGGCCTAACACACACCGTGGGCTTTAGTTAGTGACGTACCTCAGTGTTGGCTTCTCAGTTGCAACAAGTGTTCCACTCTGGCAAAGGATGGGGGATAGTGTTGGGGGAGGCTCTCTTTGGGGGTGGGGAGTATATGAGAACTCTCTGTACCTTCCTCTCAATTTTCCTGTGAACCTAAAACTGCTCTAAAAAGTTGTATCTCTTAAAAGCAACCAAACTGGGGTGGGCACGTTGGCTCTTGCCTGTAATCCCAGCACTTTGGGAGGCCGAGGCAGGAGGATCACTTGAGTTCAGGAGTTTGAGACCAGCCTGGGCAACATAGTGCCACCTCGTCTCTATTAAAAATAATAAAACTTAGCCAGGCGTGGTGGCTCATGCCTGTAGTCCTGGCTGCTTGGGAGGCTGAGGTGGGAGGATTGCTTGAGCCCAGGAGGTCAAGGCTGCAGTAAGCTGCGATCGCAATACTGCACTCCAGCGCGGGCAACAGAGCATGACTCTGTCTCAAAAAAAAAAAAAATTAATAACCAAATGGAAATGAATCTCTGCTGCAGACCATATGAAGACAGACACAAGCAGAGGGGCCCTGTGGGTGTGGGGACGGCTCTCAGGCTCAGACAGGCCGTTAGCCGTCTTGATAGCTCGAGATTCAGGCCTGCGAGGTCCACTAGGCTCAGGTGTCTACAAAACTTAGAATTGATAAGAATTAAATAACAACAACAACTGAGGCTCTTGGTCACACTGGCCACCCCAAGTGCAATAGCCATGTGTGACTTGAGCTGTCCTGCGGGCCCTCTAGAACCTCTCCATCATCCTGGAGAGGACCGGGGAGCAGCACCGTTTCTGTCCTGAGGGCCCTCTAGAACCTCTCCATCATCCTGGAGAGGACCGGGGAGCAGCACCGTTTCTGTCCTGAGGGCCCTCTAGAACCTCTCCATCATCCTGGAGAGGACCGGGGAGCAGCACCGTTTCTGTCCTGAGGGCCCTCTAGAACCTCTCCATCATCCTGGAGAGGACCGGGGAGCAGCACCGTTTCTGTCCTGAGGGCCCTCTAGAACCTCTCCATCATCCTGGAGAGGACCGGGGAGCAGCACCGTTTCTGTCCTGAGGGCCCTCTAGAACCTCTCCATCATCCTGGAGAGAACCCGGGAGCAGCACCTTTTCTAGCAGCAGCATTTCGAAGATTGGATTGTCAGGTAACTTCCTCGCCCTTTTTTGCATATAGGCATAACTTAAAATGGGCATGGTCATATTATGTCATAATGATTGGAAACGTAATGTTTCTTAAAGTTTTCTATTTCATAACTTGTTTTAGAAATGTGTGCCTTAATTGATGAGCCAATTACCTGCATACTCACAAGTGTAAAAAGTCAGGTTGGTAAGAAGTCAGTGCCACCAAGGCAGCCCCAATGGCCCTGCTGTGACGGAAACAGTCTGAATCCTGAGGCTTAAATGGCTGCTGCTGTCGGTCAGCATTAGGGGTGTCGTGTCAAGCTGCCGGTGACCCACAAGGGCTGGCCCCTGAATGCAGCAGAGCCTGCAGTTTTCCTGGGAAGTGCAGCTGTGGCCAGAGGGCAGCCTGTCCTGGGCAGGCCAGAGGAGAGGGGCAGGGGAAGAATGGTCCCCAGGTTAGATTTGGGCCGGGCGCTGGCGGGTGGTTAGATTTGGGCCGGGCACTGGCGGGTGGTTAGATTTGGGCTGGATGCCTGTGGGTCGGCACGGGCTGCACTGCCGTCTGTGTTTCCTCCTCCGTGTCATGGCCTTCATGGGTGACTCTCAGAACCTGCCGTCCTGAGTGGGCAGGAGGGGCACAGAGCCTCTCCCTAGGTGCAGCCCTGCCCAGGCCGCCCTTCCCTGCTTCCCTGCCAGCTGCCTACCCAGAGCGCCGGGCCCTTCCCGCCCACCTCCTGGGCTCCACAGGGACCAACGGGCGGAGAACACTGGGCCATGGTGTGTCCAGCGAATGACGGCTACACTGCAGATTCCCCAACAGCTTTTTGAAAGATCCATGTCGTCTCAAACTACAACACGTTGTATCTCCTGAGATGCTTTCAGCAGCCCTTGAGCATCTTTTCTAGTTTGCAAATTGTAGTTTTTCTCATCAGTGTTCTCCTTCAGCTGAATGGCTGGGTTCTGAAGCTGGGGTTTTGAGAAGCGGGAATTCCTTCTGTGGCTGCAGCAGGAGTGTTGTGGGAACCGACCCAGCCCAGCTTGCCTGGCTCCCGCCAGGGCCCTGAGGATGGCACAGGACCTTTTGTGTTGGAAAGGGCTTGGCCGAGCTTGCGGGGGAGCCTCCTGGGTTGCAGGCCGGAAGTCCCAGGTCAGGGTGCTGGCAGGCTGTGTGTGCTCCCCGGGAATGTAGGTCACAGCCTTCCTTGCCTCTTCCAGCGCCCGCCGGCTGTGGGCACTCCCGGGAGTTCCTGCAGCTGCACTGCCAGGTGGCTCCTCGTCCCTGTGCTGGCCTCTGCTGTCATGAGGACACTGCCACACTGGGTTAGCCGAGCCTGCTCTAGCACAGCCTCCTGTAAACCAATTGCACCTGCAGTCACCTGTTTGCAGACGAGCTCACCAGCAGACTGGGGGTGAGGATTTCAGCACAGGGATTTAGGGGACACAATTGAACCTGTCAGGGCTGGTGTCAGAACTAAACTTAGGACCCCAAATGCTGGGATTTTTAAAGGCATTCTGCATTGCACTTCACTAAGGGACCTGGGGAGCTCGGGTGGGGTCTGTGATGCCCAGGATCCCCCAGGGCCCAGGGCAGTGTCTGGGATGGACATGCTCAGCACACACCACCTTGAACGCCCGGCCCCATGCTCACCTCAGAGGGCGGCGCAGCCTCACCATCGATGGAGGCCCCCTTGGAGGTGGGGGTCAGAGGAGCAGCCCAGCTCCAGGCGGCCTCGCCCTCTGTCCTGGGCGCCCGCCGTGGGCACAGCTGTGGGCACCCATGCAGGCAGGGGTGCAGCCTCAGGTGGTTACATTGAGCACAACTTCTTTGAGTTCTTGTAGAAAGGCTATTTTTTTCTTACTGGAACTGAATTCTGAGAGGAATTTGTAACACACATCATTCTGCAGAGTCTATATAACTTGAAAGTCTTTCCCTGCAGTGTTTGCAGAGGATGGAGGGCAGCTCCGCCAGTGTCTGCCAGTCTTTCAATGACAGCAGAGAGCTCTTGAATTCCAAGCCCCAAGCCCCTTCCAAGCCCCTCCAAGTCTAAACTAACAAGATTTAAACTTTTGGAGGAATTTCTTGATTGCTTTGATTTCCCTTGTATAGTAGAATTCTACTTAAATTTTACTAGGGGAAAAAGTGAGTTATTTTGGCAAAAAACAGTTTGAAGCTTGCTCATCTGCTCGTCATTCTCTCATTCATTCGCTCACATGATGTGCGTGTCACACATTGCCGCCAACCAGGTTTCCCACTGCACCTTGCTGGGCGGTGAGCAGAGGTGCCGGCTCCGAGAACGCATGCGGTTCTTCTCAGGGTCATACCTGTACCTGGCACACGGGACATGCACTGTCCCAGGTAATCCCACCGGTCTCCCGGGGCTGGTGTCACAGCCCAGGAGGTGGCGTATGGGGAGGGAGTGGAGGGGCCTCGGTGTCTCCTCAGGGCTGTTTCCTGCACACACGGGCTCCTGTTCACGGCCTTCCTTCCTGAAGACTTTAAAGAGAATTCCTTCTTCCTGTATGGGGTACAGTGTGGGTTCCGGTCCCAACAGCTCATGTTTCTCCCCTTGCAGATATTTGAGAGCCTATTTTGTACCAGACATTGTCAAGCTTTTTTAAAAAACAATATTTATAGACTCATGTCTAGGTGTATTTTATCTAATTGTTTGAGTTCAGCGGTAGTAAACTATAATTTCCAAAAAAGAGAGTTGACAATATAAAAATCTAGTGTGATTGTGTCACCGTCTGGATGAATCTGAACATGTGCCTGGCAGTGACTTTTTTTGGGGTGGTCAGAACAGAAACTTTTTTTGGGGTGGGGGACAAGGTGTTGCTCTGTCCCCCAGGCTGCAGTGCGGTGGCGCAATCTCAGCTCACTGCAACTTCCGCTTACTGGGTTCAGGTGATCCTCCCACCTCAGCCTTCGGAGTAGGTGGGACCACAGGTCCACGCCTTCACCCCAGGCTAATTTTTGTACCTTTTTTTTTTTTTAAGAGACGGGGTTTCACTATGTTGTCCAGGCTGGTCTCAAATTCCTGGGCTCAAGCAATTAGTCCTCCTTGGCCTTTGAAAGTGCTGGGATTACACGTGTGAGCCCCTGCGCCCAGCAATACATAAACATTTTCACTGATCATTTTCGTCACGGCATTTAGTCGGCATTGTTTCCGCAGCACGTTTATTTGGCAAACATGATTTTTTCTCCCCAAACGTGAATTCTGTGGAAATGACAGTTGCATTTGGAAAATATTCCAGAAAACAGTTTTTTTGTTTGTTTAACTTTTTACTTTAAAAGGTATTCACCAGTTCATTTCCATAAACTGACTACTTAATGATATGGCAAAAAAAAAAACCCCTTCTGAAATAGGTTTTGTTTACGGTCGCTTGGGAGACAGTGAGGACTGGTTTGAAAGTACATAGTTAACAAGGCTCAAACTCTGGAAATTAGCGGTTCTGTCCATTCCAGCTCTCCCCCTGCTTCGATTGTTTCATTTGATTAGGCTTAAATTCAAAACTTTGAATTTAGAGAAGTCTTTGACCCTCTAGGAAGTGGGTGAGGCTTTGGTATCTGGGCAGAGCAGAGTTCACCATCCAGAAGGACAGCAACACACACTCCTATCAGACGTATGTTTTAAAAATAACACATTTCTGAATCCTTTTTCTTGATTCAATTTTAGTATTTGTCATTCTCATACTTGTAAAACTCGTGAGTGTTGGTGGAAGCAGTTCCAGAAAGCTCGTGGGGTCCCCAGGTGTCATGGTCAGCTGGGGGTCTCATCCCCACCGTCCTTGCAGTGGTAGCTGGATCCAGTTCACGCTGTCGTGGGCCTGGGCCCCTCTGTGTATTTGTGGTGACCTAAAAATCTGTTTCCTTCAAAAGGCACTCCTAGAATGTATGACTAGTTTAGGAGATTCAAAGGAAAATGAAACACCTCAAATTTAAAGGTTGTTTTTAGACCGCTAGAGTTCCCCGGGAGGCGACTTCCCCAGGAGGCTCGGCAGAGAGCGCCTGGAGACTGCGTGGAGTGTAAGTGGGTTGTGTGTCTGTGGGTTGCTCCCTAGCAGGGCTCCCCCTCAGCCCCCTCCGGAGCTGCCTGCAGCCGAGCTGGGCCGTCCTGCTTGGGTGCATCTCCCTGGCCCACGGGGGATTGTCTGTGTTGGAGGGGCTTGGTTTGGGCTGACCCAGGCTCTGTCCCGAGGTGCCACCTGCTTCTGTGGATTGCCGGGCATGGCAGCAGGAGGTTTCCTCAGGAACGTGTGCTGGGAAGAAATCCCAGCCCTTGGGAAAGGCTGGCAGGGGCTGGGTTCCTCTCGCTCCTGGGTGTGCCGGGTGGTGTTGTCCCAGCACATGGGTCTCCTCTGGAAAAAGGAGAAGCACCTGTCTGCTCTGATGGTGGCACACAGTCCTAGCACGCCGTCTCTGCAAATGATGCACACGGCAGGCTGCGCCATCAGCCGTAACCCCGGTCCAAGGAGACCTGTGACTCGCCTCCTGCAAAATGTTTCTTATCAAGCACTTACTTGGAACAGTTATTAACCATGCTCTTTAATAATTATGGAGGTTTGTATTTTAAGCTATATATCGGTGTTCATATTTGACACTGATTTTCTAACCATCAGAGATATTTAATTAAAATTGTAAATAAGAGAGGCAAAATGAAAATAAAAGGAGAAGAATTCTAGGGAGAGATGCAAGGTGTCAGAAGTTATTTCTAAAAGTAAAGTGGATGATACTGAATTCTCTTCCAGACCATCAGCCCAGCCGGGTGATGTTCATCTGCTGGGTGCACAGATTTAAAATGTGAAAAGCTCTTTTTTCCCCTTACTTTCTCTTGTTTTCTTTTCTTTTTTTTTTTTTTTGAGACAGAGTTTTGCCCTGTCACCCAGGCTGGAGTGCAATGGTGCAATCTCGGTTCACTGCAACCTCCGCCTCTCGGGTTCAAGCCATTCTCCTGCCCCACCTTCCTGAGAAGCTGGGATTACAGGTGCCCGCCAACACGCCTGGCTAATTTTTTTATTTTTAGTAGAGATGGGGTTTCACCATGTTGGCCAGGCTGGTCTCAAGCTTCTTACCTTGTGATCTGCCCACCTTGGCCTCCCAAAGTGCTGGGATTACAGATGTGAGCTACCACCCCCAGCCTCTTGTTTCTTCTCTGTGAGTTGTAGATCCTATTAAAAGAAAATAAAAACCAGTGACTCAGAATTCTAATGATACTTATTTTGCCCCTTAAAAAGGTTAACTACAAGCGCAGTACAGCACAGAGGAACTTAGTCAGTGTCTCTGGCTAACATAGATCGATCGATCTATCTATCTATCTATCTATCTATCTATCTATCTATCTATCTATCTCTCCTTGATGTGGTTTTGGTTTTTCTTTTTAGAAAATGAAATGAAATATGATACCAATAATAATGAAGAGGAAGAGGGAGAACAGTTCGATTTTGACAGTGGAGATGAAATCCCAGAAGCGGACAGACAGGCCCCATCCGCCCCTGAGACAGGAGGTGCTGGAGCCAGTGAAGCCCCTGCACCCACAGGTGAGTTTCCAGGAGGGTCCCCAGGTGAGTCCCCAGGTGGGTCCCCAGGTGAGTCCCCAGGTGGGTCCCCATGTGAGTCACCAGGTGAGTTCCCAGGTGAGTCCCCAGGTGAGTCCCCAGGTGGGTCCCCAGGTGAGTCCCCTGGGGGGTTCCCAGGTGAGTCCGCAGATCACCGGCATCAGGGTCACCTGTGCTCAGCCATCGGACTCGCCGATTTTCTCCCCATTCTTACGGCCCAATTGGAACATTGTAGGGAAAGGATGATTTCTAGGAGCCAGAGAGTTATGATTTCTTCATGATGTACCTGAAAGGACTTAATTTAAGATTGGCTAAGTTTCTTCTCTTTGTACTATTTTCCATAATTTTCAACCTTTTCACTCTACCTTTGTATTTTGCAAAGAAAAAGTATTGCTATTTCCCAATAAGAATGACCTCATCATTGTATCACTAGATTAAAAGAAATATTCAGAACATGTGGGATGAAGTAGCTGTAGAGGTTTCGCTTTCTAAGTTTGGAGGTGGGTTGGGTGCTTTCATTCGCTGACCAGAGGGACTGCTCAGGTCAGGCAGTGGTGGGAGAGCCTGCACAGTGTTTCTTCCTGTGTAGCACCCGCCTCTCAGCTCGCACGGTGTTTCTTCAGGTGTAGTACCAGCCTCTCAGTTTGGCAGCGTTCCTCTTGGCTCGCACGGTGTTTCTTCAGGTGTAGTACCAGCCTGTCAGTTTGCACAGTGTTTCTCTCTGCTTGCACGGCATTTCTTTGGGTGCAGCACCAGCCTCTCGGTTGTTTGCATGCCGTTTCTTTGTGCATAGCACCCACCTCTTGGCTTGTACCGTGTTTCTTTGTGCGTAGCACCAGCCTCTCGGTTCTTTGCATGGTTTCTTTGTGCGTAGCGCCAGCCTCTCGGTTGTTTGCCCGGTGTTTCTTTGGCCATAGCACCTGCCTCTTGGTTGTTTGCACGGTGTTTCTTTGTGCATAGTACCCGCCTCTCTGCTTGCACGGTGTTTCTTTGTGCGCAGCACGCGCCTCTCTGCTTACACGGTGTTTCTTTGTGCACAGCACCAGCCTCTCGGTTGTTTGCCCGGTGTTTCTTTGGCCATAGCACCTGCCTCTCGGTTGTTTGCCCGGTGTTTCTTTGGCCATAGCACCTGCCTCTTGGTTGTTTGCATGGTGTTTCTTTGTGTGCAGCACGCGCCTCTCTGCTTACACGGTGTTTCTTTGTGCATAGCACCAGCCTCTCGGTTGTTTGCCCGGTGTTTCTTTGGCCATAGCACCTGCCTCTCGGTTGTTTGCACGGTGTTTCTTTGTGCGCAGCACCCGCCTCTCTGCTTACATGGTGTTTCTTTGTGCATAGCACCAGCCTCTCGGTTGTTTGCACAGTGTTTCTTTGGCCATAGCATCAGCCTCTCGGTTGTTTGCATGGCGTTTCTTTGTGCACAGCACCCGCCTCTCAGCTTGCATGGTGTTTCTTTGTGTGTAGCACCAGACTCTTGGTGAGGGGAGCAGCTGCCCTCCTCCGGCAGCTTCTCCCTGACTTAGCTCATGGGATGAGCCTCCTGTAGTGACCAGGCTGCATCCGTCTCACCTGTGCCCAGAGGTGATGCTGGGTTCCCCATGTGTGAGTGCTCCCTCCGAGGCCACCTGATGACCTGGGAACGTCTAGGGGTCCTGGCATGGGATGATGGTGGGAGCTCATACCTGCTTCCCACTTGCGCTCCAGGAGGGCATGCCTGCCATGCCCTTGGTGATGTGTCTGCTGACAAGTCCTTTCTGCATCCCCAGGAGGTGAGGATGGAGCTGGAGCAGAAACCACCCCAGTGGCAGAGCCTACTAAGCTGGTGCTCCCGATGAAAGTCAACCCATATTCTGTCATCGACATCACGCCATTCCAGGAGGACCAGCCGCCCACCCCCGTGCCCAGCGCTGAGGAGGAGAATGTGGGTCTCCATGTGCCCTGCGGGTACTTGGTGCCTGTACCCTGCGGCTATGCGGTGCCCTCCAACCTGCCCCTCCTGCTGCCCGCCTACTCCAGCCCGGTCATCATCTGCGCCACGTCCCTGGACGAAGAAGGTACTGCTACCCTCCTCTCCACGCCCCCGAAGTGGCCTGTGGTTCCCTCCTCTCCACGCCCCCGAAGTGGCCTGTGGTTCCCTCCTCTGCATGCCCCGGATGTGGCCTGTGGTTCCGTAGAGTCCGGGCCTGACCTTCCCCCCTCCTCCTCCTCTCCATGCCCCCGATGTGGCCTGTGGTTCCGTAGAGTCCGGGCCTAACCTTCCCCCCTCCTCCTCCTCTCCATGCCCCCGATGTGGCCTGTGGTTCCGTAGAGTCTGGGCCTGACCTTCCCTCCTCCTCCTCTCCATGCCCCTGATGTGGCCTGTGGTTCCGTAGAGTCCGGGCCTGACCTTCCCCCTGCCCCCACCCAGGTCATTAGATGTTTGTTTACAGAGTTGGAAAATGAGCCCCTAGTTCATCTTCAGTGACAGGAACACCACTGAGGGAAGGCCAGGGTGTATGGTTTGGAAATTTTTGAAACAACGTCTGGTGCCGAATGTGTTGCCCCCTCATGTCTGGGGTGCCTTGAACTTCACCCCGATCTCTGATTCCCCCACCAGCTGCTCACGGGAGTGTGTGCAGTTTTTGGCCTGTATGACTTACTGTGCTAGATGACAGTTACCGTTATGTATGTCCCGTGTCACCTGCTTGTCTATAGACTCAGACTCCCTGGGGTCAAAGCGTGTGTCTCGCTGTCTTCATTCCAGAGGATGGAGGGGTGGTGGGGGTGGGAGAATTGCCTCAGGGGCTCCCTGTTTCCCACTCATGCTTTTCCTCGCCGGGAAGATGCCGCAGGATCTCAGCAGAGTCCTCAGTGGAAGGTCAGAGCCACCTGGGGCAGCACAAAGGGCTCAGAGTCGGCCACTGAGGACGGTGTTCCCTGTAGCCAGGACATGCTCCGAGCGAGGACTGTGGGTGCCCTCGTGGGTGCCTCGCTCACCTCCGGTCTCTGTGTCCTCAGCGCTGACAGCTCCATTTCGAGTCTGCTTCCTCCTCCACTTAGTGAGAAGGAGTGGCCATGTGCTCTAGAAGGGGCTTGGTTGGTGGAGCCCGTTCTCTGCTGTCCTTACATGGCCCTGCCATGTGTAGTCACGCACCAGCTGTGTCTGCAGAGCCACAGGGTTCTGCTGGAAGGACAGCGTGCAGTCCGTGGCTGCTTCGACTGCAGCCCAAGGGCTGGGGCCTCCTGCCGGCCCTGCTGTAGGGCCAGGCGCCAGGGTGAGGGTAAGCACATACCCTGCCTCTGTCTTCAGGAGCGACCCAGTCGAGGCGTCTCAGCCGAAGTTTTCCTTTTTTGCCCAGATCTGTTTCTATGCTGTCTTTCCCAGGAACGCGCTGCAGGATTCCCAGGGTTCATGGGATGTTCCTCTAATGGAAGCCCACAGCCTCTACGCCTGAGACATGATTCTTATTCCTGTAAAGGTTTCAGTGGAAGCAGCCTTCCCTTTCCAGTTAATAACAGTTGAGAAAAAAAAATCCTTAAAGAAAAATCTCAATTTTGGATTTTGGGAAACACAGAGGTTTCAGAATAGACGGCCTCCTGTGCGTTTTCCTGTTGAAGTCGGCCAGAGTCCTCGGAACTCACCACGGTCTGCATGATCCACGCTGCTGTTGTCACTCTGTGACCGCGGAGCATGAGAACCCCCTGGAAATGAGGGCGTGCAGAGTGTAGGATTCTTGGCTGAAGGAAAATACGTTTGTTTTAAAGTGATTTTCTTATTTTAAAATATTATTTGATTATTTAAAATAATTGCATATCATTTAATTTATTTTTAAAATAACTTAGCATGAATTTAAAACAATTTGCTTATTTTTGTTCTGTCAACCTAGAGCCAGTAATAAAGCCTTGTTCTAATAAAGACTATTTTAAGTCCCGGAGTAGAGGAGCAGGTGGTTCTCCGGTTGCGTTTTGATCATTGAATGAGGGATGTGAACGCAGACCTCCTTCCTGGGAGGTGGAAAAGCGTGGATTTGGTGTTAGGCCCGGTCCCCAGCCTGGCCCACACTTCCTGCCTGGTGGCACTGCTGGCTTTTCTGTTCCTTGCTCTGGAGCCTCCCTGGGGCGGGGCGGCCGCCTGGCTCTGCAGGGCTTCCCCGGGACGTACAGCCCAGCCAGGATCCCCAGGCCTGCGGTGGGAGGTTGCAGAGCCCTGCCTGGAGCTCCCAGCTGGCCAAACTGGGATGACCAGATTCCGTTATTTTTCCTGCCTACCGAAACCAGCTCTCAAAGACGTCCACAGGCAGGTCCTGCTCTTGTTTACGCACGGGCTGTTGTGGCCAGAAGCCTCTGGGTGCGCTGCTGCTCGGAGCTGTTTAGGCGACTCCCTGGCCAGCGTGTCTGCCTCCTTCTGACCTTGACAGACTCAGTTTGCACCTTAATTTCCCGGAAGGCGGAGGAAAGAAGAGTTTCCTGGGGTGGAGCCCTGAGAGGGCTCATGTGTGTGCTCTGGGGATGGGAGTCTGTGCTCCTGGACACCCCCGTGGGGGAGACATTTCTCACCGTGCAGCGAGATTGCTGCTGGGCAGCACGTCCTGCCTTTGTCCCTCTGCAAAACACAAGTAAAAGCTTTGTGGCTCTTTGGGTGTTTCTTTTCCTTTTTTTCTTCTTCTTTTTTTTTTTTTTTTTTTTTGAGACAGAGTCTCGCTCTGTCGCTCAGGCTGGAGTACAGTGGCGGGATCTCGGCTCACTGCAAGCTCCGCCTCCCGGGTTCACACCGTTCTCCTGCCTCAGCCTCCCAAGTAGCTGGGACTACAGGCGCCCGCCACCACGCCCGGCTAATTTTTTGTATTTTTTTTTTAGTAGAGACAGGGTTTCACCATGTTGACCAGGATGGACTTGATCTCCTGACCTCGTGATCCGCCCGCCTCAGCCTCCGAAAGTGCTGGGATTACAGGCATGAGCCACCGCGGCCAGCTGGATCTTTGGGTGTTTCTTTGAGGCAGTGTGGCAGTGTGGGAAGGGCAGTTTTTGGAGCAGGCAGATTGGATTTCAGATCCTGGCCCTGTGTCTGCCCTGACACCTGCCACTCAGGAAGGTGGCCCGGAACACTGAACCAGCAGATGCATGTGGGATTTGCAGCGCTACCCGCAGATCCACCCCCCCAGCCCCTCGGGCATCTCGTGTCTGTTGCTAGTCAGCATCCAGCTGTGTGGCAGCTCCTGGTGTGACCAGGGACCTGTTTTCAGGGATGAGACCTCCAAGCAGGTTACATCGAGCTCAGCTGTCTCCGACTTTGAGCCAACTGCTGCGGTTTGAAAACGGTTGAGAACTGTTGCTCATTCCAAAGATAAATTCCCTTTAGAAAGTGTTTCATGGACAGCTGCCAGTGTGGCGATGAGCAGCAGCCGCTGAGTGCTGCTGGCTCTCCTTCCCCACATCATTCTTGGTGCCACGCGGCTGGGCGGTGGCAGATTCGTCAAGGGACCACGTGGCCCGCACCCACGCAGTACAGCCATCACAGACTCTGGCTGGCTTCTGCCCAGGAGCCCTCCGAGGTGGGAGGGTCTGCTTCTTCTGCACTGGCGTCTCAGGCTGTCCTTGGATGGTCTAAGTTCGTACCCCACCTGTGTGGAATGTTTGGGAAACCTGCACTGCGGCTTTGCTCACGGCTCACCGTTCACCCTGGAGAGCCACAGACAGGCAGGGAGGAATCGTCAGGCGGGTCGGACTGCGCGTGTATTTGCGTGTGGAGGGATGTGAGCGTGTGCCAGTGAAAGCTGGTGTCACATGTCACAAGCGTAACCACTCCTCTCTTGAACATCTTTTGAGCGTGCCAGGCGGATGCCCCTTCAGGCCAGTCACAGCCGTGGCTCCTGTGGACACATGGAGTGGGAGAGAACATCCCGTTTCTTTCTAACTCTAGCCTGATGCATCTGGGTGCCGGTCACAGCCGTGGCTCCCATGCACATGTGGAGTGGGAGAGAACATCCCGTTTCTTTCTAACTCTAGCCTGATGCATTTGGGTGCTGGTGCAGTTTATTTCTGGCTGTTTCACAAGCCCTCAGTAGATCACATTTTATTAGATTCCAGTCTTGAATACATTTTATCTAAGAGCTAAAAATTTTTAAGTTTATTAATCACCCTTATGCTAAGATAAGCCTCTGATTGATAGGAAAGTGTGAAACCATTTTTAAGGGTAAAAACATCAACTTCATGAGCATTTTTGTCAGGCGTAAAGCAGCATCACATATTTTCTTTCCCAGCAGAAACACCAGAAGTCACAGAAGATCGCCAGCCCAATTCTCTGAGTTCCGAGGAGCCTCCAACCAGGTATCTGCATCCGTCTTCCCACACCTGCTGAATTCCCGCCTTTCTCCTGAGGAGCTGGACGTGGGGATCCTGGTGTGTGTCCCTGCCCGCCATCCTCAGCTCTGCGCGGCGGGAGCTGTCCCAACCCCACCTCCTGCCTCGGGTCCCTCCCAGGCGAGTGTCCCTGGAAATGTAGGGTCAGGACGAGTGGACTGAGGGTCTGATAACTGGGTCTGATTTCAGGCGTCCAGGTGTGTCCAGGCTTGGCCCTTGTCACGGCCCTGCTGTTGCTTTCCCTCATTTGCTTTTCTCCTTTCTATCATGAAGGCGGCCTTTGCAGGGTAAAGCGTCCCCCGTGAAACCGCCTGCAGGCGGGTGGGGTATCTGGGGAGCAGCAGCCACTAGAGCAGTGCTCTTGCCCCAGTTTAAACAGAGTTGTGCCACCAGGTAGGTCCAGCCACGGTTCTCCATTAGAAATTGCAGATTTTATGTAAAATTAAAAATTAGTGGTAGCGTGTTATCACTGGTGATCTAAAATGTATTGTGAAAAATATGTGCATTGAAAATAGGAATTATTTTGAAGAAAATGTATATAGAATGTAGTGTGAGGAAAACCTTAAATGAT
Source organism: Homo sapiens (assembly GCF_000001405.40). Lineage (NCBI taxonomy): Eukaryota > Metazoa > Chordata > Mammalia > Primates > Hominidae > Homo > Homo sapiens. Next base: position 1,865,041 of record NC_000008.11, read on the forward strand.
CTTCAAAAGGATGAAATTTTTCAAACATAGAAATAGTTATGAATAGTTTAAAATAGTGTTTCTGTTTGATTCAGATTTTCTTTTACCTTTTTAGGTAACTTTTTGTTTTGATATTATTTTAAACTTTAAAAGTGCAAGAATGCTCCTTGGTGATGTGATAAGTTCTCAGAGCAGGGGGCTGCATCCTAATTTCACAGGTGCACAGCACAGCACACAGGGCGACCCCAGCACCCATGAGGCCATCACCAGGACATGGGGCATCCCCCAGCACCCAGGGGGCCGTCACCAGGACACAGGGCATCCCCCAGCACCCATGAGGCCATCACCAGGACACGGGGCATCCCCCAGCACCCAGGGGGTGGTCACCAGGACATGGGGCATCCCCCAGCACCCAGGGGGCCATCACCAGGGCATGGGGCATCCCCCAGCACCCAGGGGGCCATCACCAGGACACGGGGCATCCCCCAGCACCCATGAGGCCGTCACCAGGACACAGGGCGTCCCCCGGCACCCAGGGGGCCGTCATCAGGGCATGGGGCATCCCGCAGCACCCACAGGGCCATCACCAGGACACGGGCTCTCTTCCCTCATCCTCAAGGTCCTGCAGGTACCTTGGGGCCTGTTAGAGCTTTTGCTTGAGAAGTCGTCATCGTGGGGTGCTCTGCACGGATTATCACGTGATTCCGTTAGTGACCCTTCCCATAGGAACATTTTCCGAGGCCTTCCATACACGTCTCTGGGTGCTCACTCTGCTTCCGGTCTTGGCCTTCCCAGCAGTGTCTCTGCGCTGCCACCGGGCTCATCCTTGCACAGCTCCCCACAGGACGCGGTGTCGGGACGACTGATCCCTGGTGCATCTCATTTGTCAGCAGTGGTGCCTCTCATGGGGCGATGCTTGGTGTGTGCAGTGAGTCTGACCTCATCATCCTTCCGAGTGGAGCATTCCCGTAGCTACCCATTGCAAAGGATGACACCGCAGTCCCTGTGTGTGTGGGACTCTGGTGGCCCATGTGACCACCCGCTGGGGGCAGAGCACCATGGTTTATGCTGGGTGGCCTTGCATCTCTTTCTCCCACTGACCTGCTCCTGGACATGGAGACGGCCCATTGCCCGCTGGCATCTCTCCCACCCAGCGTTGTGAGCAGGGCCTAAGAGGTCCTCAAAGGGGTGGCTGAAAAACCAGAAGACAGTTCAGGCCTTCTAGGGCAAGGACCGTATTGCGGCTGTATTGCCCTTGCCCGTGTTCTGTGCCGTGCGTAGGCCAAACATCTGGAATACTTATTTACAGAGTTATGAGTGAAAGCTTGAACTTGGGATGTCCTATAATAATAGCTGGGAAAATATGTGATTTCCTGTATAGTAACATATATATATATATTCTGACACACACACACACACACACACACACACTCTGCAGGGCAGTTGGCATCCTAGTGACTTGGGCTGTGCCTGGATATTCTGACTTTATGGTTTGTTTTCTTTAAGTGAAGATCAAGTCGGTCGAGAGGACAGCGCACTTGCCCGCTGGGCCGCAGACCCGGCCAACACAGCCTGGATGGAGAGTAAGTTCCCCAGCTGCCCACAGCCAGAATCCTCACCACGCTCCACAGACGTCACTGCGGCGGGGCCGGGTCCCTGAGTCTCAGGTCCCATCAGATCTAAAACTCTAAAAAGATGTTTATTTACTGAAAATAGTAACATGGGCTGACTGTGCAGAAGTTTCCCCGGGTTCCCTGAAGCTGTCACTTCCCGTGAGGCCACCCCAGCTCTCCACGTCCACGCACTCACTCTTCCTGGTCGTTTCTTTCTAGCACAGGCTTTATTATTATGGTAACAGTGAGATATGTGGGTAACAGAAACTCTGACCTGCAGCCATGGTCAGCCACCACCCACACGCCCACCCTGCGCTTGCCTGTGATTCCCAGGGAGATGCAGTGTCTGGCACCCGTTTTGAAGAGGGGGCGGGTGGGCCTCCCTTTTTTTTTTTTTTTTGTCCCATACACACTTTATTTTACATAACTTGGTGTTTTCTTTTATCTAATCGTACAAATTTAAATGGGGATTCCCGAATAAATGTTTTGTTAATTTACCTTTGGCAGAAACAACAGATTCCAAAACATTTAGTAGCCTCTTATTTATTTGTAACTTAAAAATAAGTTCTGTAGCGTATTTTTCCAAAACAATAGCCTGAAGCAAATGTGCTTGAAAAGCTAATTGGTAATGATCTGATTAATATCACAGCTTATTTAAGAGAACTATTACTTAAAGGACAGACTAGACATGTATTTTGACAAAAACACAATTTTTGGTCACGTGAATGATTCGTGTTTAGATTTCAAAAACAGGAAACATCCAAAAGTGCATCATTTTATTTATAATCTCACTCCTTGAAATGAGAGCAGTCTGCAACGTAAACAGAGCAAAGAATTCCAAACTCTATTTTTATGTACATTTAAACCTGTAGGATTATGTCCCGTCTCTGTGTGGATTAAAGCGAGCGCATTTCCAACACGCGGCTCCAGCTTCCGTACAATTCAGAGTAAACCTAAAGGCATTCTTTCTCCCTTTAAGTTGGCTGAGCCAGCCCCCCTCCAGGTGGCCAGATCTGCAGTCCCACCTGCGGCTTCAAAGGCTGAAAGATTTTTAGCTAGATTTACTTGTTTTTTTTAATTTTTAAAGGAAAAGCAAGATTACTTTCCTGATTATGCCTCTCATTATCCACTGGCTCACTAATTTCTATGTTACTGTTTCATATGATCAACTTACAAGGTAGAACCATCTTAGTTACCTCCTGATTATTAAACTGCCTCCTGGAAGTTTTCATTCTGGTTTCAATTATGACGTTGTTAAAACAAAGATCTTAGTGTAATTAGATGATTCCGCTGTGTGCCTATTAAAGCAGGATCGTTACAGGATTAAATTATTGTCTTGGCTGTTTGCTAACAGTTTTATTTCCGAGGTAAAATTTGTCTGATTTTTTTCTCATTACTCATTTTTATTACCCAGATGGCAGTGAATTGGAATAACTATATTTGGAAATATGATCTCTAAACTAGCAGTCTCTGAACATTATCTAAGAGGAGTAGAAATCTTTACTGTGGTTGCAGATAGTAAATGCTATTAAAAGAAAGAGCGTCTGTAATACTGGAGCTTGACAACAGCAGCAGATAAGGAATTTTCCTGAATTTTTATTTCCTGCTAGTGTGGGGACAGGAGTGGTGGCTGGATGTCAGGGGAGAGTTCGGGTTTGTTGGTCTCATTTTCTGTCTTATGTGGCTGAGGAAGCGGTTGTCTGTATGTTTTTGATGCAGTCATATGTCATAGTTTGGACGTTCTCTTGCAGGGAGGGCACCGCTAGTCAATGAGTGGAACCTCGATTTAAAGGTCTTTTTATGAAACGGATTTTCATGTGAAGCGTGTAACTCTTACAGATATTTGAGTAAACCTCAGGCTCATTGTTGGTGTCCTGTGTGGTCATCTCATACAGCACGGTTTTGCTTACAGAACTTGCCTTCTTTTTTATGAAACGGTTTCACTTTCACAGAACCCCAGTGTTGCACGTGATACAGATTGAGAAACACTGTCCTATATGTTTAGCATTTTGATACTTGCTACTACTTTTTACTTTCAGTGGCACAAAATTATGGTGTCATTGGTTTATTGGGATGGTTTTCCATTGTATCCAGCACTGATGGGCTCTTTTCTTATTTCTGGAAGTCTGTGTGCCACCGTTGTATTTTTTTGTGCGTCAGAACGTCAACTTCATAAGCTTAAAATACTCGTCAGAGAGCCATATAGAAGTGTGTAATTGAACACAAAATCATAGAATAAGTTTGACCTGGAAACCATAAAACTCCTTCCTAGTGACATTTTACAGCTGGTCCATTTAAAGAGACATCCTTCATTCCCAATAAATTATTCTGCCCTAAAAATAATGCTTATGCTTTGGTAAGGTGCTGTTAGCTACCTTACAGCCCTCATTGTCTACTAGTTGGGACAAAGAACGAAAAAGTAAAAAATAAAAAAAAAACTACCCTTATAAACCAACTTTTTGAATAATCATGACATCATCGGCGACTGTGGCCCTGTAAAATTTAAATTGCACTAGGTTTTGTTGGTCACTGTTTAAAGTGTTTCTCCCCGTTTATTGCAGATCCAGAGGAAGCAATTTACGATGACGTTCCAAGGGAAAACTCAGACTCTGAACCAGGTTTGATTTTGTCTGGAATTGATTTGAGGAGATTCAGCTCAGCAGCCTTTCCCTCTGGATGCCAAAGTGACTATTTAGTGGACGGCCCAGACGTTTTCTGTATTCATGTTTTGTATGTTGCTTCTAGAATGGCTTATTGATGTGTGGTGGAATATTGGTGTTTGTGCACATATGTGTGTGTGCTTATAACCCTTGAAATAGGGCAGTTTAATCTTACTTATCCCAAGCAAACAGAGGAGTAAAGGTACAGAAAATGCCGGCAAAGAGGTAGGAAACACAGAGGCTGAGAAGCAGCAATGTATATCGAATAAATGACATCAGTGAGAAAGTAGAGAGAATCAGGCAAAGGTAATAGTCAAAGAAATAACTAAGAATTCTCTACAATTAAAGAAAAACATAAATTCTCAGATTTTAGACATAGAGATTCAAAGCAAGATGAATTACACGTTGATCCATACCTAGGCCGATGCAATGGAGGCCGCGGAGCACCAGGCCCAGGGTGAATCTCCCGAGAGCAACTGGAGAGAAAACATGGCTGCCTACACAGGAACCGCTATTCCACTGACCCACAGGCTGGGGGCGGGTTCTCAAAGCGAAGAAGGACGTGGCTCTTTTAACCTGAGCGGCCACGTCCAGCAAAGTACAGTCCTTTAGAAAGGGCGATGGGCCGCAGGAGGCAGAGCGGGGGAGCTTGCTGCCCATAGAATCTAAGGAAATAGTTAATGATGCACTCGCTGCAGGGAAGAGCACACTGAACCACGGAGGAGGTGACAGGGGCCCGGAGGGAGTGGGGAGCCCGGGAAGTGTCGGGCGTGTGGAGAGTCGATACCAGCACCGCTCAAGACAGCGCTGATAGTGCCGATTGAGTTTCAGATGCAGCCGGAGCCCCAGCCAGTGCCGACTGAAGAGGAGGGTGACCGTTCATGCCGTGTGTTCTGAAGTTCTGAAGTCGGCATTTTTCAGGGGGAGGATCTTGTTACCGATTTTTTTTTTTTTTTTTTTTTTTTTTGCTATGGATTGGTCCAGTTTGCGTTTTATGGGTAACTGCTAAGAAAATAGGAATAGATTATTTTAACTTTGAAACCAGTAGTGCAAAACCCAATCTGGTAAATGCAAGAAAATATAAAATAAGAAAGCTTTGCAAATCATATGAGAAAAGACTGCAAAATAAGTACAAACATATTGGTACGCATAGTAAAGTGCATCCTATTGCCAGTAAAAGAAATCCTCAGATTGGATAAAATAGCAAAGCTAGCCATAAATTCTTGTGAGAGATACATAAGAGTACAGAAGATTTGTAAGTAAATGGATGGAAAAAGAAATATAATGCAAATTCTAACCAAAGTATTGTCAGTATAACTATAATAATACACTAAATGTTAAGCCATAAGCAAGGAATAATTCATGAGGAAGATATATAACAGTTCTAAACTCATATGCACCTAACAGCATAGCCTTAAGATATATAAGCAAAATATAACAAGGCTTAATCAGAAATATGTAAATACGCTGTTGGGGTGAGAGATTTTAAGAAAACTGTCTCTGCTATTGACAGATCCTGGACATAAAATCAGTAAACCGGCCAGGCACGGTCGCTCACGCCTGTCATCCCAACACTTTGGGAGGCCAAGGTGGATGGATCACTTGAGGTCGGGAGTTCAAGACCAGCCGGGCCAACATGGTGAAACCCCATCTCTACTAAAAATACAAAAATTAGACAGGCGTGGTGGCGGGCGCCTGTAATTCCAGCTACTTGGGAGGCTGAGGCAGGAGAATCACTTGAACCCAGGAAGCGGAGGCTGCAGTGAGTCGAGATTGTGCCACTGCTCTCCAGCCTGGGAAATGAGTGAAAACTCTGTGTCAAAAAAAAAAAAAAAAAAAAAATCAGTAAACCATAAAAGATTAGAACAGCAATGTAGTATGATTGACTTGAAGGTCATATACAGATCTTTGAAGCAAGTAGTTCCAGAATATGTATTTTTTTAAACACATGAAATATTTTAAAAAATTAACTATATAGTATGCCTCAAAACAAATATTAACAAATGCCAAAGAATGGATGTTCAGACCTTATTTCCTCATAATAACTGAATAAAATCAGTAAAAAAAAATCAATACAAACATTTAGAAATTAAAAATGATATACTACTCTGTAACTCATGGTCAAAGATAAAATGGAAATGAAAATATTTTGTCTTGAATAATAATAAAAACATTACATAAACTATATGGGATAGATTTTAAAGTCTAAGGAATTATAGACATAATGGCATATGTTAATAAAACAGAATGGGCGCGGTGGCTCACACCTGTAATCCCAGCACTTTGGGAGGCCGAGCCGGGTGGATCATGAGGTCAGGAGTTCAAGACCAGCCTGGCCAAGATGGTGAAACCCCATCTCTACTAAAAGTACAAAAATTAGCCGGGCATGATGGTAGGCACCTGTAATTCCAGCTACTCGGGTGGCTGAGACAGAGAATTACTTGAACCCGGGAGGTGGAGGTTGCGGTGAGCCGAGGTTGCACCACTACACTCCAGCCTGGGCAACAGAGCGAGACTCCCTCTGAAAAAACAAAACAAAACAAACAACAGAGAGCAGTGAACTGAGTATCCAGCCAGCTGCACGAAAGAGCAGCAGAGTCAAAGGAAGTGGCAGGAAAAAAATAATGGGCAAGGCAAAAATGATGAAATAAAAATCCAGGAAGCAACATAAAGTATTAACAAAACCAAAGGTTGGTTCTTTAAAAATAGTACAAAAATAGACAAGCCTCTGGTTATATTAAGATGACACAGAGAAAGAGGGGAGAGGGATGGAAGAAGGAAGGAAGGAAAGGAAGGAAGGAAAAAGTTGATCAAGAGGATGTAACTGCAGTAGAAATTTGTAAAAATCATAAGAGGATGCTATAAATAACTTTTTATCAAAAAGTTAGATGAAATTAAAAATTGCCTTGAAGAATCAACTATACCCAAAATAAAAACCATGAATAAACCTATAATGATCCAACATAATGAATGGTTTGCTTAACTACTGTGCAGAACAGCCCACCAGGCTCAGATGTTTTTATGCTGGGGTTTATTGAGCCTTCAGGGAGCGGACAAACCCCTCAGTCGCATGCACTGTTCCAGTGAATAGCAGAAGCAAGGATGAGGTGAGAATTAGTTTATAATGTTAGCAGAAACTTGTAAACTCCCTCACCTGCGAAGGTTGATGCTACATTTCCTTCCAGAAATGTCAGGAAGTTGAATCCAGCATGACCCTAACAAGTAAGCAAGAGCCTGTTTTAACCTTTTACATTCATGGCAGCAGTTCAAGGATCCTTTGAGAAGCTCTTGTAACACGATTTCCCCAAATTGATGGACATAAACCCATATGCTTATCTCAGCATGTGTTTAAAAAGCACTTGCTGAGATTCAGTGACCATCCAACATTAAAAACTGCTGATAGAAGGAAACTCACTTAGCTGAATTAAGGACGTGTTCTTAAAATCTACCGCCAACGTAATGGGGAGGAGCTCACGGCGTTCGTTAATTTATTCATTCCGCAAATATGTTTTGGGCAGTTACATACCGAATAGTAGATGGAGGTGTGCCTGCTGTCATGGAGATAGGGTGATTTCATCCTGTTGATCAGGAAAACTCCTAGGTGCTTGCAGGTAAATGTGCCACAAAGAAAGTGAGGACCAAAGGTTAGTTGATGTAAAAACAAGTTTGAAATGCATTTTGGGGTAATTTATCCGGTCGCTTCGGGCATTCCTCGCGGAAGGCGTGGTCTGGTGACTCAGAAGCCAACACACTGCGGGAGTCCAGCCGTCGGCCCCCTGCCGTGTGGCGAGGCCCAGTGTGTCCCCTTTGTAAGGACAGCACAAGCAGGAGTTAATGGACCGGCCATCCATAGCGGTGGTGGGGCAGGGAGCCAGTTTCCGAAAGAAACTCACGCCGCCGCAGGAGGGCCCTGTGGGATGCTCTGTGCAGAGCTGTTGTGCGGACCGGGAGACGGGAAAGCCTGGTGGCTGCAGGAGGGCACCGTGCAGAAGTATCCAGTAAACCACCCACAGCACGGCAGCAGAAAAACGAGGAAATTATATGTGTGTATGTTTATAAGAACTCAGAAGCAATGGTGAGCAAAAAGCAAAAGCAAGAGGAGAAAGTCACAGTGTGCTGGCATCAAGTTGCATTGAGAGGAGCCCGCGGGGTAGTGCACCCGCATTTCCTCGTTGCGTTGAGAGGCGCCCGCGGGGTAGTGCACCCGCATTTCCTCGTTTGAGAGGCGCCCGCGGGGTAGTGCACCCGCATTTCCTAGTTGCCTTGAGAGGTGCCGCGGGGTAGTGCACCCGCATTTCCTAGTTGCCTTGAGAGGTGCCCGCGGGGTAGTGCACCCGCATTTCCTAGTTGCCTTGAGAGGTGCCGCGGGGTAGTGCACCCGCATTTCCTCGTTTCATTGAGCGGTGCCCGCGGGGTAG